>NC_000004.12:5426011-5732508 GCF_000001405.40 Homo sapiens | reverse complement strand
CCCACCCAAACCGTTTCAAATCCTCTAAGTCCCAAATGCTGAAAGCAAGCCGTTCTAAGCCAGGGCTGGCCAGTCCAAGAAGGCCCCTCTTCAACGAAGTCCCTTCTGCCTGGGCCACTTTCAGGCTCAAGGTGCTGAGCCCAGTGTTTCTGCAGCAACTCTGAGCAGAGGCTGTGCCCTGGATCATCCCACCTCTTGGACTCAGCGGAATTTTGGAGCAGAGAGAGGCCTGAGGCCTGGTGTGTGAACCCGCCAGACTGAGCTTCTTAAGCCCCCACCACGTGCGGAGCCCTGCTCTGGGTTGGGTCAAATCCGGCTCCGTCACTCACGGCTGTGTGACCAGCAAGTCACGCAGCCTCTCTGTGTTTCCCTTTATTCTTTGTGAACTGGAGGAAATGACAGTACCAACTTCATAGGGGTGTTAAACGGAATTCATTCACTCACTGATTAATATTTACTGATTGCTGAACTTGTCCCAGGATCCCCCTCACTGGGCAAAATCCTCATGAGATCATCAATCCCTGTAAAGTGCTTAGCACTCTGCCCGGTACTCAGAAGTACCCACTTAATCAACTTCGCCAGTAGCTGGGAGCACGCCAGTGATTAAATGAGGCCTCCCTGTCATCTCTCCCCGGGGCTCAGGCCTGACTCCATAACCCCAGTGTTGGGCAATACAGCACAGGAAGTGACAAAGGCCTCTGGGGCTCCGATGGTGACGCTGGGTCGCTGTGTGTCCCTGGCAGAGTCACTGAACCTCTCTGGGCCTCTGTTTCCTCCTCTGACAATGATGTGACTCCCGGCCCACTCCAAGAGGACTGGAAGCCTCATCCTCCATTGCCCGCTCTCCTTACCTCTCGCAGGCCAGCACTTCAGGGAAGGCGTTCACCCGGAGGAAGGTGCGGCTGAGAAACCTGTCATCGCTGGTGGCCGAGTGGACGCTGGATGAGGAGCTGCAGTCGTCCTTCTCACCCTGGCTCAGGCTCCCCAGACTGCTGGAAGGAGAGGCCTCTACCGGCTGGTGTGGCAAAACAGCCTGCTTTAAGTTTTCATGCAGAGACGGGTTGGAGGAGCCATCGGCCAGAGGCTGGGGTGGCAGTAGGAGTCACACTCAGTCCATGTGATGCCTCTGGGATTTGATCTAGTATTCATAATTCTACCAGTGATTCACGCTAGCCGCTCACAGGAAGGTCTGCCTGGAGGAGACTGGCCAGGGTGCCAGCAGACACCACAGAGTTTCCGTCCCAGGTTCTGCCACATCGACAGCCCAGAGGCCCGAATCACAGTTCACTTGTCCTCACAAGGCCAGCCCCTCTGCACCAGGTTCCTTCCCCTAAACTGCCAACCTGGATCTGTGCCCCGGACACCCAGCGCACCCTCCTCCCAGCTGCCAACTCTGACCTACCTCCTCCATAGCCACCGCTTGCCCTGACCCAGTTCTCTCCTTGCTGCTGACCCCCTGGCCTGCTCCCTCCACGAATCCTGCCAACCACCTGTCCTTCGCCTGCACAGAGCAGGAGTCACCCTCCTGCCCTCTGCCCACCGACAGGCTCCACGCTCCTAATCAAGAAGCTGGAACACCATGCACACCATGCACACCACGCCCACAGGAGGTCACAGCCTGGGGCCTGGCATGGCTAGAGGGCCCAGCAAATGTCAGCCTCCACCTCTGGCTGCCCGAGCCACAGTGAAGTGGCTCTGGCTTAGACGCTCCTGGTGACTTCATAATTCTGGCCTTTCCAGACTTTGGTCCCCCTACCTGAAACACCCCCCATTTGTTGTTTGCTGGGCAGAAGCGTCCCTTCCTCCAGGCGTGGATCCTGGACCCCATACTGGCTCCACAGGTCCCTGGGGATCTGCCTCTTGCCTATTTCATCATGCACTGTCCTGCATTCTCGGTGTATTTCAATCCACTCAGGCAGTGAGGGCCTCCAGGGTGGGGCTGACGCTCTGCTGACTATGGCGTGATCCCCAGGGCCCACGCAGGGCCTACCCAGAGGATGGAGAAATGCCCTTCATCCACCCACCCGTCCCACCCTTCAACCACGTGAAGGATGTGGTTCCCAATGTGGGTTCCAGGGAACAGCTCCTTGAGCCAGTTACTGCTCACCACAAAGTTTCCATGGAAAAATTAGTTCGGTAAAGCTTGTGTTAAACAAGGTGAAATATTCCTTTGGTGCAGGAATTCTCAGAACCTCCAATAGGCTTTGGGTGTCTTCAAAAGCAAATAATAATTGACAAGATCCTAACATGTTGTGAGTGCTCAGATGTTGTGCACTGTTCTGAGCCCTCATGTATGTTATCTTGTGTAACACCCAAAACAACTGGGCGAGGCAGGAGCACCATCATCCCCATTTGACAGATAAACAGACTGAGGCAGGAGAAGTCAGGAAACGCCACACAGTGAATGGCTGAGATGGGGTTAGGACTGAGATGCTGTGACTCCAGAGCTCGTCATCCTGAATACCAAGAAAGCAAGCCACATTTTCCCAAACTTATTTCACTAGGAAACTTTTTTGCACAAAGCACCTCCCAGGCTGAGGGCTCCTGGAAGCGCCATGGAAGGTGTAACCATAGCCAGGTGTTGGGGTCTGACTCTGGCTCTGCCACTTCCTGTCACGTGACCTCAGGTCACTCGCCTCTCTGGGCCTCAGTTTCCTTACGTGTAAAGTGGAGACATTATTTACCTGATAGGCATAACACCAAGTTGAAACGCCTGATGCATGACAAATACTTAACACAACACTGGCCCTGTCCACATAAGTGTTCAGTAAGTGCCAGCTGCTGGCATTATTAGTCCAGGGCTCTGTGAATGAGGATTAGCGCTCAGAACTGAGTCGGTATCAGTGTTTGTATTAGTGTTAAAAAGGCAGAGAGGGAGCTGTCCTACTGTGCTGTTACCTCGTGTCCCTGGGGATACAAGGAACCATGGAACTTCCGTACCGTGGTTACCATGGGCATGTCCTGTTCCTGAGCCTCAAAACTATCCCTACTAAAATGACTTGCCATAAAACCCTCAAACAGGACCAAACATCACACAGTTAATCCCCCCACTTTCCTCCCAATCTCTGGCACATGACGGAAGTAACTGGCTTTCTATGATGGAGCTCAGGACTCTCACCCGGAACTTCTGATTGATGGGGTAGATGACTTTGGCCTTCAGGGCGAATGCTGTGATATTGCTGTTGGAAGGCGGCTCACATTCCTGGGAGGGAAAGACACAAACGGCATGGGAAACTTTCTGTAAAATGAAGGATAAGTTGTCAAGTTTTTCCAAAATGCCACATCCCATTTGTAATAGCAGCCTCAGAAAGGGACCATGATAGGCACATTTAGATTCATATTAGCTCTTCCTTGCCAGAAGGAAAATGGATGGATGGGTGGACAAACAGATGGATGGATAGATGGATGGATGGGTGAATGAATGGGTGGGTGGGCAGATGGATAGACAGGTGGATGGATGGATAGGTAGACAGATGAATAGATGGGTGGTTGGATGGAAGGATGGACAGACAGATGGGTGAATGAAAAGGTGGAGAGATAGATGGGTGGATGAAAAAATAGATGGGGATATGGACAGATGGATGAACAGACAAATGCTATCATAAGAGAATGGCACAATGTTCATTTAATTACAATCTTCAGCTTTGGAAGAAATAAGGATTTGAATAACTTAAGACTAATTAACAAGAGAGTCTCCTAAGGAATTAGAAAAAGCAAACACACAGAATAATTTTAGCATTGCCAGGGGTATAAGCACATGCAGTCATATTCACACACAAGAGTTGGGATTAGACCCTTAAACAAAAGGAAGTGGTTGGGCAAATCTTCTAACTCCTCTGAACCTCAGTCTTCCCAGATAGTAAACCAGCAGAGTAGCTGCCCTCGAAGACCACATTCATGAAGCACCCTGCTGAGTCACTAGAAAAGAGAAGAAACTTTAGGAAATAAAGGGTATTCAATTAGGAAAAGAGGAAGTCAAATTGTCCCTGTTTGCAGACGACATGATTGTATATCTAGAAAACCCCATTGTCTCAGCCCAAAATCTCCTTAAGCTGATAAGCAACTTCAGCAAAGTCTCAGGATACAAAATCAATGTACAAAAATCACAAGCATTCTTATACACCAACAACAGACAAACAGAGAGCCAAATCATGAGTGAACTCCCATTCACAATTGCTTCAAAGAGAATAAAATACCTAGGAATCCAACTTACAAGGGATGTGAAGGACTTCTTCAAGGAGAACTACAAACCACTGCTCAAGGAAATATAAGAGGATACAAACAAATGGAAGAACATTCCATGCTCATGGGTAGCAAGAATCAGTATCGTGAAAATGGCCATACTGCCCAAGGTAATTTACAGATTCAATGCCATCCCCAACAAGCAGCCAATGACTTTCTTCACAGAACTGGAAAAAACCACTTTAAAGTTCATATGGAACCAAAAAAGAGCCCGCATCGCCAAGTCAATCCTAAGCCAAAAGAACAAAGCTGGAGGCATCACACTACCTGACTTCAAACTATACTACAAGTCTACAGTAACCAAAACAGCATGGTACTTGTACCAAAACAGAGATATAGATCAATGGAACAGAACAGAGCCCTCAGAAATAATGCCGCATATCTACAACTATCTGATCTTTGACAAACCTGAGAAAAACAAGCAATGCGGAAAGGATTCCCTATTTAATAAATGGTGCTGGGAAAACTGGCTAGCCATATGGAGAAAGCTGAAACTGGATCCCTTCCTTACACCTTATACAAAAATCAATTCAAAAAGGATTAAAGACTTAAACGTTAGACCTAAAACCATAAAAACCCTAGAAGAAAACCTAGGCATTACCATTCAGGACATAGGCATGTGCAAGGACTTCATGTCTAAAACACCAAAAGCAATGGCAACAAAAGCCAAAATTGACAAATGGGATCTCATTAAACTAAAGAGCTTCTGCACAGCAAAAGAAACTACCATCAGAGTGAACAGGCAACCTACAAAATGGGAGAACATTTTCCCAACCTACTCATCTGACAAAGGGCTAATATCCAGAATCTACAATGAACTCAAACACATTTACAAGAAAAAAACAAACAACCCCATCAAAAAGTGGGCGAAGGACATGAACAGACACTTCTCAAAAGAAGACATTGATGCAGCCAAAAAACACATGAAAAAATGCTCATCATCACTGGCCATCAGAGAAATGCACATCAAAACCACAATGAGATACCATCTCACACCAGTTAGAATGGAGATCATTAAAAAGTCAGGAAACAACAGGTGCTGGAGAGGATGTGGAGAAATAGGAACACTTTTACACTGTTGGTGGGACTGTAAACTAGTTCAACCATTGTGGAAGTCAGTGTGGCGATTCCTCAGGGATCTAGAACTGGAAATACCATTTGACCCAGCCACCCCATTACTGGGTATATACCCAAAGGACTATAAATCATGCTGCTATAAAGACACATGCACATGTATATTTATTGCGGCACTATTCACAATAGCAAAGACTTGGAACCAACCCAAATGTCCAACAATGATAGACTGGATTAAGAAAATGTGTCACATATACACCATGGAATACTATGCAACCATAAAAAATGATGAGTTCATGTCCTTTGTAGGGACATGGATGAAATTGGAAATCATCATTCTCAGTAAACTATCGCAAGAACAAAAAACCAAACACCGCATATTCTCACTCATAGGTGGGAATTGAACAATGAGATCACATGGACACAGGAAAGGGAATATCACACTCTGGGGACTGTTGTCGGGTGGGGGGAGGGGGGAGGGATAGCATCGGGAGATGTACCTAATGCTAGATGACGAGTTAGTGGGTGCAGCGCACCAGCATGGCACATGTATACATATGTAACTAACCTGCACAATGTGCACATGTACCCTAAAACTTAAAGTATAATAAAAAAAAAAAAAAAGAAAAGAGAAGAAACTCATCAGTGGGCTGCTTTGCATAGTGGCACAACACACCACTGTCAAATCCTGCTCAGGAATCACCTCCCCTGACTCATTAATAAGAAGCTGGATGGACTTATCCATGGCCTGCCCTATATCCCCACATCCTCTGCATCTCTCTCCTCTTGGGTCATCCTCACCCCAGCCCTGCACTTTGTAAAGTCAGTGCTGAATCAATGCTTTGGAAACAACCGGATAGTGAATGAAGATAAGCAGACAGGCAAGCCCAAAGCCTGGCGCTGCAGACCATGAGAAATCTCTACTGGGCAATTCTGAACACACTGATGGAAGAAAACTGCATCTGTGTCAATCCAGTTGCTTCTCAACCACGTCTTGAAGAGTGAGCTCCATCACCAATGACCGATTTCCAATCACAAAGTTCACCTTGGAATAAGACACCCTATTGTGGGAAACACAGGATTGATCACTTGCTCCTAATTTGAGGTGCTGACACAGCCTCCACTGAGCCAGCACTGTGGCCTAGATACCTCTCCAGGAAGAGCTGCACCGCGATGCCCTGTGAGCAACACGGGAGGGACACTCCACACCAGGGGCTCCTGTTCTTGTCGTTTCTCTGTACCTTACAACTCACAAAAAGACTTGGGTGACAAGAATGGGGGAAGACCCCTCATTATTCCTTATATAAAATTAACTCAAGATGGATTAAAGACTTAAATGTAAAACCCAAAACTATAAAAACCCTAGAAGAAAATCTAGGCAATACCATTCAGGACACAGGCACAGGCAAAGATTTCACGACAAAAATGCCAAAAACAACCGCAACAAAAGCAAAAACTGACAAATGCGATCTAATTAAAGAGCTTCTGCACAGCAAAAGAAACTATCATCAGAGTGTAAGACAATCTACAGAAGGGGAGAACATTTTTACAATCTACCCATCTGACAAGGGTCTAACATCCAGAATCTACAAGGAACTTAAACAAATTTACAAGAATAAAACAACCCCATTAAAAAGTGGGCAAAGGACATGAACAGACATTTCTCAAAAGAAAACATTCACGTGGCCACCAAACATATGAAAAAAAGCTCAACATCACTGATCATTAGAGAGATGCAAATCAAAACCACAATGAGATACCATCTCATGCCAGTCAGAATGGTGATTATTAAAAAGTCAAGAAACAACAGATGCTGGTGAGGCTGTGGAGAAAAAGGAAAACTTTTACACTGTTGGTGGGAATGTAAATTAGTTCAACCATTGTGGAAGACAGTGTGGCGATTCCTCAAAGAGCTAGAAGCAGAAATGCCATTTGTCCCAGCAATCCTTTTACTGGGTATCTACCCAAAGGAATAGAAATCATTCTATTATAAAGATACATGCATGTGTATGTTCATTGCACTATTCACAATAGCAAAGACATGGAATCAACCCAAAAGCCCATCACTGATAGAGTGGATAAAGAAAATGTGGTACATATACACTACGGAATGCTATGCAGCCATAAAAAGGAACAAGATCGTGTCCTTTACAGGGGCATAGATGGAGCTGGAAGCCATTATCCTCAGCAAACTAACACAGGAACAGAAAACCAAACACCGCATGTTCTCACTTATAAGTAGAAGCTAGACAATGAGAACACATAGACACATTGGGTTGGGGGAACAACACACACTGGGGCCTGTCGGGGGCGAGGGGAGGGAGAGGATCAGGGAGAATAGCTAGTGCATGCTGGGCTTAACACCTAGGTTAAGCAGCAAACCACCATGGCACACGTTTACCTATGTTACAAAGATGCACATCCTGCATGTGTACCCCAGAACTTAAAATAAAAGTTGAAGAAAAGGTTTCAAGAAGTAAAAAAAAAAAAAATAACAGGGAAAACCACCAACGTACGCTACCTCCCCAAGCTTCCAAGGACCCTGCCACAGAGGTCACTGTCTCCACTTCCAGACAGAGAAAATGAGTCACAGAGAGGTGAAGTCACGTGCCCAAGGCCACACAGCTAATCATCACTAGAACCGGGATCTGAACTCAGCTTTGCTGGCCCCAGGTCCGCCCTCTTTAGCTGATGCCATGCTGGCTCTGTCAACATGATGTGAATAACAGCAAGAGTAAGTGCCATGAAGTTTAAAGGGAAGTGGGGGTTCGTGGAGAAGGTCCCTGAGCTTGGCTTCACCGTGTTCAGAAACCTATATCAGATACTGAGGCATCGCGCACTCCCACATCCCAAGTCCCCACATCCAACCGACCACCAATCCCATTAACTTAACCTCCTACATCTCTCTCGAATCCATGGCCCTGGCCTATGCCTCCAGCGTATTTACCCTGAAGGGCTGCAATCACTTCCTAACCAGCTCCTCATCCATGTATTGAGGGTCTGCCGTCTCCAGCCACCTTATGCATGTTTGCCCATTTAATTATCACACATCTGTCAGCTTGGGGAGGTGGGGACTATTATTATCATGCCCACCTTATGGTGCTGCGAACTGAGGATCAGAGGTTAACACCTTCCAATTCATTCTCCCTGTGGGAATCGAATTATCTTTTAAACATGAATTTCCATCGATGTGCCTCTTAAAATCCTTCCTGGCCTCCCTCTGACCTGAGGGTACAGAGCCTGGCCTGCTCTCAATCCCCTGCATTCTGGCCCACTTTCTGCTTGGAGTTTTGTCAGTGAACAAGGAATGGCAGGAAGATGGAAAAGGCTGAACTCAGGACTCACTTGCAGAGTCCATTGCAAAATGAAAATGGGGATTCTTATTTAATAATGATCAAGAATTTCAAGATAGTGACAGCAGAGTCCACCAGCCAAGAGTGGGCCTATCTGAGCGTGGTCCCTGTGACCTCACAGGTCACACCCAGGACACCAGCCCTGGCTGACTGTCCAGGGGAGACACATTTGCTCAAGGGAAAGATACAAAAGCAAAAGGGCCCTGTGCATTTGTAAACTTCCTACAAACAGGGGAGAAAAGAAACGACAAAGAAAAGGATGACCATGAGAGAAAAGCAAAATCCCTGCTTCCCAGGAGTTGACCTTCAAGGGGGGAATACAAAACAAAAACCTAATTATGAAAAGGAAAGGACCAGGCGCGGTGGCTCACACCTGTAATCCCAGCACTTTGGGAGGCCAAGGCGGGCAGATCACGAGGTCAGGAGTTTGAGACCAGCCTGACCAACATGGTGGAAGCCCGCCTCTACTAAAAAATACACAAATTAGCTGGGTGTGGTGGCGCATGCCTGTAATCCCAGCTACTCAGGAGGCTGAGGCAGGAGAATCACCTGAATCCAGGAGGCAGAGGTTGCAGGGAGCCGAGATCGCACCACTGCACTCCAGACTGGACAACAGAGTGAGACTTCATCTCAAAAAAAAAAAAAAAAGAAGGAAAGGATGTTGGTGCTGGGTCCACCCAAGACCTGTAGGCGCAGCACCTGGGGATGGAGGAGCCGGGAAATGGGCATCAGAAACACATCCCAGCTGGCAGGAAGGCTCCACCTGATCTGTCTACCTGCAGACTGCAACCCCTGCAGGGCCAGCCCAAGGACGGTCATGGTCTCTGCCAGGGGATGAAGGATGCAGGAGCATGTGACACCTGAAATCAGGGAAGGAGCGGGCTCTGCTACCTGAACAGGAGCCACTGCCTTTAGTTTTTTAAAGCTCTCCTCATTAAGGTCAGGTGTCCTCCAAATTCTGAGAGTCTCCCCAGCTGAAGCAATACAATTATTTAGAAAATTGGTTGCAGCGAAATGTACAAGGTAAAACTTCCTCAGCTGGAGCAATGCAATTATTCAGAAAATTGGTTAAAGTATAATTGCAGGAAATGAAAAACCATTTCCATCACCAATATAAAGGGGTTCTTTTCAGAGAATGCATAAATGCATCCTTAAAGGCACCCACTCTCCCTCCCTCCAAAGCAAAGGAGTGGGATGGAGAGACGGAGGCTGTGGAATAGCATGCCTCAGAGCCTTCTGGAATTTTGTTTGTTTTCGGCTGAGATGAGTTGTTCATTAAACAGAGGTCATCCAAGGCGTGGCAGGAACCACAAGGCCCTGGTTTTCTGTGCACTAGAGGACAAGAAAGTTATAGCTCGATCCACTGGGCCAAAGCAGCCCTGACCACATATTTTGACAAGCTCAGTCTGCAGAAAGCAAAAGCATTCTGACAAGCCAGTCACTGAAACAAGGAGATCTTTCACTTAACCCTTGGCAATTATTAGCTTGATAATGGGCATCTGCTAGGTGTAGCTGAATAGTGAACAAGACATTACTAGGCAGAAAAAAATAACCTTACAGCGGGGTAGAAATATTTAGGTCCCCCTGCAAACACTGATTGAGCACTTATTCCGTGGCAGGAACGTTCACACGCATTAACTCAGCCCTGGGTGACTCGGGAATGGCAGGGGGAGCACCATCACTGCTGTCATTTAAAATGAGAAACTTGAGGCTCAGACAGGTTATGCTTCCTGCCCAACATCACACAGCAAACATGTGGCAGAGCTGGGACTGGGTTCCAGGATTCTAGCTCCCAAAGCCAGATGTGTTTTCATCACATTCAAGGGTACCCTATGTGTGAGCAGCATTGTTTAACAGCTTTATTGAGATTTAATTCACACACCCTGCAGTTCACTCATGTATACTATTTCATAGTTCTCCCTATCTTCAGATATGTGCAGCCATCACTATAGTCAACTTTATTTATTTATTTTGAGACAGAGTCTTGCTCTGTCACTTAAGCTGGAGTGCAGTGGCACAATCTCAGCTCATGGCAACCTCCGCCTCCTGGGTTCAAGCAATTCTCCTGCCTCAGCCTCCTAAGTAGCTGGGACTACAGGCATGCACCACCACACCCAGCTGATTTTTGTATTTTTACTAGAGATGGGGTTTCACCATGTTGGCCAGGCTGGTCTCAAACTCCTGACCTTAAGTGTCTGCCCGCCTCAGCCTCCCAAAATGCTGGGATTACAGGCATGAGCCACCATGCCCAGCCTATCGTCAACTTTAGAACATTTTCATGGCATCAAAGAGAAACCCTGTCCTCTTTCACTGTCACCCCATCCCTCCCTTTCCTCTGCTGCAGCCCCTGGAAACCACTAATCTACTTTCTGTCTGTATAAATCTTCCTATTCTAGACATTTCACAGGAATGGAATCCTATAACATGTGGTCTTTTGTGAGTGGCTTCTTTCATTTAGCATGTTTTCTAGGTTCATTCAGGTTGTAGCACCCATCGGCCCTTCATTTTATTTTATGGCCAAATAACCTTCCAATGTCTGCATATATCACATTTTATTTTTCCAGTTTTTCTATTTGGGTTGTTTCCACATTTTGGCTATTGTGAATAGTGTTGCTTTGAACATTTGTGTACAAGTTTTTGGGTGGACATGTTTTCACATCTGTCAGCAGATTCTAGTAGTGTGAGAGGGTGGGAGGGGGCACAGCAGTAGAGAGAGAGGAGGGGAAGAGAGACACAGAGACAGGGAGATGCCATGCACCTGAAGCTCACGTACTGTCACAAAGATGCACACAGAAAGACCCACAGAGACACATGAGAGAGTGATGGACTGGGACATACACAGACACACGTGGAGAGGCAAGCACACAGTGTCAGAGACAGCACAGGGCACATTCAAATAGGGGCTCAATCAGTGTTTGGAGGGAGACCTAAGTCTTTTTACCCTGCTGTAAAGTTAACTCATATTTTCCTGCCTAGTAATGTCTTACCTGTTCACTATTTAGCTACACCTAGCAGATGCCCATTATCAAGATAATAATTACCAACGGTAAAGTTAAACATCTGCTTGTTCCAGACTCATCTCCTGCAAGCCATGTCCCGGGATAGCAGCAGAGGCTTCCCCATCTCTCCCCCCGTCCACGTTGGCCAAGGGCAGGGCAATGCCCCCCTCTACAGGGATCCCACCAGCCAGGGAGGGAGATGCAGGGCTAACGCAAAAGCTGATTGTTCAGAGTAACTAGAAGCTGAGCCCTACTGACGTCGGACCTTTGGGGAAATCCGTTTTTATATCCCGAGCCCACTTTCTTCTGTGGTAAGCTAAGGCTGCGGAACAGGATGGAACAGGTTGGAAAGGAGCAGAGGCTAGAAGTTGGGTGTGGGGACGCAGCACTCTGGAGCAGGGGCCTGGCAAACCCAAGGACAAATATCAGCTTGGCTACTCCCCCAGCTGCGGGACTCAGGAAAGCAGCCTACCTCTGAGCCTCGGCTTCCTCATCTGGAAAATGGGAATATAAATCAGATCAGCCTCACGTGGCTGCTGAGAGAAGGGCACGAGATCATTCACGTGAGTGTTGGCATCACTCACAGGTGAGAGGTGTAAAACTGCCTGGCATGAGTGATGCTAAAAAATAATGCTAGTTCCATCTCTTCCCCTTATTCCAGAAGATGAAGCCTGCAGTACTTCCTAGGGGACAAGGAGGTGACTAGAAATGTCACATCCTCTCCACCCACGGGGCTCACCCAGAAAGCGATGTTCTGTGGATAGAGGAAGGGTTCCAGGAAGGCAGGAACAAATAGAATTTTTTTAACATCTCTTCCAGAGGCCCAGCACCCCCACCCCCAGAGATTTAATTAAAGGAAGTAAAATGAAATGAAAATAAACAGACTTATGCACCAACATTCATAGTAGGCTTATTCATTACAGTCAAATTCTGAAAACAGCCCGGTCTGCCAATGAAATACACACAAACAGTGAGCAATCAACAAAGTGTGGCACATCCACACAGTTGACTGCCACTGAGCAATAAAAATGGGTGAATTATTGATACACACAACGAAAGGGAAACATCTTAAGGCATTCTGTGGAGGGAACACAGGCACAGAACAGCACAATTCCATTTGCATAAGGTTCCAGAACTGCAGAACCAATCAATGGAAATCCCACGCATGGGCACCTCTGGAAGTGTGTGGGGGCGGGAAGTGACCAGAAAGGGGCACTAGAGGACTTGCTGGGTGATGAAAACATTCTCAGGGGGGTATTTGTTCTAAGGGGCATGCAATTGTCAAAACTCATCAAACTGTAAAACCTAAAGTCTGCGCATTTGACTGTATGTAAATTATGCCTCAGAAAAGCAGCCCATTGGGAAACTATATCTGTCAGAGGCTTGTCTACATGACACCCGGCTTCCAGGGGGAATACCCCACCTCCCACATGTGCCTCCACAAACAAACATCAACACCAAGCTTACATCAACAGCTTCCTTGTCCTTCGACATCTGCACTTCTCTCTTCCTCCTCCTTGATGGGGAGCCAGTTTCCGAGGGGGTCTGCGCATTAGACTCCAAATTCTTGAGCAGATTTTGAGTGTCGTCTTTCTAAAACCCGAAGGTCAGGAGTTGGGGGTGGATAGAAACACAACATTGAGGTCAGTCGGCCTGGTCCCCACCGTGACTTTTGCCAGTCAACTCCCCCAGTCCAGCAGCCACTTCTGCTCGCCTCTGTGCTTCTCAAGCTTGGTCTTCTGTGTGTGACGCCTCCCACCCCACGTGGGGTCCGCTACATGTCCTTCAAGACTGCACAGGTCACCTTCCTGAGCGGTTCCCCTAAGGCCTCCAGGATGCCCCATTTCAGTGCACCCTCAGGACTTGAGGCAAGAGGCAGAGCAAAGCTCGTTCCATTTTTCTTCTAGGTTGGGGACCCCATTGGACTGGGAGCTCTTTGGATTTAACAACTAAGCATGAGAAATGGCACATGCATATAATTTTCCTGTTGATCTTGATCATTCTATTGAATGGTTTTTAAGACAATATGTTAGGTGACCTTAAGTTATAGAGTAGTTTCTATTCTGAACTACAATGAATGCTCATTATTTATGGATTCTGTATTTGCCAATTCCTGTACTTGCTAATATTTATTTAGAACCCCCAAACCAATGCTCATGGCGCTTTTACAGTTATTCACAAATACATGCAGAGCATGAACAATCTGAGTTGCCCAGCATGCACGTGCTCAGTTGAGATGGAACAAAGTAGCACTCTGCCTTCTTGTCTCTGCTCTCATGCTGTAAACAAACATCCTTTTCATACTCTAGTAGCACAGTTTTTGCATTTCTGTGCTTTTTCTCGGTGACTTTACTGTTTAAAATAACCACCAAACACAGTGCAGAAGTGCTGTCTAGTCTCCCGAAACACAAGAAAACTATGACATGCCCTCTGGAGAAATGGGTGTGTTACAGAAGCTTCATTCAGGTGTGAGTTACAGAGCTGATGTCTGTGAGTCCAATGTTAATAAATTAAAAATATCTATTAAATAAGATATCTTTAAACAGAAACATACATAAAACTATGCTATGTATTGACTGGTTAATGGAAATGTTGTGACCAGAGGCTTGTAGGAACCTAACCCTGTTTTCCCCCCAGGAACAACGGTTCAGTGTTCGCTAATGCTGTGTTCTCAGTGAGTTTACAGAACATAACTACCATGAATAAGGAGAGTAGACTATATTTAAAACTCTGTTATCCCAGACACTTCTCAACTTCCCCTTTAATCACTACCTGCTCATGAATATAATCTTTGCACTAAAGAAACATCACCAGTTTGTCACTGAGTTAATCAGCTACTATTATCGAGCATCTGCTTTGTGTCAGGCCTTGTTCTAGGTACTGGGAATAGAGTAACGAACAAAATACACAGCCTCTGCTTTTGTGGCATTGACATTGCAGTGAGAGAAGAAAGAGGCAAACAAATGAAAAAATACATAGCAATTCAGGGACAATCATGTCCTAGAGTAACAGTGGAGGGTGGGGGAATGAAGGATGATGGGAGACAAAGTCTCTTGGACAAAGCGGCATTTGAGAAGGAACTTAAAAGAAGTGAGGCCATGAGCCATTGAGATATCTCAGGGAGGAGCATTCTAGAGACAGAATAGCAAGTGCAAAGGCCTTGGAGGCAGGCCCATGCTGGGCATAGAGAGAAACCTGTGTAGATGCAGCAGTCTGTCGTGGGTCTTGGGGTGGATGATGAAGCCAGAGATTTGGGGGGTTGTTTACCAACCATAGCAGACCAGTACAAGGGTCCTGCAAAGAAGAACCCAGTCAGATAGTCCTACAGTAAAGACATTGAGGAAAAAATATATATATCCCACAGAGGGAGCATCAGCATCACTTGAAAATGTCTAGAGGGTCACTAGCCATTTGAGGACAGACTCTAATATGAAAGATAAAATCCAAAACAAACAAAAGGAAAAAGCAAGCAGGGAACGCACTACACAGGGAAAAAAAACTTTAAACAAATAAACAACTAAAATATTATCAGAGAGATCAGAGAAGGTATTCCATTCATAAAATAAGGACAGGATAGAACATTCTCAGAACAAAAAAATGACTCTTCAAAATTGAAAATATGAAAAACTCAATACAAGTATAAAGTTGAGAAACATCTCTCCAAAGATAATGTAAAAAAGACAAAGAGAATCGAAGTGAGAGAGAAAGACTAAGATTGGAAGCCCAATTCAACCTAAAAAAGTGATAGGAGTTCTTGGAAGAAGAAAACGTATAAAAGGAAAAGAATCATCAAAGAAATCAAGAAAATGATTCTCGATCAAAAGGACGTTCCAAATGCCTGGCACCGTGGATGACAAATGACTTTCACCAACACCATCGTGGTGCAATTTCATTTACTAGGAGCAAAGGTAAAGGTTCTTTAAGATTCTACAGAGGAACAAAAGGAAAAGAGGTTTCGTGTAAGGTATCAAGGATCAGAATAGAATCAGTTTTCTCAACAGCAACCATGGAAATTATGAGATGAAGCAGAGTCCCCCCTTTTTAAGGGCCTGCAAATCCCTTGCCCTAAGCCTGGAAATAAAGGAAAATCCTGACTTTCTTCAAGGGAAATTATCAACAACTTGATAAGCAAGAAGGTAATAGTCGCCTAAAACAATAGCCAAGGAAGTTAGAGTCAGGAGATGTTTGGTTTCCCTGCAGAAACTAAAGATAACATCTTAACATATGTCCCTGAGTTGTTTTTCAGAAACCTGGACCCCCATCCAATGGATCCACTCTGAGGATCCATGGCTGAGGTCCTCAGCTGCCCCTTATCTGAGATCTGAACTCTGAGCACCATTCTTTGTTCTAAAGCTCTTCCTGGGGAGCCCAGAGGAAGTCATGACCAGGAGCCTGAGCTAAGGTTCTTTTCTGCCGAACCTACATTTTAAAACAAAGCTTCTCTTCCTTCACAAAATTGCAAATCAGAAAATCTTTGAATCTACCTCTGACCTGCAAGCCTCCACTTCAAGATGTCTGGCCCTTTTAGGCCAAAACCAGTTGTCACCTTCATGTATTGATTTACAATTTTGCCTGTAACTTCTGCTTTCCTGAAATTTACCTCTACCTTTAAAAACCTCACCTGGAAGTCATCAGGGCAGTCAGGATTTGAGCATGAGCTGCCTAGTCCTCCTGGCTTGGTGCACTGTGAATAAACACCTCCCTTTTTACCACTATAAAACCTCAGTGTCGCTATCTGGTCTTACTGTGCCAGGTGAGTGGAACCCAGTTTGGTTCTACAACAGCTAGAAGACAATGGAGGCCGGGTACAGTAGCTCACGCCTGTAATCCCAGCACTCTGGGAGGCCGAGGCAGGTGGATCACGAGCTCAGGAGTTCGAGACCAGACTGGCCAACATGGTGAAACCCCATCTCTACTAAAAATACAAAAATTAGCTGGGCATGGTGGCGCATGCCTGTAGTCCCAGCTACTCAGGAGGCTGAGGCAGAAGAATTGCTTGAACCCAGGAAGTGGAGGTTGCAGTGAGCCGAGATTGCACTACTGCACTCCAGCCTGGGTGACAGAGCAAGACTCTATCTCAAAAAAAAAAAAAAAAAAAAAGACAATGGAAAAATGCCTTCGAAATTCTGGAGGAAAATTATTCCCAATCTAATTATTCTTACCAAATTAAGTATAAAGATAGAAGAATATATTTTCAGACATAGAAGTTCTCAAAAGAGTTGCATCCATCCCTTTTTGAAAAAGCTACTGAAGGATGTGCTCCAGGCATGCAATGAAATTACCTAACAAAAGGGGAGTGCCAGGGAATCCCTGAAACAGGATTCAACCCAGAAGAGACGTGAGAAACTCCCAGCATGATGAGTAGCTGCTTCTCAAACTTTAAGAACATGTAAATCACCAGGAGGGCTTATTAAACACAGCTTGCTGGACTCATCCCTAGAGATTCTCCTTCAGTGAGTCTGGGGTAGAGCCCAAGAATATGCATTTCTATCAAGCTCCCCAAGATATTGATGCTGCTGGTCTGGTCCACACTTTAGAGAGCTGTCTAGAGAATAACCAGCTCAAACTAGAGCTTGTCAGAATGTTTCTGGGAGAGATATTTTTCTCAAGAAGATAAAATGGATCAAATATCTAATGCATTCAAATGTCTTGAACACAAACGCACATATGTGGGGGAGAGTTAAATGAATGATAAGTACACAGAATCTAAGCAAATGAAAAAACCAAGGCCAGATGTGGTGGCTCACACCTGTGATCTTGGCACTTTGGGAGGTGAAAGCAGGAAGACTGCTTGAGCCCAGGAGTTTGAGACCAGCCTGGGCAACATGGCAAAACTCTAACTCTACAGAAAATAGAAAAAAAAAAAAAATTAGCCAGGCATGGTGGTGCAAGCCTGTAGTCCCAGCTACTTGGGAGGCTGAGGCGGGAGGATCACCTGAGCCCAAGAGGTCAAAGCTACTGTGAACTGTGATCATGCCACTGAACTCCAGCCTGGGCAATCAAGTGAGACCCTATCTCAAACAAAACAAAAAACAAACAAAAAACAAAAAAAGAGAATAGCTATTAATTTCAGGAAAAACAAAATGTTGTGCAAGAAAAGAAGGTATTCATGACCACAACTGATCCTTAACTTGCAGTAGATAATGTTTGTAGAATTGTAATAATGGAAACACTGAATACAAATTTAACCAAATTCCCCTATAACCTCCGTATTGAGAGTGTGGTGGTGGTGTTGGGAAGAGTGGACATTTTATGGAGGAAGGGAGGCAACAGAGCTAAGTCCTCTTCCTTTCCACAGTGGAGGGTCAACGGCTATTGCACGCAGCCAAAAAAAAAAAAAAAAAATGCAAGCAGCAGCAATATAGGCACATTATTTAGAAATGGGAAGTAAATTCCCAAAATAATCAGCTGAAAGAGTTAACAAGGCCACTGTTGAGAAGTAGAAAATGGGTGGGGCTATTGCTCCTTTTGAACTAATACTTTAAATTATGTGCATGAACAACTTTGATGTAAATAAAACAGGTTTAATGATGAAATAAGTTAAAATAACAAAATAAAACAAAAACAGCAAAAGGAAAGCAATGCAAGATAAAATTGTGACTTGGAACAGAGGAGGAGAACAAACAGTGCCTACAAAGCAGGGAAGTACCTGATCTAGCGTGGAAGGTTAAGGCTTCCCTAGTTAAGAAGGTGATCTCTCTGGGTCCTGAGGGCTGAGCAGGATAGAGTCTAAGAAAGGACCGCGCAGGCGGAGAGAACAGATGTGCAGAAGTGCAGAGGTGTACGGGGAACAGCGAGGTGTCTTGAGTGGCTGGAGAGCAGGATGAGGCAAGTGGCTGGGCACCTGTGCATCAGGGTAGGTGCTCAGGGGAAGGTAAGCCACTGTATGCACCATGCTAGAAAACTGGGCATTATCTTTATTTATTTATTTATTTTTTAGATGGAGTTTCATTCTTGTTGCCCAGGCTGGAGTGCAATGGCATGATCTTGGCTCACTGCAACCTCCACCTCCTGGGTTCAAGCGATTCTCTTGCCTTAGCCTCCCCAGTAGCTGGGATTACAGGCATGCACCACCACACCTGGCTAATTTTGTATTTTTAGTAGAGATAGGGTTTCTCTATGTTGGTCAGGCTGGTCTCTAATTTTTTTTTTTTTTTTTTTTTTGAGACGGAGCCTTGCTCTATCGCCCAGGCTGGAGTGCAATGGTGCGATCTTGGCTCACTGCAACCTCCGCCTCCCAGGTTCCAGCGATTCTCCTGCCTCAGCCTCCTGAGTAGCTGGGATTACAGGCTCCTGCCACTATGCCAGCTAATTTTTGTATTTTTAGTAGAGGCAGGGTTTCACCATATTGGCCAGGCTGGTCTCGAACTCCTGACCTCAGTTGAACAGCTCGCCTTGGCCTCCCAAAGTGCTGGGGTGACAGGCATGAGCCACAGTGCCCAGCCTGGGCATTATCTTTTGCAGGCAGCCAGGAGTCACTGGAGGTGTTTAATCAGGAGAATCATATTGTCTGACATACATTTTATAAATAAAAACTAGAGGGAGGAGACAGGAGGAAAAGAATCTCATTAGAAAGAAGGTTGTCGCAAGGATCACATCAAACTGTAACAAAATCCTATTAGTCCTACTTTGAGCCACAGACCCCTCCATGGCTGCCACCCTGGTCTGAGCCACCATCACCCTCAACTGACTAGCTGTGCAAACCCAGATGGCTTGGTTAATCCCGGTAAGCCTCAGCTGACTCAGCTAGCAAATGGGATACTAACCACCACCTCACCAGGTAGCAGATACTTAAGGCTCTAGCTTTGGGGTTCAAACCAACTAGGGTTGAAATTCAGTCCCACTGTTTACTCATCGTGGCACCCTGGACAAACACCCTTGCAGAGCATCCCCTGCCTCACTGTAAAGTGGGGATAATGGCAGTTCCTCCACCTCATGGGCTGGAGGATAAAGAACCAGATGTCTATAAACATTGCACAGGACACCCAGCCAAGTCTCTGTGTGTTACTTCCCTTTCTCTCTCCATGCAACAAGCCAGCATCTCTTAGTGTCTCTTAATCACCAGCAGGATCTGACAACCCCCAACTCACCTACGAGCATCTTGCATTATCTCAGTTTCAGCCCTCATCAGCTCTTTGCGGTGTAATGCTCCCCATGAGTCACCAAATTCCCCTATATTCTGAAAGAGCCTGTGCCTACATGGAAACCGCACAAGATCTGTCTCATCTTCCCACGGGCCAGAAATGGGGGTAGCAAGACCACGCCATCTTGTTTCTGATCGCGCAGACTTTACTCTCCTCCCACCCCAAAGAGGCAGAAGTTGCAAGGACCTAAAATAGTGGCCATACCACTATTCATGGAATGCCTGCTATATGCCAGGTGTTGCCATGCACAGCCAATTCCATGAGGGCCACTTGCATAGGAAGCATCCACTGGTCTCCTTCAGGCAGCCACCCCGACCCTCATCCATGAAGAACACAGTGGCTTTGGGGTTAGACACTTCTGTCACTTTAGTAAGTTGCTTAACCTCTCTGTGCCTCAGTTTCCTCATCTGCAAAGCAGAGACAAACTGTTGTGGAGATTCATTGAGATCATTTAGGGAGAGGGTCTAGTTCAGTGCCTGGTACACAGCACTTAATAAACGCTAGCATTGCCAGCGTCCCATCGCAGACTCCCCATGCGGTGTCATAACCGATAGTTTACTTGCAAACTTGCAATTCGTCCTTCTCCTTGAGGTTCACAGCCTCAAGGCAGGGTCTCTCCCGCTCATGAATGTCGTCCCTAGGCCAGTGACTGGCTGTAGAAGGTGCCTGAAAACTTTTACTGTGGGGTGAATGAAAAAATGAATGCCAATGTGGCAGCTGGGACTCAGGCCAGGCGACGTAACCCACACCGCAAGGATGGAAGAGGCAGAAGCAGGAATAGGCATTCAGGCGTGGGAGCCCCAGCCGTCCTTCTGTCCACCATGGCGAGCAGGGCCAGCGTCCTGTCCAAACCCTTGGTGCTGCAGATGAGGAGACCGAGGCGTGGCGCAGTTGGGCTGCTGTCAAGGATCACCCAACGGAGTGGGATGTAACAGGCACCGCAGGGGACCCCAGGCCAATGCCCTTTAGTCACGCCGCCACCTCCCTCCTGGAGCAGAAGGGGAACCCGACGCCTAAGCGGTTGCGTGCGAAGTTCCCAACCAGGCTCAAGGAGTCGCAGAGCCGGGGCTCCGGGCCCGCAGGACCCAGAAGCCACGCGCCCCGCGCTCCCCGCCCCGCCGCTGTCTGCTCGGCCGACCCACCTGGTGTCGCGTGCGCTGGCGGCCCGCGCGGCAGCCAAGCCAAAGGCCGAGGCCGAGGCCGAGCGCGGCGCCCAGCAGCACGGCGGGGGCCAGCAGGGCGGGCGCCGGCCGCAGCGCGTCCCGCCCCAGCAGCAGCCGCGCGTCGCTCTTGCAGGCCGCCCCGCCGCGGGCCATCCGGGGCGCTCAGGCTGCCGCCCCGCCGCATCCCGCCGCCTGCTGCACCGTCCCCGCCAGGGCGGCGACGCGGGACTTGGAGCCCGGGCGGGCCAGGGGCGCGGCCCGCTCCGCAGACTTTCTGGCCTGTGCAGTCTCCCGACTCCTGCTTCTCTCCCCTTCCCTGCTTCGCCGAGCCGGAGGGAGGAGCCTGGATCACCGCTCAAAACTTTCAGCCACCCCCGCCCCAGCCCTGCCCCTGCACTGAGCATGCCCAGAGACAGACGCGCCTCCCAGCCCCGGACCCTTCCGGAGGGGGGCCCGGTTTCCACCCCTTTAACTTTACTGAGGCTTAGAAGGCTCCTTTAAGTTTTTTGAGGCTTAGAATATGCTACGCATTTAGCTTAATGATCTCATTAACTTTCTCAATAACCCTCTGCGGTGGGTGCTCCGCCCATCCTCCTGATGAAGACGCTGGGATCAATGCAATTCCAACCCCCTGCCCTTGCCCCTAACCTCTACCCATCAACCTTCCCGGGAACACACCGCCCTCCACGCCTCTGAACTTGCTCACGCGAAGACTCCTGTTTTAATCTTATTTTGTCCCAGGGAAGGTCGAGACAATGGGTGGAGACACCGTTACACTCAGTCTCCACTAGGAGGATGGGTAAAGGGATCCTTACACCCAGACCCCACTGAGACGATGGGTAGAGAGACCCTTACACCTAGTCCCCACTAGGACCAAGGGTAGAGAGACCCTTACACCCACTCCCCACTGAGACAATGGATAAAGAGACCCTTACACCCGCTCCCCACTAGGACCAGGACACTGCACCATCCTTCATTTACTCAGCACTTGGAGAGAATCTGTTGTGTGTGTGTTGCAGGCTGGGGGATAGGCCAGCCACAAACCAGGCAGTGTCCAGGCTAGTGAGTATCTCACAGTTGTTTAGAGTGATAAAAAATTAAAGGAGTTCATCACTGTGTTTGCTTTAAACAAACATTTATGGGGTAGCTACTAGATGTTTGCTTTTGTCCTGGGTGCCTGGGTAAAGCACACATGCACATGCACGACTGCACACTTGCACTCAGGGGCACACACACACACACACCTACCCTGTGGAGCTTAATTCCCTGTGTGGGCCGGGCTAGGGGACACCATGGGGATCTGCTTCAGCAGAGGAGGGCTTTGTCCTTTCAGCCTAGATGTCCAGCTTGTTTCTAGTTTGTTTCATCATTTCCTCATGGCAAGATGGGAACTGTTATCCAAATTCTTCATCTTTTTTTAATAAATGAAGAAACTGACAGCTGGAGAGGAGAGGTGACTCATTTGCAATTAAGGAGTGGGGCAGAATTCTTGTCTCATTTACACCTGTGTCTGGCTTCAGGGCAAACTCTCTGCTATGTGGAGCTTCTTATATATTACCTTAGAAGCATCTCCAAGGTTCCTGGGGACATGTATGGGGGCAATAACTTGACGCTCTTGTTTTACATTTCCATGAATGCTTAGGCTTTAGTTTTTAAAATGTGGTGTTTGGGCCAGGTGTGGTTGCTCACGCCTGTAATCCCAGCACTTTGGGAGGCTCAAGTGGAGGATTGTCTGAGCCCAGGAGTTTAAGACCAGTCTTGGCAACATAGTGAGACCCTGACTCCATAAAAAATACTAAGGAGATTTTTTAAATGTAGGGTTATTTGCTTTTTACTTTATCATAAAGTTGTTGACTATTAAATTAACCTTTAAATGACTGACTGTCAAACAACTCCAACGGTCCAGCAACATGCTTGGCATTTAGCCTGTGGTCTTGTCACATGCCTGACAGCTGCCACGTACCCCCTGGTGTGGGGAACTTGGCTTATAAATTCTCAGCTTCTCGAACCCCATGGCCTTGTCCATGTTAGGTCAGGAAAGGCCTGTCCTTGGATGGTCTGGGTTATGGGGAGAGAGGCTGCCAGGGGCCAGGCTCGCTGGCCTGAGACTTTATAGACAGCCTAACAGCCTGCCCCGCAGGAAGGCTGGCGGGAGTGGAGCCCTCCCCCGTCAACAGGTGTCAGCTGTCACCCAGGACCTAGGCAGGGATGAGGAAGCACACAAAAGGCTCCACCAGTCCCCCTTTTTGTGTCTTTCTCCTCCTCCTCCTCCTGCGTCCCTTGGCAAAGCAAATCCCTGTCCCCTCGGAGAGTTCAGGGAGAGCTTGCTTAGGGCTGCGACTTCAGACACCAGCTCCCCTCTTTCTAGGTCCCCAGAGAGGTGGCCCAGCGGCTGGCCTGTTTCCCACTGGGAATGCGAGGGGCACCCGGGCCGGCCCAGGGCTGACCCACAGCAGGCTCGGGCAGTGGGTGCTCAGCTGGTCTGCACTGAACGCAACCGGAAGTGAGGGTCCTTTTCCTTCTCTGCGGCCACCCCCTCCTCCCCGAGCTTTCCTGAACCTTCTGGGTGCTCCAGGACTCCCGGCCCCGCGCTCCAAATGCTTCTCCGTTTTCTAAGCGGGGATGGGGAAACTCTGGATTCACATCCGTGTGTCAGGAAACCGTTCCCAGGGGAAGTGCGTCTGAGCTGAGGCTTACAGACCCAGGTAGGCGGTAGCGGAGGGGCCCTTGGGGTCCTGGTAACCTCGGGGAGCAGGGGAGTGACCCGCTCTGATTCGGTTTGGGCGCAAGCAAACCCAGGCCTGGCCGCCGGGCGCCTGGGCCGCGCCAACTCGCTCTCCCCCTCCCACGCCCGTCCGGCACCTCCTGGCCCGCCAAGCCCCAGATGCGGGTGTTTGTTCCAGAAAACTTTCGGCGGCGGCTCGCACTGAGCATGCTCGGCGGCGGGGCGGGCCTGGGGTCCGGAAGCTCCAGCGACTCGGCGGCACCCGCCGCTTTGAGGTAGCGGGTCCCGACAGGCGATGGACCCCTCGGGCTCCCGGGGGCGCCCCACGTGGGTGCTGGCCGGGGGTCTCCTGGCAGTGGCCCTGGCGCTGGGGGGCCGAGGCTGTCTCGGCGCCAGCTCACGTCCCCGCTGGCGCCCCCTCGGCGCGCAGCCACCCCGGGATCCCCAGGTGGCTCCTAGGTCTGGGCCCGGCCTGAGGATCCCTCCGGGGCGGAGCGGGGCGGGGCCCGAGAGCAGCACGCAGGTAAGGAGGGCCCGACCCCAGGCTCCGGTCTGACTGTAGTGGTTTGACTTTGTCTACACCGGCGGTGGCAGGGAGGACCCTTAGTATTTCGCAAAGAATGAGGAAGGGAGGGCAGGATCTGAATAGGGTGCTTCGCGGCCCTTAGGTGTATCCCGCTCACGGCCAGAAAGCTTCGAGGGAAACTGGAGACCTTCCTCGGGGTGTGGCAGCTGCCGGCTTGGACTTCACCAGCGACCCTGGTTCGAATCCTGCTCTCCATTTTACGAGCTTCGACCTAGGGCAGTTCACTCCTGTGCCCCAGTTTCCTGATCGTTGAAACGGGGCCGTCGCGGCGTCCACCCCAGAGGGTGGAAGTGGGTTAGATGAGCTCACATATGCAGAGCCCCTTGCAGAGGCCAGCACTGGGAAATTGCAGCGGTTTTTAAAAGTGGGGGCTCTTGGCTGGACTCTTAGGTGACTGAACTCTCCTGGCTGATGGATTTAGCCACTTCCTACTTCACCCTGGCCCTCCCTCTGTGGTCCTAAACTCGAAAGGCATGGATCCCTGGCTGTAGCCCTAGACTTGACCTCCCCCGACAAAGCTGGTCACCAGTCCTAGTGCCTTTTCCTCCAAATCAGCTCGGATGTCTGCCCCTCCTCACTCCCCACTGCCACTCCCTGGCTTCAGGTCCCACCACTTCACTTCCAGCCCTTGGTGATGGTTTTCCCACGTCTCCCATCCATTTTCCCCCAGACCTCTGGGGTGGTCTGTCCTGGTAGACATTCTGCCACTCCTGTCCCATGCTGGCACTCTTCTCTCCACCTTATTGCCCCTGACAGCACACCCAGGCTCCTATTCCCAGGACTGCCCTGGCCAATGGTCTGGCCCATTGATGCTGCCCTGAGGTCCTCCCACCTCTCTCCTAGGGTGGTGGGTCGTGTCCTGCTGTGTTCTCTACCCCAGGACACTTGCGACACTGGCAGAGGTTTAGTCTCTTAAAAGAGACCCTGCTCCCTTTCTGTCTTTAGGTTTTCACTGGAAAAACGCCATGTCAGTGTCCTGAGCTTTCAAAAGTCCAATGACAGAACATGTTCCCTGGGTCCTTTCACTTGCATCTGCCCTGTGAGATGGGAGTATCTGGCCCGTTTTGCAGGTGACAAAACCAAGGCTCAGGGAGCCGCGTCCCCAGGCCTGTCCTGTACTCTCTCTCTGGCCCCCGAGTTCAGAGCCTGCGTGCCTGGCCTCACCTGCTTTGCACAAGCTCTTCCTTCTGGGAAGCCAGTGTCAGAAATCCTGGTGCACATTGGCCTCTGTCAGCCACAGTGGTGTTGAGGGTGGTCCCTGCCAGAAGGGAGGGACGGTGCCTACTGGGAAGGGCCTGAAGCCATCTAGGACCATGGTGGGTGTAGAGTACCTCACCCTCAAGGGCAACCCCTGCCTTTGCAGGAATCTGGGAATGAGCACCTGTATTCAGGTGCCCTTGGCATCTTGAGCACGTCCCCTGGGCCCTGGCCCTGCCCACGCCCATCCCAGCTGTTGATGGGACCAGCCTTCTTCCGTCTCTCTGGGCCTGTCTTGCATAGCCCTTCTGCACACTGTACAGGAAAGAGCTCTGGCCATGTGTGTCCCTGCCTTGGCCACTCCCTCTTGTGGGGCCTGGGACAAGTCACAGCCCTCAGGGTCTCTGCTTCCTCTTCTGAGCAATGGTGTAAGGGCTGTTCCCAGAGCACAGTTCCCGAAGGCACAGGTTAGTTCTTCCTATTGTAATTATATGATGCCTTCATGTAATTACTTGATACCATCTATCCATCCATTCATTCAATATTATCTATGTATGTATGTATGTATGTATGTATGTATCTATCTATCTATCTATGTATCTATCTATCTATGTATCTATCTATCTATCTATGTATCTATCTATGTATCTATCTATGTATCTATCTATGTGTCTATCTATCTATGTATCTATCTATCTATCTATGTATCTATCTATCTATGTATCTATCTATATTTATTGCACCTTTGCTAAGTCCCATGCTGTGTGCAGGGGGCTGGGAGACCAATGCCTAATTGCACACAGTGATTGCTGTGAGGAGGAGGATGGGGAGCCGTGAGAGAGGGTGGAGGAAGGAGGTCATTTAGTCTGGAAGGTCAGTCAAGACTTGAAGGATGGGCAGGTTTAGCCAGGGAAGGAGTCAGGAGAGAACATCCCAAGTGGAGGAATCGTCATGGGTGTGGCCCGCATGTAGGAGGAGCTTGGCATATTCCAAGTCTCTGGCCCCCTGATGCTGGGACATCTCTTGGTGAGAACATTTACCACATTGTTTGGGCTGCTTGTCTGTTTCCTTTGCTGGACTGTGAGTTCCTGTGGGCAGGGATTTTACCTTTTTTAATTTCATCATTTGATGCCCACTGGGAATGCATTTTATTCCCCAGTGGTTCTTAAGGTGGGGCCCAGGGAATCCCTGGCGTCACTGAACCATTATAGGGGTCCATGGAGTCACAGCTATTTTCACAGTAATACTGAGGTATTACTTACTTTTTCTACTCATTTTCTCACAATTGTGCGATGGGGTTTTCCAAGGTGACAGGAAGTGTGATGTTGCAGCAGATTTAATGTACAAGCAGATTTGAGAATCCAGCTCCTTCCATTAACTCAGACATAGATGAGGTTTGCAAAAATGTAAAAAAATGCCATTCTTCTCACTTTTTTTATTTTAGAAAATAAAACAGTTTTAGTTTATTTAGTTTTCAAAAAAAAATGCTATTTATGTTAATATGCAATGGCATTGTTATTCCTATTTAAAATGAATTACTAGACACTTTAAAATATTCTCACCTTTAATTTAAAGAGAGTAAATGTTGATAAATATAATCAGCACAAACAAAAGTTTTTTGGAGTCTTCAATAATTGGAAAATGTGTAAAGGAGTCCCAAGACCAACATGTCTGAGAAATCAGTGCTCAGTAGCAAGCCTATCTGATGTCCCAAGAATTAGAGATGAAAGAAACCACCCAGACCCTTTGAAAGATAAGTGTCTATTTCAGAATGGGATCCTTTCATCATTTTCACCATTTCATTATGCTAATAGTATCATTTCGTTATTTTACTTGAAGTACCACACAACAGTAATTTAGGTTGGTTGTGATGCCAAGTTCAGTGGATTGGGTGTGTCCCAGATTTGTAGAAAAGAACAACAAAAAATCAGCCAGATATGATGTAACATTATCTGTTACACTGTGTAATTACTATAGCTTCAAAACTGCAGCCTTGGAATTCTGAGTTAAGGGAACTATTAGTCAAATAAGCTCACGCCTGTAATCCCAACACTTTGGGAGGCTAAGTCAGGAGGATCGCTTGAGGTCAGGAGTTCAAAAGCAGCCTGGGAAACATAGTGAGACCCCCATCTCTACAAAACATATATATATATATAGCTGTGTGTGATAGCACATGCCTGTATTCCCAGGTTTTCAGGAGGCTGAGGCAGGAAGATGGCTTGAAACCAGGAGTTCGAGGATGCAGTGAGCTATGATCTCACCACTGCACTCCAACCTGGATGGCAGAACAAGACCCTCTCTCAAACAACAACAACAACAAAACAAAACTTCCTGAGAGCTTGGTCAGGAAAGATGGAGATCATGAGTGTATCTGTGCTTCACTTGATCTTTAATGGCCGGAGCACCCCAGGACTCAGTGCTGGGTTCTCTTCTTCCTTCTGTCAGTACTCACACCCTTGGTGATCTATCCCCTGGCAGCTCCCGAATTTCCATCTCCAGCCAAGACCTTCTCTGAGCTCCACCGTGGATCTGCATGCCTACCTGACATGGCCCGTGGAGGCTCACAGGCACTCCACAACTCATGCACCAAGGCAGAACCGAAATCCTGCCCCTTGCCTCCCTTCCTGTCAGTGGTTCCTTTGTCTTTTTCTTGCTGGGCCCAGAGGCCTTGGCACCCTCCTTGCCTCCTCCCTCTCCCCAAGCCCCACATTTAGTCAGCATATCGCATGGGTTTCATTTTCAAAACACACCCACAATCAACACAGTTTTCACTCTCTTTACAAACACCATCTTCATCTGAATTGCCACCTTCTCTCTGGGATTATTGTGGAGCCGCCTGACTGACCTCCTTGCATCTCCCCTTGAGTACTTCTCTGTTCTCAACAGAGCAGCCAGAGTGTCCCATTTAAAATGGCTATTATGCCACTCATCACGGAGTAGCTCACGGTGGCTTCCCATTGTCCCCAGAGCAGAAACCACTCACTCGCCCTGCTCAGGCACCCTGGCCTCCTTGTGTTCCTTGAACACCCTGGGTGTGTTCCCACCTCAGGGCCCTTGCACGGGTCTTTCCTCTGCCTGAACTAATGCTCCTCCCCCTGATACCCTGACAGCCACTCTGTCACCCTGTTAAAGCCTTTCAACATAACCCCATTTAAAATGGCAACCCCCATTACTCTCTGTTCCTATTTCCTTCTTTATTTTGCTCCACTGTTCTTATCACCTTCTAATATACTATATATGGTATGTTACTGTTTTGTTTGTATAATATATATAGTATACTATGATTTTGCTTGTAATTTTCCTAAATAGTGTTCTGAGAGTAGAACTTTTGATGTCTCGTTTGTCAACGTATCCTCATTTTCAAAATAGCACATAGTAGGTGATCAAAAGTATTTGTTGAATGAATGAATGCAAGTGAAGTAACTGAGGTTGGCAGGAAGTGGTGAGGCAGTGGCTGAGGGATTGGAACCCGGGCTGAGAGTCTAGAAGTGTGAGTTCTGACCTCAGCTCTACTGTTTACTAGCTGTGGACACTTGAGCATTTCATGTGTCAACTTATAAATATTTATTGGGTACTCTTGATGCTTCTGTGCAGCTCCTGGGGATGTAGCACTCAACGTGCCTGAGTCTCTATTCTCCTGAAGTTGGTGCTCAGTCCAGCTTTCAGATTCACATTCCTCATCTACAAAGTGGCGATTTTATAGTTACTTCTTGGCATTATCAGAGATGATGATGATGGTGATGATAAGAACAGTAACAAGAGCGGTGATAATAATAGTTACAATGATATGCAGTAAGTCCTCACGGAACATCAATAGGTTCTTGGATACTTTGACTTTAAGCAAAAAGAAGCACTGCATGCTGTAGGAACTTAGCTCTTGTCTGTATTAACTAGCCTATGGTAAAATTGGTTTTGCTATACAGTATGCCATTTGGCTTAAAGTCACAGTTGCCATGAACCTATTGATGATGTTAAGTAAGGACTTACTGAATGGCAATACATAGTAATATGTAGTAATAATGGCAATAATAACAATTGTATATTTGCTGTGTATTTACTCTGTTGGTAAATACTCTGTTACTATGCTAAGCTTTACATTTATTTTCTGGTTTAATCTTTCAAAATTCCTTATGAAGAAGGTATAACATTCCCATTTTACAGATGAGGAAACTGAGGCCACAGTGATTCCAGGTGAGGTGAAGATGTCCACCCAGACTTGTCTAACCCAAAGCACTTGCTGTCGGTGTCTAGGCTCTACAAGAAAGTGCTTCATGAACCTGAACACAAGATTTCTGTGCGAATTTATCATCCCTTCTTCTTACAAAGAGAGAAGAGGCAATTACAACCATTTCCCAGATGGTCTAAAAGGGCACTGTCCACTACAGTAGCCATGTATGGCTAAACTTAAACATTTCATATGCTCAAATGGCCCCATCTGGCTAGTGGCTACCATATTGGACAGCTCAGATTCTAGACCATTTTCATCAATGCAGACCATTCTACTGGAAGTTGATCAGAAGGGGAGGAGGCAGTGGAGGGTTAGCAGAGACCAGGCCTCTGGGCCATTCTTTCGCAATGTCTATTGAGGGCCTTCTAGATGCCAGGCTCTGTCCTAAATGCTTGAAATATAACAGGATAAGGCAGACCAAGACCTGCCCCTGCTCTTGAGGAACCTGCATTCTTGGAGCAGGAAAAAGGCAGGAATCATGTTACTATGTGGTGTGTCCACTGGTGGTTGGGGCTGTAGAGATGTACACAGTGGGCAGAGTGGTCTGAGAGATGAGGGGCACTCATGATATGGACAGGATGGGCAGGGAAGGTGCTGTAAGGAGGTGACAGCTGAGCGGATCCCCGAATGGAGTGGGGGACGGGCAAGGCCTTGTTTCTGGCCAGGACTCCGACAGTTGTTCCGAGTAAGATGGGATGCTGTGGATGGGCTTTCAGCAAGAAAGTGACCCACTCTCATGTTTCCTTTCCAGGCACCCCCGTGGCAGGGGTGAGAATAGATGGCAGGCGGATGTGTGAGCAGGAAAGTGGCAAGCAGGCAGGCGGGAGGCCAGGGGGCTATGGAGGGGAGCTGGACTGGGGAGGTAATGGTGGGCTACTGAGAGGTTGCTGGATTGTGGATGTTTTTTCAAGGTAGAGCCAGTGGGGTTTACTGGGATTGGTTCTGGGTTGAGAGAGAGAAAGAGAAGAATCAAAGACAAATCCAAGGATTTTGGCCTGAGCCAATAGGAGAAAGGAGATGCCACTGGTTAATGTGCAGCAGCCTCAGGTTGGAAATCACTGCTGTTGAGTTCGACATGTCTCTTAGGCATTCAAGTCTGGATTTGAGGGGAGAAATATGAACTAGAGATTTACATGGGGGAATAGTCAGTGTATAAATGACCTTTAACATCTGAGGGCCTGGATGAGCTCACCTCAGGAGGAACTCTCGACTGGAAAGAGTGCCCTGGAGCAACCCCAGGACTTTTGACTAGGAGAGGAAAAGATCCAACAGAGGAGGCCGGACAACGTGTGGCCTCTGTAAAAGGGAACCAGGAATGTGACCCGAAGGTCAAGGGTGGAGAGCATTTCAGGAAGGGAGAAAGGGGCTCACCATGGTCGGCAGAATAATGGCTCCCCAAGATGCCCACGTCCAGACCCCTGGAACCTGTGGATATGTCAGGTTTCATGGCCATGGGAATTGACATTATACAAGGAATTCAGGTTGCTGATCAACTGATGTTAAAATAAGGAATATATTCAGGTTTATCTGATGGTTCCAGTGTAATAATCAGGGTCCGTAAAAGTGGAAGAAGCAGGCAGAGAAGAGATCAGAAGGAGATGTTTGAAGGAGGTCAGAGAGATGCAACGTGAGAAGGACTCAGCTACTGCTGCCTTTGACAATGGAGGAAGGGGCCATGAACTTAAGGAACGCAGCAGTCTCTGAAAGCTGGAAAAGGAGAGGAAATGGGTTTTCCCCTGGAGCCTCCAGAAAAGAGCACAGCCCTGCCAATACTTTGACTTTAGTCCATTGAGACCTGTGTCAGACTTCTGACTTCTAGAACTATCAGAGAATAAATGTGTATTAAGCCACTACATTTGCAGTGATGTGTACAGCAGCCACGGGAAGCTGCAATAAGCACATATCGAATGGTGCTGGTAAGTGTGTGCGATGAGGAGGACTGATCATTAAGTGGAACGTTGGAGTGGCTGTGGTGACCTCGACAGGAGCTGTGTCAGCTTGGAGAGAGGGATGACAGGGAGGGGCAGGCTGGCCATTGGAAGGTGCTATCGGCTGCACCTGGCATGGTGCCTATGGGAGCGGTTGCCCAGAGTGGCTGGAGTCCCCAGAGAGGTACCTCCCCAGGCTGGGGACTTTGGTGAGGACAAGAATCAGAGATGCCCAGAAACCAGCGAGACTGCCCTGGGAGGCCTGGCCCAGGGTTCTCATGGAGGTCAGCCTGGGTCCTTTGCTCCCTGGGAACCTGCCCCTTCCTCCTGAGTGGCAATGTCCACTGGTAAGGAGAGCTTTGTCCCTGGGTGAGGTCAGGGGCCAGGTCTGCTTTGCCTGACATGTGATCCCTAGCACAGTGCCTAACAAGCAGCAGGTGCTGGTTGAAAGAATGGATAGAAAGTTCCAGGGGACAGAGGTTGTACAAACGTACATTTGTGTGGAGTTCGGTGCACCATCCAATGGATGCTTTGCCATCCATTGGCAAATGTTCATATCAGAGACCACATGGATGTATTTGTTAAGTAATAGACTGTAATTTTTAGAAGAGTTTTAGATTTACAGAAAAATCGAGCACATAGCGCAGAAAGTTCACATATACCTCCTCTGCCCACACACATACATAGTGTCCCCTATTATTATTTCTTTATTTTTATTTTTATTTTTTTTGAGACGGAGTCTCGCTCTGTCACCCATACCTGAGTGCAGTGGCGCCATCTCCACTCACTGCAACCTCTGCCTCCTGGGTTCAAGTGATTCTCCTGCTTCAGCCTCCCAAGTAGCTGGGATTCAGGCACCCACCACCATGCCCAGCTAATTTGTGTATTTTTAGTAGAGGCAGGGTTTCACCATGTGGGCCAGACTGGTCTCGAACTCCTGACCTCAAGTGATCAGCCTACCTTGGCCTCCCAAAGTGCTGGGATTACAGGCGTGAGCCACTATACCCAGCCTATTATTTATTATTAATATTTATTATTTATTTTTTTCAGAGAGGGTCTCACTTCGTCTTCTGGGCTGGAGTGCAGTGGCATGATCATAGCTCACTGCAGCCTCGACCTCCTGGGCTCCAAGTAATTCCTTCTGCCTCAGCCTCCCAAGTAGCTGGGAGTATAGGCATGTGCCACTACATCTGGCTAATTTTCTTTTTTTCTTTTTTTTTTTTTTTTGTAGAGATGGAGTCTCCCTATGTTGTCCTTTCCAAGGCTGCATAATATTCCATTTTATGGATGGACCGCATTTAGCTTATCCATTCATCCATTGATGGACATTTGGCTTGCTTCCACTTTTGGCTATTGTGAATAATGCTGCTGTGAACACAGATGTGCAAATACCTCTTCAAGACCTGGCTTTCAGTTATTCTGCATATATGCCCAGAAGTGGAATTCTGAATCATGCTGCTTTACTCTTTTTAATAGCTGCCTGGTACTCCATAGAATGTTTGTACCATAATTTACTATTTTAAATAGAATTCTTTACGCTGCCCATAACATAACATAAGCTCCGTGTGAACAAACTGAAGCCAGATGTTTGGCTCCATCAATGGGGAATGCTGGGGTGGGTTTGGTAGAAGCCTGTCTGGATCGAGCTGCACCCATTTTCCCTCTTCCCACACCTCTTGCCTGTCTCTGCCACTGTCTCTGCAATTTCCATCATTTCCTCCGTGTCCCTCCAGGAGTCTCCATCTCCGTGGGTGGGCCTCCTCCACACCTTTGGGGGAAAATCAGCCTCCAGCCCAGCTGGGGTTACATCACCCCAGCAGAACTGCCCCAGCCAGGGTCCTGGAGGCCTGTAAGGACTGGGGCTGAAACACACAGACAGTGGCCACAACAGTTGTCCCATCGATCCTGTCCCACCTTATGGTTTCCGTGGTGTCTGGCCCGCGTGAGAGCCATGTGAACAGTAGCCACATGGACTAGTCATTGGAACTGGACCCAAAGCCAGGCCTGAGCATCCCGCTCAACTCACATACACATCCTTTCTTCTTCCATTACACAGAAACCAGCCGTTGCGTGCAGGGTGAGCACATGTGCTAGGCCAGGCTGCTTGCGTGCCAGGCTCTGGAGTGAGTTATCTCATTACTGTAGACTGGGGGTAGTGCTGTACAATGAGTATAATGCTTCATGCATTTCTATAGGGACTACTTGTACAGTTCACTCAGTGCACATAGCGTAAGCACTGGCACATGGAGAAGGTTCCATCTGGGAGAGCTTTTACTGTTATTCAGTAGAGAGGTCTGAGTCTTTCTAGAGCCCAGTGATTCATAAAGGTAAATTGGAAGGGTTTGGCCAGGCTCAGTTTAGACAAATTTTCATCACCAATGAGGCTGAGCAGACTCGGAGGAGGCTTTGAGGTCACTTTTCAGAAGAGGGATCTGAGGCTCAGAGAGGCTGAGAGACTTAGCCAAGGACACACAGTGAATAAATGGTTCCAGCTAGAGTCCAGTTCTCTCCACTCCTCATCTAGTGTCTTATCTACCACCCTGGAAACTTGCAGGATCTTGGGAATTCGCAGGCTGTTGGCTTACCCAGGGTCCACAGAGTTGATGGAGGGCAGGGCTAACGTTTGAACCCAGGTCTGTCTGATGATAAGACATTTCAATCACATGGTGCGGCCTCCCTTGACAGCTCCCAGAAATGCATTCATGAGGGCGCTGATTCTCTCCCTGGGAAAGAGAAGGGAATTCTTTACTCAGAAGCTGCCGGGAATGGCCGACTTAGAAAAGTTTACTTCACACTTCTGGATGAAAGTGCAGGTCCTTGGCCGGACGCGGTGGCTCACACGTGTAATCCCAGCGCTTTGGGAGGCTGAGGCAGGCGGATCACGAGGTCAGGAGATGGAGACCATCCTGACTAATATGGTGAAACCCCGTCTCTACTAAAAATACAAAACAAAAAAATTAGCTGGGCGTGGTGGTGGGCGCCTGTAGTCCCAGCTACTCGGGAGGCTGAGGCAGGAGAATGGCGTGAACCTAGGAGGTGGAGCTTGTAGTAAGTCGAGATCGCGCCACTGCACTGCAGCCTGGGTGACAGAGCAAGACTCTGTCTCAGAAAAAAAAAAAAAAAGTGCATGTCCTCTCCATGTGAGTCATTTACAAAGATTATTTATTATCACTTCTCAGAAGTATGTGTTCCATTAATGACTTTGTGTCTTGAATTTTTTAGGACTTGCCCTGTATGATTTGGCCCAAAGTGGAATGCTGTCACTTTAAGACTGCAGGTGAGTTTTTCTTCTGGTTGATGTTCCCCTGTTTTGAGCATGAAAAACCAGAAGCCTGAAGCCCTCCTTCCTCCAGCTCCCTCACTCTCTGCTGATCCTTCCAGCACCTCTCTACTTTGGGCAAGTAGATCATTCCCTGACCTTACAGAACTAGGGCAGTGTACCTCCACCTCAAAGCTGGCCGAAGCGTTAGTGCACAGTGGAACCTAGGGTGAGGTAGGCCCTTTTTGATATCCCCTGAAGGCATTTGGTGAATGAAACAGAACGTGTGAATTAAATGGGTATATCAGTTTCCTGTGGCTTCCCTAACAAATGTTCACAAACAGTGGCTTCGACCACACACGTTTATTCTCTTACAGTACTGGAAAGCAGAAGTCCAACATCAGTTTCACTGGGCAAAGTCAAGGTGTCTGTCTGCTCCCTCTGGAGGTTCCAGAAGCGAAACCAATTCCTCTCCTTTTCCAGCATCTATGGCCGCATTGCCTGCGTTCCTTAGGGATGGATTGGGGATACTGCCCTCCTCCATTTTGGAAGCTAGCAGCATGGCATCGTGCCTCAGTAGTTACTTGGCCTTCTTCTCTTCTGTCTGTCAAATCTCTGTCTCCCTCTTATAAGGACATCTGTGATGACATTTAGGGCCCACCAGGATAATCCAGGCAATCTCCCCATCTCGAAGCCCTTAATGGAATCACATTTGCAAAGTATCTGAGACCCTAAGATAACATTCACAGCTTCATGGGGTTAGGACCTGGCTGTCTTTGCGGACCTTTATTCAGCTTGCCACACTCAGTGGTCGAAATTCAACTGACACTCATTTCATCAAGAGGAATTCATTGGCATCTGTAACTGAAACGCACAGGCCCTGGCACTGCTGGACCCAGGAGCACAAGGTTCTCAATGCTCCTACGGCTCTGCCTTTCTCCTTCCCTCTCAGCCGCCCTGCTTTCCTCTGGTGAGCATCTTTCACAGGCAGTTACATCCTTTCCCCATGGTGGGAAAAATGCCGCGGGCAGTCCCTGGCTCCTGAGCCTCATGGCTGGCACCTGCAGCGCAGACTTCCCAGCGGCTGTGACAGTTCCAGTGCAGGCCCCTGGGCTCAGCGTGGGTCCCCGGCCTGTCCCTGAACCTATCCCTGGGGCCACTGGGTGGGGTTGTCTGGGTTCTGTGCCTAACTCTGGTGTCCTGGGGAATGGGATGGGCTGGGATTCGGGTGGGCCCCACTTGGCTCTGTAGACTGAGCGGGATTCTTGCTGAATAGAGGAGGGGTCCTCTCTGAAGGGAGGGATCACTTTGGAGTCTTCATTAAAGCTGAGGACCAGGAGAGCCAGAGAGGCATAAACGGGTGGACCAGAGATGGAGCGCTTAAGGGTAAGGTGTGGCCTTAAGACTTTATGTCCTGGTTGCTTGCTGCACAAGCATTTGTGCCCTGGCCCAGGGTGCTGTGCTGGGGTCCGGAGATGGATGTCCGGTCTCACTTGCACCCATATGCTCTACTCAGACATTCCCGATGCTCTGAATCAGCCGCTCACCTGGTGGAGCACCCACTTGTTTCCATGGCGAGGGCCATCAGTTCCCCGATGCTTGATGCAATTGGAGCCCTTATCCCATCCCAACCTGAGGAACTGAATCACCCCCAAATACAACCCAAGGAAGGAAAAAAATACTGTAATTTAATCCAGGACCCAGCTCCACATCTTTTTTTAATCAGATTTTAGTTTTTTTCCTGCATATATTTTGAAATTCTATAGAAAGTTTCAAAAGCACTTGTAGTCTTTACCATCAATATGCTGGGTAAGAAAGACTGAAAAGTACACCTTATTTTCAGTCAAATTAGTTTGTATTTGAATAAAAGACAAATGTTGAAGAAGGCACAATGCCACCATCCAGGTCATTTCAAAACTAAAATTGCTGACTTGAAGCATTGGATACATCTAAGCACTTTCATGTGCAGTGTGGCATTTGATTGGCTGCTCAGACAACAGCCCTGTCTGATTGGTATCTTAACCACACACCCAGGTGAGGGGAACTGAGGCCCAGAGAACTCAGCTGACCTGTGCAAGGTCCCACAGTTGATCAGCACCTGGGCCGCATCCACTGAAGAGGGACCCTGACAGCCCAGCCCGGACCTTTTAAGTGACATTCCTGTGCTTTGCACACAATGCTCATGAACTTTCCAAATGTATTGACACAGAGAAAAATCTAAGGGAGTCATTTCTTTCTTCTTTTTTTTTTCTTTTTTTTTTTTGAGATGGAGTCTTGCTCTGTCGCCCAGACTGGAGTGCAGTGGCATGATCTCGGCTCACTGCAACCTCCGCCTCCCAGGTTCAAGCGATTCCCCTGCCTCACCCTCCCGAATAGCTGGGACTACAGGCGCACACCACCTCACCAGGCTAATTTTTTGTATTTTAGTAGAGACGGGGTTTCACCATGTTGGCCAGGATAGTCTCGATCTCTTGACTTTGTGATCTGCCCGCCTCAGCCTCCCAAAGTGCTAGGATTACAGGTGTCAGCTGCGGTGCCTGGCCCAGGAGTCATTTCCTATTGGAGGGCTCAGCAGGCGTTTGTGTCTGGCCGTGCACACATCCTCTTTAGGATGGTGGTTGGTGGTGTTCACTGAGGGCTTACTCTGCAGTAGGCGGGTGCCCAGAAGGACCTAGTGAGGTGAGACCTATGCTGTTTGCCTTAGAATTAAGCAAACCGAGGTATAGAGAGGTTAGAGGTTATGCCCAAGGACTCACAGCTGGAGGGGCAGAGCCAGGACTCAAGCCCAGGGCTGTCTAATGTCATGTGTGTAAGAATCAACCCAGGCATCATTCTTGCCCAGCAGTTCTGATTCCTAGGTGGGGCTGCACAACCCAGGTAAGGAGACGAGGCTTTGAAAAATGCTCTTCTTAAGTTCTGTAGCATCCCAGTGAGCATGTCTCATTTTCCTGGCAAAGAGATGATATCATTCATTCCTTCATTAACTTACTTACCCAACAAACGTCTTCTAAGTACCTTCCATGTACCCTGTAGTCTGTCTCTAGAGGTTAAGTTCTATGTCTTACTGTCTTTCCGCATTATATAAAACGGGTGTGTTGTTGTTTTGCAGTGGAAGCACCACTTGGAATGAAATTGGACAAGAAAATGGAAGTCTTCATCCCACTCTCAACTTCTGCAGCCTCTAGTGGGCCATGGGCTCATTCCTTATTTGCTTTTATACCCTCCTGGCCTAAGAAGAACTTATTTAAAAGAGAGTCTCCTATAACACACCGCCTGGTAAGTATTAAGTTCAATGCTTTAACACAAATACCAGAAGTTGGAAATAAACCAATTATGGCCTGTATATAAAATGGCACGGGTTTTTGTTGCTTAAAAAAACCCTATTCCTCCTCTTTCACTAAATATAGTTATCACTGGGTAGCAAATCCATTTATTTTTCCAAGGTGCTATTTCTGCTACACAACATACAGTATTTAGATGGAGAGGAGGTTTGACTCAGCATTAGGCTGCCTCATCTGGTGTTTCTGAAGCAGGGATTGGATTGTGCTTTAACCAGACCGAGTGACTGCCAGCTATTAAAGATGACTGTGCCCATAATAGCAGTGAACATTTCACAAGCATTTACTATGGGTCGGGCACTGGGTTTAGCACTTTCTATGTATAATCTCACTTGAGCCTCATTATGAGTTTCTTAAACAGTAATATTTTTATTCTCATTTTACAGACGGGAAATTGAGGATTAGAGAGATTAAGAAACTAGTTCCATGTCCCACAGGTAGAAGTGGCAGAGCTCCGTGCTCTTGCTGTTGTTTTCTATTCTGATTTTATGTAACGTGGGTTCAGTGACTTAACGTAGTACGAGAACTGTTGAGCTTGGCCAATGAGCTACGATGGCCAAGAGCCCTTTTTTGGGCTCCCTGCTAAGTAGTGATGTTAATTTCCTGGGGCTGCTGTCACAAATGACCACAAACAGCATGGCTGAAAACAACAGGAATGTATTTTCTCACTGCTGGGGAGGTTAGAAGTCTGGAAGCCCGGTGCTGGTGGGGCCACGCTCCCTCTGCAGGCTCTAGGGGAGCATCCTCCTCCCTCTTCCAGCTTCTGGTGGCTCCAGGCCATCCTTGGCTGTGGCTGGATCACTTGACTCTCTCCCTCCATCTGCTCTTGGCCTCCTCTGTGTCTGTGTCTTCTCTATGTGCCACTTATAAGGACACTTGTCATTGGATGTCAGGCCCACCTGGATAGTCCAGGATGATCTCTTGAGATCCTTAGTTTAATTACATCTTCAGAGACCTCTTTTCCAAATAAGGACACATACACAGGTTCTGGGGATCAGAACACAGACATATCCTTTGGGGTTCATCTCTGAACCCACTACAGTACTCATTGTTCTTTCCAGTCCTCTCCAGTTACAGGTAACTCGTCACCTCACAGGGCAGCACCCTCCATACTCAGTCGTCCCTTCTGCATTTATTTGCTCCACAAGCTGTATTTATCAGTTATTGTTTGCAAGATGCTATATGAAGGTCAGAAGAGAAAGCCAGGTCCCTGCTTGAGGGCTTTGGCAAATTCTCTTAGGGTCCCAGCACGTTAAAAAGGCATTAGCGGGGGTGTAGTGGATGGAAGCTCAACTGAATCAGAGGCCTGGGTCAGGCTGATGCTGTTGCATATTGTCCGCGTGTTCTTTGGAAAATGGCATTTTTGTTAATTTTCTTTTTTCTTTTTTTTTTTTTTTTTGAGACGGAGTCTCGCTCTGTCGCCCAGGCCGGACTGCGGACTGCAGTGGCGCAATCTCGGCTCACTGCAAGCTCCGCTTCCCGGGTTCACGCCATTCTCCTGCCTCAGCCTCCCGAGTAGCTGGGACTACAGGCGCCCGCCACCGCGCCCGGCTAATTTTTTGTATTTTTAGTAGAGACGGGGTTTCACCTTGTTAGCCAGGATGGTCTCGATCTCCTGACCTCATGATCCACCCGCCTCGGCCTCCCAAAGTGCTGGGATTACAGGCGTGAGCCACCGCGCCCGGCATTTTTGTTAATTTTCTACACAATGAGAGGGTTACACTGTGGAGAGGGAATGCATGTTGTGGAAAGATCACAGGATTTGGAGTCACACAGGCCTGGGGAGAGTCTCGAGCTTCCTGCCTGAGTAATCTTTGGCAAGAGTATTAACCTTTCTGAGTCTTAGTTTCCTCATCTATAAAATGGGAGTAATAGAACTCATGTATGTAAAGTGATGGCTGCCATGCCTGGCCCTCAGCCAATGACAGACATTTTATGGTTATTAGGCCCAGTGTGGTGGCTCACGTTTATAATCCCAGCACCTTGGGAGGCCAAGGCAGGAGGATCACTTGAGGCCAGGAGTCCAAGGCCAGCCTGGGAAACATAGCAAGGCCCCATCTCTACAAAAATAAACAAAATAAATAAAAAATATACAAAACATACGATTATGAATATCACTGAGAGCTGCCAGAGTCCGTGACTCAGAATACAGCTTGTTCCACTGCAGGTGACAGGTGCGCAAGGCAGAGAGTGGGAAAGATGTGGTCATCACAGCAAGGAGAGCCAAGGAGGGCTTCCTTGATGCAGTAAGGGTCCAGTCCCATTTAAAGGAGGTGTGTGGATACTGCAGGGCCCTGGGGCAGGGAGCATGGCAAGAGCAGAAATGAACAGATATTTGTTATTAGTCAAACGGAAAGGAAACCTGCGGTTTCAAGGGCAACAGGAGGCTTGTGTTTGATGGATGAGCCCTGGCTTTCCTTTGGAACCTTTTCGTAGGAGCCATTGCAGGGCTGGAGGAGGCCAAGCATTGGTGGGGGGATTCCTTATGTTGATGAGGGATCAAGCTCACAGAGAGGCTGCCCCCAGCCCCCAGACACACTGCCCTTTGTTCCAGCGCACCATGGTGCACAGGTGTACTGTCAGCCCACACCTGGTAAGCACACGGTACATGTTAAATGATATCTTCACTGCTCTGCCCACGTCCCCCTTGCTGGTATGTCAGTCTTGGTTGGCTGAGCCCTGTGACAACAGGTGTCCCACACTTGCACCCAGACCAGGAATACACTGTGGTGTAAGCTCATGTCCACATTCTTCTTTCCATAAGTTTTAATTTCTAATCCTTTAATGCTCTTTTAAAAAATAAGACTTCAAGATTACTTAAGGATTAGTAGCAGTAATCTTTCTACCCTCTGTAAAAATTTCATTATCTTGTACTTTTATTAAATATGTATAGCATGAAATATTTCTCATTTTCTAATAACTTTTACATTTTATTGTAGTATGGGGACATTTCAAGAGAAGTTCAAGGGACTTCTGAAAATGGAGTAATTTTTCAGAAATGTGCACTGGTAAGTTTCCACTGGTGGTGTATATTTGAAGAGAAAATAATTGGATTTTGCCCAGATCATTTTATTAGAGTCATGTATTTAAGAACTGATAAATCATGGGCTTACCTACACAAGTCTAGACACATGAGCAATGAACAAATAGCAAGGTCTGTGATATCTCATATGGCAATACTAGGACTGAGATTATTTTTGTTACAATTAAATAATTGTCAGTAAAAATCCACAGAGATCATTTAGAATGGGAAAAAAGTCTGATATATTTTGTTTCAGATTATAATCATTAATAGGGTACCTGACAGTTTTCAAAGTTGTTTAATGTTTTTTAGGTCTTTAACCTTCCTAATCCTACAAGGTGGTTACAATCCCACATATTATCCTTGTGTCAGGGGTCTCCAGCACCTGCCTTAGGGTCAGTGATTTGCTAGAAGTACTTACAGAACTCAGAAAAGCCATTCTGCTCAGTTACAGTTCATTACAGAGAAAGGGTATAGATTAAAGCCAGGAAAGGAAAAAGGTGAATGTCGCAGAGCCCAGGAGAGACCAGGCATGAGCTTCCGGCTGTCTCTCCCAGTGGATGAGTTGTGTGGACAGAGCTTAGTTCTCCCAGCAATAATGTTTGACAATCCGGATGGAATATTGCCAACCAGGGAAGCTCACTGGAGCCTTTGGGTCCAGGGTTTTTCTCAGGCTCAGTCACATAGGCATGGAGCACCCATGAGACTGACCTCAGTTACTCGTTCTCTAGCCCCTCCAGAGGTCATTTCAGTACAGCAGGGTCCAAGGCACCCATCACAACTCATTGGCATCAGCTATCTGGTGAGGTCAAAGGACCCAGGCATATTAAAAAAAAAAAAAAAAACAACAACCCACACTGTAATCAGGCAAGGATATTCTGCAGGCTTTAGAGGTTATCTTTCAGGAGCTGCTCAAGGGCCAGTCCTTTCTCCTGAATGTGGAGGGTTTGGACAGCCCAGGCCTGCTGAGTTAAGCCTTTCCTGTGCCACCCTCATTTTATCACAGGCCCTCAACTACATTGTTTGCCTTCCTGGATGCAATCAGTGTTAGTAGTTTCTTGTATATCCTTCTAGTGACTTTTTCTGCCATATGCATGCAGTTATAAGTGTGTGCACATGCATGTATACATAGATGTACCTTCTTTCTCCCCCACTTTTTTTCACACAGGTGGCAGTATATTACACACACAGTTCTGAAGCTTTCTTTTATCACTTCTTATATTCCAGAGCTCGCTCATCTCAGCACACACATTGCTTCCTTCTCTTTTTTCTGGCTCCTGCATGTATTTCAGCAGAGCTGGAGAGAAGCTGGTGCAGGAGGGCTGGGAGACAAGATTAGAGAGGAAGGCAGGGCAAGAGTGCAGAGCCCAGGTGATGAGCCTGTTGCATGGGCCGCTGGATGGCTTCTGGCAGTAGAGCCACTGAGACATGTGCTGGGCAGAGCCTGAATGTGGGAGATGATCCAAGAGGCGGACGAGCAGCTCGGGTCCTTCCTGGAGATCACATGACCATCAGAGACCCTGGGCTGAGGCTGAATCTTCAAAATAACTAAGTACCAAGGAGCCATTGTTTGCTTGGTAACACTGGTTATCACAATTTCCCCAACCTGACTGGTTCTGCACTTGGAGATTTTTCTTCTAAGATTCTCTGCAAGGATTATTTCACTGCATTTCAGCATCTCAGTTTCTTTGAAACTGTCTCCAAGCAACAGCTTGGGAAGTGTGGGTCAAAACCTCTTGGGGGTCTTTGAAATCATACTGAGACTGATAAATTCCCAGGCCCTCTGCGAGACCGTGCTACCCTCCTTCTTCCTGGATGCCTAATGTGCACAGGCTGGGCTCATGCCCCATTTTAGGAAGCTGGACTTGTCAGCAAATCTGCCCTCATGCCTTCTCCTTCTGCCCTAGGTGTCTGGGTCGAGTGAAGCACAGACAGCCCGCATATGGCTGCTTGTTAACAACACCAAGACAACCTCGTCAGCCAACCTCTCGGAGCTGCTCTTGCTGGACAGCATTGCTGGTCTCACCATTTGGGACTCTGTGGGAAACAGGACCTCGGAAGGATTCCAGGCTTTTAGCAAGAAGTTTCTGCAAGGTAACAGCAAAGCGTTCTGAAGTCAGGGATGACAAATGAGAATATGTACAGATACTTCCAGGTGAATGTGTTCTGGGTCAGGCATGTTCTTAAAGCCTTACACATGTTCACTCTCCTAATCCTCACAGTGGATCTTACTATCAGGGTATCAAAAAAAGAGAAAAGAGACCACATTCAATATCTGTAACCAAAAAGCTGAATTTCTCATTTATCTTAGAGAGATGTTGGATTTGGGGAAAGAGTTGTGGGAAATTTTTAAAAATACATAGTCTATTTTTATTATGAAAAATTTCAAACATGCACAAAGATAGAGTTGACAGTGGACCCCAGTATACCTGTCACTCAGATCACCAAAATTAACCATCACTCAGGAAGATGAAGAGTTTGTTTTGGGTTGTGCCGGACAGAGTGGGAGTGGGTTGACATCCGTCTCAGTAGCATGTTCTTGAGCTGTCCAGGTGTGTTCAGGTGTTCAAGCATGTTCACTGGGGTAACTCCAGGGCTGCTTGGTTGGCTTGTAGACTCTGCCACCCTCACTGGTTGGCTTTCAGAGGTTCGTTTCCTGAGGTGGGCTGTTATTGGTCAATTAAGCAGGTTTAAGACCAATTCTGGGATTCAGTTGGTACCATGGCTTCAGAACTTAGTTTCCCTAGGAGGGCAAAGACATCTTTTATTCTTAGTAGGACCTCATTTACAGATGAAGAGACTGGGACTAAAGTGGCTGAGAAGCTTGCCCGAGGTCATAGGGCTGGCCGCTGTCAAGGCTGAGTCAAGCTCAGGCAGTGTGGCTCCCTGTGCACCGTGGTAACCTTTAAACCGTCATGCTTCTCACACGCCTGGAACTCTTACCGACTCCATGCCTCCGTACTCACGGCACACATCGCTCATCAGTCATGCTGTTCCTTCCCTCTGAGCCTAGATAAGGCCTCAGAATCCTTCTTAACACGCTATTATTGACAGAAGCTACTAGTGGAGCTTGCCCACAAGTAGTGACCTTTTTGCTGGCTCTCATTTAAATGATGTCATAAAAGTTGTTATGAGATGTCCCAGCTAAGTGACCTTCAGTGCTTTCCTGCCTTCAATGATATAAAGATGAATCCGCTATTCTTAACTCGTGTTCAAAGCATGGAGCATGGAGCCACGAGCAGAGCATAGATGCAGCCTCAGATGGACCTGGGTGACTCCCAGCCTTGTGACTGAGAAGCTGCGTGGCTTCTGCAAAGCTATTGAAGTGCTCTGGTTGTGCGAATATCAGTCCATTGTGGAGTCGTAGAGATAGAATCAAGGAGACAATGTCACCCAGACACTCTGCCTGGTAAAGGGAAGGTGTCCAACACCCTCTTCAGCCCGTGGTCCTGCACGTCTCTCATCTCATTTCCCCGCAGACCTTTCATGGTCCATGCTCCTGCGAGACCCAGCTTCCTACCCTTCTCCTATCTCCTAGCATCTACTCTTGCTCTTGTGTGGGTCAGGAAAGCACCTCTCCCCAACTCTGAATATACAAATCATCTCTATTCTTTGGGACCTGGCCCTGGTGTCACCTTTTCTAGAAAGCCCTACCCAGTCCCTTGCCCCAAAGTCACCCCTCTGCCTCCAAACTTCCACAGAGACTACCTGCCCCTTCCTGCTTCCCTGCTTGGAGCCTAGGGCCATTCTAGGCACTTTCCACACGTGAATTCATGGACTTCTGCTCTAGCACGTGCACACTGCATGTCTCTGAACCTTGGCTCTCCATCTCTCCTCTGGGCATGCTAGTAACACCCACCTAGGAAGGCGCTGTGAGGGTAAGGGAGTTAAAGCAGTATGACGCAGCCCGGCTGTGGAAAGTGCTCCCGGGCTCCTGGTAATAGGAGGTATTTTGTTGGTGGTTTTTTCTTTTCTTTTCTTTTCTTTTTTTTTGAGATGGAGTTTCATGCTTGTCGCCCAGCCTAGAGTGCAGTGGCACAATCTCGGCTCACTGCAACCTCCACCTGCCGAATTTAAGTGATTCTCCTGCCTCAGCCTCCCAAGTAGCTGGGTCTACAGGCGTGTGCCACCATGCCCAGCTAATTTTTGTATTTTTAGTAGAGACAGGATTTTACCATATTGCCCAGGCTGGTCACGAACTCCTGACCTCAGGTGATCCACCTGCCTTGGCCTCCCAAAGTGCTAGGATTACAGGCGTGAGCCACCATGCCCGGCCACTGTTGTTGTTATTTTTATTCTTACTGCTCCATTCTTGTTATTTATGCCCATGCTTAGCTCTACCTACTGGGCTCTACATTCCCTGAGGGCAGTGTCCAAATCATATTTATCTGTGAACTCACCGCTACGCCAAGGAATGTGACATTGATTTTCACCTTGGGGCACAGGTGACTTTTTTTTTTTTTCCCCAAAGCATAAGTAGATAACTATAAAATCAAATGACCAGTCAGGTCCCAGTTCATTGACATTCTGACCTCATCATTATTATTTGGTGCTTTTCTTTTATTAGAGCCAGTGTTGTTTGGGGAAAAGATGATGGGACCCAGAGGGTCAGGTGGCTCCCTGTCCATCAGCGGGGTGATCCTAAGCCAGTCACTGTCTCTCAGTTTCAGTTTCTTCTTCTGTATGTTGCAGAAAATCACGTGTTCTCCATCCATCTCGGGGCAGTGTGTGGAGATCAGCTGGGTTAATGCAGGTGCAGCACGTGGAGAGTGATGAAATCACTGTATGGGGAAGGTCTGACTATGACTTCTTTCCCCGTCATTGTCATTGTCACTGCCATTATCTTTATCACTTTACGTTCATTATCTTAGCTCTAGGTTATATAAAAATAAAATGAGATGAGCATGGTCCACACCTAAAGTCCCAGCTACTCAGGAGGCTGAGGCAGGAGGATCACTGGAGCCTGGGAGTTCGAGACTAGTCTGGGCAACATAGAGAGAGCCTGTCTCAGAAATAAATAAATAAAAAATTTTAAATAAAAATGAAAATGTTGAGGATTTTTAAAACAAAAATGCCAGTGATTCCTTAGGCTAAGTGAGCGTTCCTCCTCTTTTCTTTACTCTGTGTGTGTGTGTGTGTGTGTGTGTGTGTGTGTAATATATATGTGTGTGTATATATGTTATATATGTGTGTATATATGTATCTATATATATTTTTGAGGTCTGCATACATTGAGAAATGAGGCATATTGTGGCGTTTTAGGGCTATAAGTAAACTCTGTTAGGGAGAAAGGCAGATTGGAGGACAAGCTTAGGTGAGAACAGTGACTGGCAGAGTTAGACGGGCTCCATCACCCACCCGGCCACATCAGGCGAAGGCCTCCAGTCCTGGTACAGCCTCTCCCGAGCAGGATGGGCTGAGCACAGCCCACCCAAACTTACCTATGGGATGAGGTGCGCTGCACAGTGAGAAAGGGCTAGGAGAGCCAGCCCTGTTGCGGGTGGTGCACCCCCACTCGTGAATGGAAACGTCAGGAGTGGGAGTCCAGGAGTCCACCCAGCTCACTCTCCCCAGCTTACTACTCAGAGAATTCCCTCCCCACACCCAGCTGTGTGCAATACAAAGGGCTTCCTTGCTGCAGGCATCACTGCCATGGTGGCCTCCCTTGGAACCACTGAAGCCAGGGGCCAGGATGTGTCTGGGGTGTGGTGGGGTGCAGCCGGGGGCGTGGCCAAGCCCTCCCTGAGTCACATGTGCTTTTCTCTGCGCAGTGGGAGATGCCTTTGCTGTCAGCTACGCAGCCACGCTCCAGGCTGGAGACCTCGGGAACGGGGAGAGCCTCAAGCTTCCTGCCCAACTCACCTTTCAGAGCTCGTCACGGGTATGACCTTTGTTACTTTAATCTCTGTCTTGCCACTGCCAAGAGAGGTTGTTTTAGAAATAGGGACACTTCAGACAGAAGACCTGTTAGTTCCTTCCTTCCTTCAGTGATGCCACCTAGCAGATAAGGGCATAGGCCCTGGAGTCTCACACGCCTTGCCATGAACTGGGCTCCCTTAGTAATGCCCATGTGACTTTGCCTAAGTTACTTAACCCCTCTGGGCCTCACATGAGGTTATCATAAGGATAGGTAATCAATACATGTGAATTCTCTTCCCTGTGTCCTGCACACTGTAAGCAACTAACCGGTAGTTACCATTACTATTAATTTTGCAGGGCTACCATAACAAAGTACCACAGACTAGACTTAAAAACAACAGAAATGTATTGTCCAGGAGGCTGGAAGCCAGAGATCAGGGTGTCTGCGGGGCTGATTCCTTCTGAGACCTGTTCTTGGCTTTTGGAGGCTGCCTTCTCCCTGTGTCTTCCTAAGGCCTTCCCTGGCTGCACGTCTGTCCTAGCCTCTTCTATAAGGACACCAGGCATACAAGACCATGACCCAGCCTAGCAACCTCACTTTACCTTACTACCTCTGTAAAGACCCTGTCTCCAAATGCAGTCACCATCCTAGGGCACTGGACTTCAGACTTTAACATATAAATTTTGGGAAACACAGTCTGGCCCATAACACCATTACTGTGAGTCTCCCCATCTCTCACTGCCCCTGTGGTGGGTTCACTTACGCAGTGAATGCTGGCTGGCTGGCTGCCTGTCCTGGCAGGTGCTGCACACCCCGGGTACAGGCTGGAGGAGATGTGGTCCCCGACTTCAAGGAGATCATGATGCTCTGCTTCCTTTTGTCATTTTATTGTGTCTTCAGCCTCTGGAGAAAGTCTTCCCTATTCACGGACATGGAAGATGAGGCTCATAGCATGACTGTGACTGCCCCAGGTCACATAACAGAATCAGATTGTACCCTGCAGCCTCCTCCTGAGGCCTCCTTCCACCCTGAGGCTGCGAGGCCAGTGTGGTGGTTCTGCTGCAATGAGGGGAAAACAAAACAAAACAAAACAAAAAACCTTAGATAAATTTAGATAACATGAAAGAGGCTAAATACAAGATTCAAGAAATTGACATAAAACTACTGGGAAGGACAATTCTCTCAGGAAATAATTCAGTATAAGGGTACAAAAATAGAGAACAAAGGCAGATTTTGGAAAACATGGATAAAATGGTCCAGAAGAAATCATAACAATTTCAGAAGGCAGGAAACCAAGTAAATTAGCAAGATAAGGTAAAGTAATGATAAGGAAAAGACAAGGTAAGCATCAGAAAGCAAATCAGAAACTCTGAATGAAATGAAATGGAAGCTTCCATGTCCTCAGGCAGGAGCCTCAGGAGCTGAAGCCCCGGGCAGCTGTGTGTGTTCCCGGGCAGCTGTGTGTGTGTTCCCGGGCAGCTGTGTGTGTTCCCGTGTAGCTGTGTGTGTTCCCGGGCAGCTGTGCGTGTTCCTGGGCAGCTGTGTGTGTGTGTTCCTGGGCAGCTGTGTGTGTTCCTGGCCAGCTGTGTGTGTTCCTGGCCAGCTGTGTGTGTTCCTGGGCCGGGCTGGCTTGAGCAGGGGGAGGTTTGTGGTTCCACAGAGCCTGGCTCCCTGCATGCTCTGGGAGGACCTTCCTCGTGGCTTCCCCTGCCCCACCCTGAAATAGTCCCGCCTGTTACTTTGTTTGGTTCCTGTCTGTGATATTGACTCTACCCCTTAGGAACCCCTCCCCCACTCCCTCACTAGAATGTCAGCTCCGTGAAACCAGGGACCTAGTGTGTCCTATTCACAACTGTGTCTCCAGGGCCAAAAAGAGAACCCTGCACGTAATAGGTGCTCAGTAACATTGTGTTGAATCCCACTTGGTCCATGTTTTCTGGCTTCATGCTAGGAACTAAAAAACGTAACTGCATGCATGTACTGGAGTGAGGATTTATGTTTCACAAAGAGCTGAAGACAAGCTTTGATAGCACGCTTTAGGCTCTTATCTGCATATCTGTGGGAACACAGCAGAATGTACTAGAATGTGGGCTCTGAACTTAGCCTCAGGCTCCAGCTCAGGAGACCCTGAGACTCCAAGGCACCGTACGTATTCCAAAGCAGAGGTAACTCAAGAATGGAAAAGGCCAAGGGAATGAATGCCTCAGAGGTGTCTCTTCTTTAGAGTCATATTCTAAAACTGTTCCATTTCCCTCCTATGAAAAGAGGACTTACGGTATTTTGATTTTCGCTGAAGCCTCCATGAGGTTGCCTGCTGGCCCACAGTGGATTTGGGAAGTCCCACTGCTTCCTAGCACTGCTGCCATAACATCTGTAGGGCATGGATCGGGGATTTGCTACCTTGGGAGGAGCATAGCTCAGGTTACAGAAAAATGCCTTAGTCGCGTCTGTAATGAGAATTACATGGGTTGCTGAGCTCACTGGGCTGCAAGCTCTAAGTCCCAAGGTCTGGTTCTTTTTTTTTTTTTTTTGAGACAGCGTTTCACTCCTGTCGCCCAGGCTGGAGTGTAATGGCGCAGTCTGGGCTCACTGCAACCTCCGCCTCCCAGGTTCAAGCGATTCTCCTCTCTCAGCCTCCTGAGTAGCTGGAATTACAGGCACCCACCACCACACCTGGCTAATTTTTGTATTTTTAGTAGAGACAGGGTTTCACCATGTTGGCCAGGCTGGTCTCAAGCTCCTGACCTCAGGTGATCCACCCGCCTCGGCCTCCCAAAGTGCTGAGATTACAAGTGTGAGCCACAGCGCCCAGCCAGTCTGGTTCTATATAATGATACTACTGCTACTACTATTGCTATTGCTTTTAAAAAATTTTATTATTATTATTATTTTTTTTTTTTGAGACAGCATTTCACTCTTGTCACCCAGGCTGGAGTGCAATGGCATGATCTCAGCTCACTGCAACCTCCTCCTCCTGGGTTCAAGCCATTCTCCTGCCTCAGCCTCCTGAGTAGCTGGAATTACAGGTGCCCGCCACCACACCCAGCTAATTTTTGATTTTTAGTAGAGATGGGGTTTCACTACATTGGCCAGGCTGGTCTTGAACTCCTGACCTCAGGTGATCCACTTGCCTTGGCCTTCCAAAGTGCTGGGATTACAGGTGTGAGCCACCGCCCCCGGCCTGCTATTGCTACTACTGCTGCTGCTGCTGCTAATGTTACTACTACTACCTACAGCCACCAATAGCAGTAATATTTTATAGCATTCCCTAGTGCCAGGCACTCTTCAGGGTTCTATATTACCTAAGTTAATCTTCATAGCAATTCTGTGAGTTGAATATGATTACCATTTCACAGATGAGAAAACAGAGGCACAGAGAGGCTAATACCTTGCCCAAGGTCCAACTGCTGGTGAGCAGTGGGGCCCTGTATGAACTTAGACAGCCTGGCCCTAACCACCACCCTATAGACAGCCTGTCAGTGGCAAGCTATTCTGCCTTTACCCCCAGGAAGAAGTATGTTCTCACGGTGGGTCTTGTCGGTCACCATGCGGTTAGACAGGTGGATACCATGACACACTTTATTTTTCTGTTTCCTGTATCTTCTCAGCAGAGGAATATTAGAGAGCATTAGGAATAGACCCACAGCGGGTTGGGGCTTGGAGAATCAAGTGCGTTTGAGTGAGAGAAGAACACGTGCAGTGCAGTCAGAGCCCAGGATTCCATCTACCTCTGTGAAGGAGGCAGACGCTGGGAGAGTGGAGGTGACCTGCCTTGGTCACAGGCTTGGAGTCAGTGCCCAACCCCAAGCGTTTCTCCACAAGGGCATGCTGCCATGACTTTCTCTGGATGTTAGCGAAGCTGGTGTTTGGATTTCACACGGCCTCCAGTAGAGAGGGAGGGATCCTATCCCCAAAGCCCCTTCCTCCTGATGGTGAGACCTTCACAAGCTCTGACCTGTGCAGCAGTTAGGGCTGATTGTAGCTCCAGGCTTGGAGGGTTGGAAATCGCACCAAATGTTATCCCACGTGTCAGACCCCAAACTGTTGCTGAAAGTGTTTTCTTTTTTCCTTTTCTAGAACAGAACACAGCTGAAAGTGCTTTTTTCCATAACAGCAGAAGAAAACGTAACGGTAAGAGACATGACATGCCCTGAGCACCCTCAGGACACACCTGTGCTGTGTGGGTCCTGCCTGTCCTTGGAGCCATGGGGAGCGGCCAGCTGCTGGCCTTGGTCCCCCAGTTATGCGTTGAGACTGGGACTCTGTGCAGTCTCTCGGGTCCCCCGTGTGCCCTGAGGCTATCTGACTGGTTTCCCTGGATGACCCTCCACCTGGACAAGGCAGGTAGGCCGTGGGCTGGACAGGCTGAGGCTCCACAGCCCGTCTGTGCTACTGTCCAGTCACGCTCCTACCTATCCCCAGTGTTTGCCACTAGGTCAAGCTGCTGGTGACATTGTGTTTTCCCAGATCTTCCCAAAGCCTGCAGTCTGTGGGGCGGGTCTCTCTGCTTCTGCTCTTCACCATAATACTTCTCCATTTCTGTTCTTCAGTTTAATCATTTGCAGCTCACATGTTCACTCACTCATGTATTCACCAAGTGTTAATTCACCAGGTAACAACACTTCACGTTTCTTAAAACTGGGTGCCAAGCATTCTAAGCAATTTACTTATGTGGAATTATGTCATCTTTACCACAGTCTTGTGAGACAGATTCTATTTTAAAATCTCTGCCATTTCAGATGGGGAAACCGAGGCACATTAAAGTCAAGTGATTTGCCCAGTATCCCATGGCTAGAATGTCAGGGTCCCCAACACCCACCCCCGGGTTCGGTGATTCTCTAGGGTGACTCACGGGACTTACATATACAGTCACGCGCCACATAATGACATTTTGGTGAACAGTGGACTGCATATATGAAGGTGGTCCCGCAGGATTACAATGCAGCTGAAAAATTCCTGTCACCTAGTGATAATGTGGTTGTGTAATATCCATCGTAGCATGGTGCGTTTACTCACCTGTTTGGTGATTCTGGTGTGAAACCTACTGTGCTGCCAATCATAACAAGTCTAGCACATACCATTATGTACAAAACATAATACTTGATAATGACACTAAAAGACTATGTTGCTGGTTTACGTATTTACTATACATACTTTTTATTGTTATTTTAGAGTGTATCCCTTCCACTGATCAAATCCGAAATAAGCTTACCTATAAATCAGCCTCAGGCAGGTCCGTCAGGAGGGATTCTAGAATAAGGCATTGTTATCCTAGGAGATGACAGGTCCATGCCTGTTATTGCCTCTGAAGACCTTCCAGTGGGACAGAGTGTCGGGGTGGAAGGCAGTGATATTGATGATCCTGATGCTGTGCAGGACTAGGCTAATGTGTGTCTTAGTTTTTAACAAAAAGTTTAAGAAGTGTTTTAAAAAAATACCTTAAAAATATAGAAAGCTTACAGAGTAAGGATATAAAGAAAGGAACTATTTTTGTATAGCTGTACAGTGTGTTTGTGTTTTAAGCTGTGTTATTACCAAAGAGTCAAAATGTTAAAAAAAAAATTACAAAGGTAATAAAGTCACAGGGAGGGGAACATCACACACTGGGACCTGTCGGGGGATGGGGGGCAAGGGCAATTACATGTGGGGCTTAAAACCTAGATGACAGGTTGATAGGTGCAGCAAACCACCATGACACATGTATACCTATGTAACAAACCTGCACGTTCTGCATATGTATCCCAGAACTTAAAGTAAAATAAAATAAAATAAAAAATAAAAAATTACAGTAAGCCAAGATTAACTTATTACTGAAGAAACCTGCACAGCATATATTTTTAAAATAAATTTAGTGGCCAGGCATAGTGGCTCATGCCTGTAATCTCAGTACTTTGGGAGGCTGAGGTGGGCTGATCACTTGAAGCCAGGAGTTCAAGATCAGCCTGGCCAACATGGCTAAACCGGTCTTTACTAAAAATACAAAAAAAATTAGCTGAGCATGGTGGTGCGTGTCTGTGATTCCAGCTACTCGGGAGACTGAGACATGCGAATTGCTTGAACCTGGGAGGCGGAGGTTGCAGTGAGCCGAGATCATGCCACTGCACTCCAGCCTGGTTAACAGAGTGAGACTCTGTCTCAACATAAATAAATAAATGTAGTGTAGCCTAAGGGTACAGTGTTTCTAAAGTCTATAGTCGTGTACAGTCATACCCTACGCCTTCACATTCACTCACCACTCACTCACTGACTGGCCCAGAGCAACTTCCAGACCTGCAAGCTCGAGTTATGATACATTTCCTATACGAGTGTATTTTTTTTTTTGTCTTTTGTACATATTTTTCTTTTCTTTCTTTCTTTTTTTTCTTAGAGTCTTGCTTTGTCGCCCAGGCTGGAGTGCAGTGGTACGTTCTCAGCTCACTGCAACCTCTGCCTCCCAGATTCAAGCGATTCTCCTGCCTCAGCCTCCCAAGTAGCTGGGATTACAGGCACCCACCACCACAGCCAGCTAGTTTTTATATTTTTAGTAGAGACGGGGTTTTACCACATTGGCCAGGCTGGTCTTGAACTCCTGACCTCAAGTGATCCGGCCACCTCGGCCTCCCAAAGTGCTGGGATTACAGGCTTTGGTACCTTTTCCATACTTGGATCTGTTTATATATACAAATACTTAGTACGTGTTACAGTTACCTACAGTATTCAGTACAGTAACATGCTGTACAGGTTTGTAGCCAGGAGGAATAGACTATACCGTAGAGCTTAGGTGTGTAGTAGGCTAGATCATCTAGGTTGGTGTAAGTCACTCTGTGGTGTTTGCACAATTAGGAATTTGCCTAACAATGCATTTCTAGGAACATCTCTTCCTTGTTAGGTGATGCATGCCTGTAGTTGTACCCACTGCTATGACTTACTACAATGAAAAGATACAAAGCAAAATCAGCCCAGGGAAAAGTTGCATGAGGAGAAGTTTGGAGAAAATCACTTGCAAGTTTTAAGAGTCCTCTCCCAGCAGTCACAGAGGGGATGCTTCATCTCCCCAGCATGAGTTGTGCTAACACATGTGAAGTATTATCTACCAGGGAGGCTCCTTAGAGACTCAGTGCCAGAATTTTCACTGGGGGCTGGCCACGTAGGCACTCTCTGCCTGGCATATACCAAGATTCCAGACTCCCAGAAGGAAAGGAGGTGCTCAGCATAAGCCACACTGTTTGTACAGACAGTTTGAAAACAGAGAGCCACTCTTACCAGAAAATAGTGGAAACCCTCCCAAAATCCATGTTCCCAGACATCAGCTGAGGCCCAGCCCTACAGGAAGGGCTTTCAGAGGATGCCAGTCTCTGGCTGGAGATGTTAACTCTTTTCTGCATGGCTAGTAAGTGGCAGGACCAGGATTTGAACCCAAGCAGTTTGGCTCCAGAGCCCTGCTGTCAGGCACTGGACCACACCGCCTCCCAGAGAGCCAGAGTCCTGCACAGAAGAGACGAAGAGAAAGTACAAGGCTGGCGTTAGGTGAGTGTTCAGTTTAGTGAGGCTGTCGGGTGCACTGGTAACCAGTCTTCTGGTGGTCTGTGAGCTCCTGGCGGGTGAGGCCATGTCGGATTTGCCTGTGTCCCCCACTGTGCGGTACATTGTAGGTGGCACTCAACAGGTAAATATCCCGTGATTGAGCTTATTGTCGTCAATGACGATGATTGCTGCTCAGGAGGAGGAGGTGGCTGGTTGCTGTATGAGTGTAATAAAAGGCAGAGAATGCTCATGTAAGGGTATTTCTGAGCTCTTCCCCGATGCCGCAGGCTCACTTATGGATGGAATTGAGCCATGCCGAGGTCTTCCAGGCTTCCCGTCACCTGCATGTTGCCTTCAGGAGAAAGAGGAATAGTTGCCCCCTGGGATGCAGACCTGTGGATGCAAGTCCTGGCCGTGGAGCTGGGGCTGGATTTCAGCCACACCAGCCCCCAGGACAGGCGCCCCCAGGCTGTGGACCACATTCAGGGAGCTCCCTGTTGAGTGGGAAGAGGAGGTGTATGCACAGGATGGCCCTATGGTGTTGTGTGGGCCCAGCTGACTCTTGGACCATAAGGCCTGGCTTTGAATCCCTGTCCCTCCACTGATTGCATGTGAGCTTGGGCACGTCACTTACCTCTGAGGGCCTCAGTTTCCCCAACTGTGAAATGAGAGTAATAACAACGTTCACTTCATAGGATGGTTGTTGAGGTAAATGGATCAAGGGCTGTAAAGTACTCAGCACAGTGCCTGGCACTGTGAGGGCTCCATAAATGTCAGCTGTTGTCGTCAGCAGTATTATTACTATTATTTACACATGAGAACAGCACAGCTGTGCCAAGTGTTCTGTGATGCTGACAGTGAATGTTTTGCATCAGGGCCTCATGCCCCAATGCCCACGGGGGCTACACAGGTGCTATAAGTGTACCTCAGGCTCAGTGCGAGATGCTAGGAAGTAATGGAGCGTGCGGCAGCATGGACACTCGGGTTGCCTGTCACCCACCATCCCCACCCTCACACTGAGGCACTACATGAAAAAAAAAGACCGAAGAATGCACAGCGCTCACTGAATTTGTGAGTTTGTGACCTGAAATATAGATTGCTTGTACCATGGACACTGACAGCAGAGAGAGAGAGAACTCCATGGGCTGGGTGGACTGGCAGGCTTCCTGGAGGAGGAAGAATTCAATTGGGTCTTGAAGGTAAGATTTAATTAAAGTTGGGGAAGGGGCAGCTGAACATCTGACTTCTAGGTTAAGCCAGTGTTGACTGCTTGTCAGGCATGAACCAAACACTACTCTTGTATGTGACACATACATAAGGATGAGGCAAGGCCGTGGCAGTCATAGCATGTGTTCCAGCAGGGCTGATGGCGGCGGGGACCTGCAGAGATAGTGGGATTACACCAGACAGGTGTGATGGCGATGAATAGGATGAGTTTGCCAGGAGGGTGGCAGCACCCCTGACATTTGCATCAGGCAGTTTAAAAATACAAGGTAAAGATGTGAGGCTTCCATTGTGTAAATAGAGATTCTGCCACATTTGGGAGCTACCCCATTGTCTCCTTAATTTCCTGTTACTTTCCTGAGGGTGAAACTGACACATGTCAGCCAAGGAAAATGAGGCCCCAAGAAATTGTTTCTCATTTTTTCTCAAGAAGTTGTCTTCCCCTTTCTGTCTCCTGGATGAGAGTACTGTCTTTTTGAGAGAAGATAAGAATCACACATTGAGTGCAGGTCTCAGATGGCACTAGATATCCCCTTCTGTGTTCATCACATGTGCCCATGAAAGGGCTGGGTACTGTGCCGGGCACCAGGAGAACAGATCACAGTGTTCTGCTGCCAGGATCTCAGGTCTAATCAGAGAGAGACATTTAAACCAATTGTTATGGTACCCCAATTCATTTAGAGTGCAATTCCAATACTAATTTTGTTTTTGTTGTTCTTAAGATGGAGTTTTGCTCTTGTTGCCCAGGCTGAAGTGCAATGGCGCGATCTCGGCTCACGGCAACCTCTGCCTCCTGGGTTCAAGCAATTCTCCTGCCTCGGCCTCCTGAGTAGCTGGGATTACAGGCACCCACCACCAGGCCCAGCTAATTTTGTATTATTAGTAGAGATGGAGTTTCACCATGTTGGTCAGGCTGGTCTTGAACTCCGGACCTCAGGTGATCCACCCACCTCAGCCTCCCAAAGTGCTGGGATTACAGGCATGAGCCACCGCACCCAGGCTCCAATACTAATTTTAATGGGACTTTAGAGGGGATGTGAAAAAAAATCATAGTTTCATCTGAAAATATAAATTATGAACCCAGATGGGAAGGTTTTGAAAATGAAGAGTAATGTGGGAGGGTTTACCCTAGCAGATATTAAAAATATTACAAAGCTACATTAATGCAGCATTTGACTGCTACGAGAAACATCAGACCAATGGAACAAAAGATAAAATCTACACACACATCTATCAATATGTTTTAAACCAACGGGAGGAGGAGGATGTATCATGCATGAATTTGGTAACAACTGACTGGGTCTTTTGAAATAAAGACAAAGATGAATTTCCTAATTAGATTAAAATCTAAATATAGCAATTAGTAAAAAGTAAATATGGGCTACTAGGATGTGATCTGGAGAAAACTGGATTTAGGTACACATAGTTGCAAACTTTAAAAACAGCACTCAGATAAGTGAGAAACTTGGGGAAATATTTGTAATATACATAAGAGACAAAAGATTAATGTTTTTAATATGTAAAGAGCATCTTAATTTATAAGAGATGGAATGCCACAATAGGTAGCTATCTATGATGTGAGAATTTCCCAAAGACGAGGCTTAGGAGGTGCCCTTGAAGCACAGTGGCGGCCCGTGTCACTCTGTAGGCAAAATCACGTGGCTGTGAGTTGCATTTGTATGCCTGGGGGCTTGTACACAATTGCACGTTATCATTTTTGCCTTCTCCGTGGACATTCGAAGCCCACTGACCATTGCCCTAATCTGCATTTCTTGTTTTCATTACTGCCCCAGCATCCTATCCTTTCTGCCTCCAGTTTTACTCCCTACCCAGCCCATTGTCCACGCTGGGGTGGTCTTCCCTAAAATGCAAACCTGAATGCTTTCTATTCTTGAGGGGCCTCCATTCAGGATCCATCAGGAAAGTTAACCCCTGCTAACCATCTCTCGGGGCCACTGGGCGCCTTTGTTTTCCATTACGCTCTGGTTTTGCACATCCTGTTCTTAGCTTACCTGTTCTTTGGGCAACTTGTAAACCTCCTGCTGGACCCTGACCAGCATCTGCACGCTGTGATGCCCGAGCCCTCCCCTGGCCAGCTAGTTGTGCCCTTGGCTGGGGTCCTATGCATTGGATCATTTATTAAAGCCTGGCACTGTGTGAAGTTGAGAGTATTCCTCTGGATGGCACTTAATACCTTTTTGTTGACATCAGAATAGAATTGTTGAACTGGAAGAGACCTTAAAGATTATCTAGTCCCACTTTCTCATTTTAAAAACCTCTTGTCCAGGGAGGCTCTGGGAACTGGCCAGGTTCAGAACTCAACATCATTGCAGTCAGAATCATGCTGTGTGATGTGTTCTCTACTCCAGATGCTATTTGCTAGATTGGGAAATTAGCAAAGCTGCGTTGGTAAGTGTGATTGTCTCTGCCTGTGATTATCTTCGAGATCTCACTCTTGCCCCAATTGTCAGCTGGGAGGCCAAGGGTCTCTTTGCCCTCAGGGCTGCCCCTCAGGGACTGTGTGACAAGGGCCAGCAAGCCACTCACCCCTCTGTTTCTTGGGTCTCAAGCTCAAAGTAAAAGATTTCAAGTAAATGATTCTTAGACTGTTCCGGAGGAAACATTCGTCTCATCTCCCATGTTCATCAAGCATTTTCTGTGTTTCGAAGGGTTGGGTGGGTGGGATTTAATATAAGGCCACTGTGGGCATTTTGAAGAAATGTCCTCTTCTTACCACCACCCTCCACGTGCAGAAAAGTTGGAAGAATAAAATAGCTTCATGCCGTAATCCCACCAGCAGGGAGAACCATTGCTAACATGTTCACATCTCGCCATCCACAAGACTGTGAATATATTTAGTACATAATGAAGTCAAACTCTGTAAACAATTCTTCATCATGCTTTTGTAACTTGGTGTTGGATTCTGAGCATTTAAAGCATTCGTTTTGAAAGGCCTGTTTATCCAGCATCGCTCTTCATAAATGCAGTGACAGAATGCATCAAAGGCATCTGCTCCTGCTAATATGTGATTAAAGGGTGGTAATCGTGGATGATTCTTTTCCAGAGACAAGAAGGAAAGTGAGGAGGACTCTGGGGGGGAAGCCGGGATAACCATCTCTTTTTCTTTATTCTTAGACAATGAGGTTTAAGGTAAAGATGCTCTTTGGAATCTGTACTTACAGTGATTCTCAGTGGAACTTGGCTGCAGCATGTTTAAGGGAATCTCAGAAGTATGATTTACGTGGGGCTGATTCTGGTGCTCTCAGCCACTTCTGGTTCTGAACTCATCACTGCAGCGGTGGGTCCCACCAGCATCCTGTCCCCCGAGCTGGATTCAGGGACATTGTTGGCTCCTCCTGTGTCTGGCTTCTTACATATACATTCCATCACAACACTCTGTTGACTGTGTCTCCTGATCTGTGCCCTTCCCACCAGCCAACAACAGTAGTAGCAATAGCGGCTCAGATTTTCTGACTTCTGTGTACCATAACCCTAAACATTAGGCACTGTTTCTGTGTGTGTGGTAAAGTATACACAGCCTAACATTTACTGTTATTGACAGTTACTACAGTCAATAGGTGTTGTGCAGCCATCACCACTGTCTGCTTACAGAACATTTTCCCCACTCCGAAAGGAAACTTGGTACCCATTGGTGACTTCCCATTTCCTTCTCCCCCAGCCCCTGGCAAACCACTCATCTGCTTCTGTCTCTGGATTTGCCGACCCTGTACATTTCAGATAAGTGGAATCACACAGTACGTGTCCTTTTGTGTCTGGCGTCTTTCACTTAGCATCAAGTTTTCAGTGTTCCTCCATGTTGTAGCATGCACCAGAACTTCATTCCTTTTTGTGGCTGAATAATAGTCCATTATATGGATATACACATGTTCTTTATTCATCAGGACGTTTGGCTTATTGTAAACAGTGCTGCTGTGAGCATTCGAGTACAGATTTTTGTTCGAATACCTGTTTTAAATTATTTGGGGTATATGCTTGGGGGTGAAATTGCTCGGTTGTATGGTAATTCTATTTTTAACCTATTGCCTCTCAGAGCTGGGGAGACCCAGCCTCCCACAGTGTGGAAAGGGGTGGATCTAAGAGTTGAACCCCCATCAAAAGCCAAAGTCCACGGTCCTTGCTGGCGTGTCCCGTTGCCTCCTGCAGCCTCTTTTCATGCCCCCTATTTCTCCCTTGGCATCCAGATTTACCTTCCTCCAGGCTGAAGTCATACAGCGGCCAGAGTTGTCTTTCTAAAATACTGATCTAACCATGTTTCTTCATGGCTTAAAGCCTCTTAGTTGTTCCCCTGATTCCCTTAGGATGACACAGCAAATCCCTAACCTGCTCTCGAAGGCTCTGTCAGGCTGGGGCTGCTTCTCTTGCCGGCTTCAGGCCTTGTTCAGGCCAGTCCTTCTCCAGGCTCGCCCTCCCCCTGGCCCAGCTCGTTCTCCTCTGCCCACTGGATCACCTCTTGGAAAGCCTTATCCTGTCCTTTGAGCTAGGAGAGGAGCTCCCCTCCCTCCCCCAGTTCTCCAGGCTCCCCAGCCTCAGCCCAGGCACACTGTGGCATCAGCATCTGCCTGCCTGTTCATTCCTCTGTAGGACTGTGAGCTCCTTGAGTAGGGCCTGGCTCTGGTTCCTCCTCGTTCTTCCAGCACCTAGTACAGGGCTCCAGTGACTCAGTGAATTAACATCAGGAAAGTGTAGTGTCACATCCAAACACGGGGTCAAACCTGGCAGCCCACTTGATGTATCCACTTAAATAGAGCGTTTCAGGCAAACAAATTATAGCAAACCTTGGTTTCTTCACATGTGAAATGGATGTAAGAATTCTGCACTTAAAATATTGTTTGAGGCCAGGCGCAGTGGCTGACGTCTGTAATCCCAACACTTTGGGAGGCCGAGGTGGGCAGAGCACGAGGTCAGGAGTTTAAGACAAGCCTGGCCAACATGGTGAAACCCCGTCTCTACAAAAAGTACAAAAATTAGCTGGGCATGGTGGCAGGCGCCTGTAATCCCAGCTACTTGGAAGGCTGAGGCAGGAGAATCGCTTGAACCCAGGAGGTGGAGGTTGCAGTGAGCCGAGATTGTGCCATTGCACTCCAGCCTGGGCAACAAGAGCAAGACTCTATCTCAAAAATAAATAAATAAATAAAGTATTGTTTGAAATATTAAAAAGGGAATAAAGCCTGGTCTGTGGACAAAATTAAAGTTTGAAGGGATTAGGAAGGCTTTTGGCCAGAGACTCAGGAGTTCCAAAATCCTGCCCTGCTGCTACTCCCTCACCCCCAAAAGGTGAGCTGCATACTCAGAGTGGGAATGAAAGTGTTAACAGGGGCACAAACCCTTGATGGCTCGATGCAGGGCTCCTGATAAAGGGCCAGCCTAGGAGAGGCAGCGGGGGTATGAAGGCCACTAGCCCCAACTGCTGGATGTGAGTCTTGGGTCTACTACTTACTCTATCTGTGACCTTGGGCCATTTTAAAAACTTTTTTCTACAATGACATTATAATTTATAAAGTGGTGGTTAAAATAGTTCCCATCACAGAGTATTGTTGTGGAGATTAAATGGATTAATACATGTAAAGCACTTGGATCCATCCCTGGTGCTTAGTATCTGCATAATACATGTTCTGTGAAATGACAGTGGTAATGGTGTTGCTGCCGCTGATGGTGTCATGATGGTGTTGATGGTGGTGGGCGTGAAGATGATGGTGATGGTGATATTGATGATGTTTATAGTGATTGTGATGGTCATGGTGAAGATGATGGTGATGGGGATATTGATGATGTTGATAATGATGGTGGTGATGGGGATATTGATGATGTTGATAGTGATGGTGGCTATGGTAATGGTGGTGGTGGTCATGGTGGTGATGGTGATAATGAATTTGATGGCGATGCTGCTGATGATGGCGTTGATGGTGATGGTGAAGATGATGGTGATGGAGATATTGATGATGTTGATAATGATGGTGGTGATGGCCATGGTGAAGGTGATTGGCATATTGATAATGTTGACAATGATGGTAGTGATGGTGATGGTGAAGATGATGGTGATGGTGATATTGATGATGTTGATAGTGATGGTGGTGATGGCCAATGTGAAGATGATGGTGATGGGGATATTGATGATGTTGATAATCGTGGTGGCGATGGTGATGGTGGTGATGGTGATGGTGGGGATGGTGATGATGAATTTGATGGTGATCCTGCTGATATTGATCATAATGGTGTTGATGGTGATGGTAAAGATGAAAATGATGGAGATATTGATGATGTTGATAATGATGGTGGTGATGGTGGTGGTGACAGTCATTGTGGTGATGGTGATGATGAATTTGATGGTGATGCTGCTGCTGATGGTGATCATGATGGTGTTAATGAAGATGTTGATCATGATGGTGATGGTAAAGATAGTTATGATGGGGATATTGATGATGTTGATAATCATGGTGGTAATATTAATGTTGGTGATGATGATAGTGATGGTAGTGATTATATGGAGCCTCCTTCTTCTCATAAAATTACATATTGAGATCTTACTCTTCTTTGGTCATTCTTCACTGAGGAAGAAGATTGAAGAGTAGAGGCATTGTAGGCAGGGCAGGACCTAGCATAATTTAACAACACAGATAAATGAAGAAAATGAGGGTCATGAGTGGGTTTGCCCCATGGAGGTAGGCTCTACCTAGGTTTGCTTGTTACTTGGTGTCAGAAAGCAGGAATTGTAAGAGAAGGGGGTGACAGGTGATGGGATCTGCAGAACTGGCCCTGGTTTTTCCCTCTTCCTAGGTCCAGGCTTCCATTCCCACAACTGTGTTGCTACTTTAAGCATTGATCTAGACCCTGCTCCACTAAACTGCCCACAGTACCTCTACTCTTCAGTTTCTCTTGGCAATGCCCTTGTGGCCAAAGGAAAGTAAGATCTCAAGATGTGGATTTAGAAGGTGGAAGTGGAAAGAGGAAGAGATTTGAGGTAGCCTGACTCACCTGTCCACTTCCACTTCATGAAGCAGGAGGGAGGGAGGCAGGGAGACAGAAGGGGAGAAGGAACATACGAGAGAGTTCTTTTCCTGGCTTTTACGGTAGAGTGATGCTGCCCATATGTAATGTCAGTCATACAACTAACTTCTACCATGGTGTGGGAGATTAGGACTAAAAACATTTTAGAAAAACATACAGCCCCCTGGACAGTAAGTAGTGTCCAGCTCTAGTGGGACAAACGTAGACATTGGAGTCCAGCAGAGCTAATTTTGTTTTAGCTGTGGACATCAATTAATTTTTTAATCTCTTTGCATCTCCATTTGTCTATCAGTAGAACAGGGATGATACGTGTTCCACAGGATTACAGAAGATTGAATGAAATAAAGTATATGAAGCATTGTGTTAGTGTCCTCAGGCTGCCATAACAAATCTCCACAAGCTTGGTACCTTAATACAACAATTTAATTTTCTCACAGTTCTGCAGGCTGGAAGTCTGAAATTAAGGTGTAGGCAGGCAGGGCCATGCTGTTTATAAAGACCCTGGAGAAGCATCTTCCTTTGCCTCTTCTTAGCTTCTGGTGGCTCAGAAATCCTTAGCATTCCTTGAAATCCTTGGCTTATAGCTGCATCACTCAGTATCTGCCTCCATCTTCACATGGCCATCTTTTCTGTGTGTGTCTACAAATCTCCCTCTCCTCATGAAGACACGATCATTGGATTTAGGACTCACTGTGACCCAGTATGACCTCATCTTAACTTGTCTACATCTGCAAAGACAATTTCTAAATAAAGTCACATTCATAGGTATTGGGGTTAGGACTTCAACATGTCTTTTTGGAGGGCACAACTCAACTCAACTCACTACATTTACCTAGCCCAGAGATTGGCGTTTTGTTGGTGATCAAAATTGTTAATCCCCTTTACCTCTCATTCCCTCTTCTCGAAGATGAAAAAACAAGTTGTTGCCTTCTTTGAAGATAAAGGGGATTAAAAATCTTGAAAACAGATTGCTGATCTTTAGCTACTGTGTTGTTTTACAGACAGATTTTTTTTAGTTTCCTTTCCATCAATATTTTGACATAACCTCCATGCAATGCTATTTACGTTTATTCAGCTTATCGATTTTTTTCTTGTCTAGTAGGTACACACTCAGGGCTCAGGGAGCAGAGGGACATGTCCAGAACAAATGGAGTACTTGGATTTCATTTTAGTGTTAATCAAAATTCAAGATTTAGGATCAAGAGGATGTTAGAGCAAGAAAACAGAATTGGTTCTCTGACAGTCTCTGATAACAGCCTTTGTGGACAGAGGCTGATTTATCAAAGATGAGTTATAAGTGGCATCACACTTTGATTCAGGTTTCAATAAGCATTTGAACTGAAGCTCCTGTTTTTGACCTAACTTAGCTTTGACAGTCTAGAAGGTCAGGGTGGCCTCATTGGTCTGTCAGAAAAAATGTAACCTTGACTACAATCTGCACTGTGGCTGCAAGAATGAGGAATAGGCTAGTTGTCTTCTAGCTCCTAAATAATACATTCGGTATCCCATGGTCTGGAGCCATTTTGAATTAAACTAATTGTCACAGGTTGGCTTTTCTGGAGACAGATGCTGATGCAGAGTTTGGGGTATAATATGCTTTCCATTGTGCAGAGAAGAGTTAGCATATCAAACCGAAGGCTGCTATCCTTAGAAAAGCTTGCTTACAAGATTGATCCTGGGCTGGTGTCTGGAAACTTGGATTTCAGGATTCCCATCTTCTTAAAACTGCTAAGAGTGGCTCCCTGTGCCTGAACTGTTTTTTACATGTAGTATAGTTTATGCTGATTACCTGCTGTTTTTCTTGGAGTATGAAATTTTGGTACATGCCAGGCACAGGGTGCCTATGTGATCAGCCTCGAATAAAAACCCTGGACACTGAGTCCCTAATGAGCTTCCCTAGTAGAATACATTTCACATGAGTTGTCACAACCCCTCTCTGGGGGAATTAAGCACATCTTTTGTGACTCCGCTGGAGTCTGGAAGCATGTGCCTGGTTTTCCTTGGGCTTTACTCCATTCTTCCCTTTTCTGACTTTGCTTTGTGTCTTTTTGCTGTAATAAACCATACCTGTGAGTGGGATTGTATGCAGGTGGCCTTGGGGACCCTTGGTACAATCAGTGACCCCCTATGAAAGGAAAAAGAAAGGAGCAGGATTGAAAACAGGAAGAAGTTGAATTGTGATTTGGGTTGACAAACCCTCAGCAGTCTGGGTGATTTTCATCTATCAAATTTGCCTTACTTTTTTTATAATCATCATCATAATAGTAGTAATAATAATAATTATTATTATCTCTTATTACACAAATAATACCTACTCATTGTAGAAATATTAGAAAACAAGCATAAAGAAGGTGAAAAACCTCATCAAGAAATTACATTCAAATAAAATTCTGGAGGATTTTCTTTATAATTTACACATGCATATGTATATATGCACATTATTTTTATTTTAGTGAAATGGAGATTATACTGTGTGTATTTCTTTGCAAAGTTACATTACTATATAAGACTTTTTATATATTATTAGAAATGTATTCAAATATCTTCTTTAAAATGCTAAGATATTCAGAACTATAGGGAAAAGGGAGAAATCTTAAAAAGCACCCAGAAAACAAAAACAGATTCTTCTAAAAGGCCATCAGGCACACTTCTGTCAGAAGACAGTAGAATGGCACCATCAACATCTTGAGGGAAAGTTATTTTAGCCATGAATTATGTAGCCAGCCATACTATCAGTCAAACTGAGAACTAAGTGACAGCATTGCCAGATGTGAGAAAAGAGCATCTTCTCCAAACGAACTTACTTGAGAATAAATAGATACTTAGGATACTTCATCAAAATAAAAAAGAATTATCCAAGAAAAAGGAAGAAATGGGATCCAAGAAACAGTTTTTCTTCAATGAGTAATGCTGTGACAATATAGAAGGCAGTGGAGAAAAAGAAAAAGCTCTCTATGATACCAGAAAACCTAGAAAGTAGCCAGGTCTGATTAAATCAGAAAGTCAGAGAACTCTGGGAATGATGACTTTAAGAAAAAGTAAATTTGACTCTCTGTAACAGATAGTATTATTAAGAACATGGGTGTATGCTAGGAAGAAAAAAGATAGGCCATGAAAAACTTCAGGAAAAACAAAAAGTCACACAAGGAAGTGCTAATTCACACTGAAGCAAACTAAAAATGTAGCCTGATTTGGAATAATTGATAAAGTGTGAGAAAAGGGACTGAATTAGGAACACACTCCTTTGAGGAGCAGATATTTAGTGTCACAGGATTGGATCCAATTACTTTACTCTGCAGTGAGCAAATTTTGCCTAATCATAATAATATTGTCTTTTAAAATTTGTAGTTGCTGGGATTAACCTATAAACAATAATCAGGATTGAATTCTGGTTGCAGAACAAAATATATATGCTATAAACCTAAAAAATGCTAGAAGGCAGAAGCAGGGAAGGAGGGGCGGGGGTAAATGTGGCCCACTAATCTCACCAGTCAGAAGACAAGAGATTTTCTCTAAATATAATACCGTAAAAATTGGGGTTTAATTATTTAATCTAAAGTTAATAGAGGGTAGCGGGAAGGTGAGGGTGCCATGGGTTCTTCCTCTGGCCTCTGCAAAATTCTACCTGTGATTCTCAGAAAATGTCACGGATCCCTAGTGCTTCCTTTGGATTATCATGTTTTTGATTTGGAAACTTAACATTCTTGAGTGTCTGTGATGTGCTAGGCGTGCGGCTGGATGGTGCTATTGTGTGCAAATCACCATGCCTCAGGTCTTTGACAGGCTTGTCATGCACTGAGGAAGTTCAGGCTCAGAGAGGACCAGCGAGGGCCTCCAGGCAGCCAGCTGGTAGCTGGCAGAGCGAGACTCAAATGCAAGCGAGTCCCCTGGTCCCTGCTTGGTCTGCTCTGACACTCAATCATCTGTGAGGCCTGGGAGACATGCTGTCTGACCACACATGAATCCTGCTCTCCTCTTGTCTCCACAGGTTCTGCCGCACCACGGCCTCCACGCAGCAGGGTTCTTCATTGCCTTCCTCCTCTCCCTTGTGCTGACCTGGGCTGCCCTCTTCCTCATGGTTCGCTATCAGTGTCTGAAGGGAAACATGCTCACCAGACATCGGGTGAGTCTTCCCTGAGGGTGGTTTGGAAGGTGGTGAATGTGAGGTTGAAGTTCATCCCCCAGTTCTGTGGGTCTCAGCCCTGGATCCCCATCAGCATTGCTGAGGGAGCTGTGCACAAAAACCCATGCCCAGGGCCCACCTCCAAAACTGCTGTTTGTCCTGGGATGCATCCCCATCATTCTTTTTTTTTCTTAAGAGCCAGGGTCTTGCTGTGCTGTGCAGGCTGAGTCCAGTGGCGATTCCTAGGCACAATCACAGAACGTTACAACTTGGAACTCCTGGGCTTAAGCAGTCCTCCTGCTTCAGCCTTCCAGGTAGCTGGGACTGCAGCTACACACCAACATGCCTGGTTTAGTCATTTTTAAAACTTCTAAGCAGCAACCAGGTGGGAGAACCACTGCAGCCATTACCCCATACAAAGCCCATCACCCACACGCAGCCTGTCACCCACATGCATCCCATTACCCACGGGCATCCCATCACCCACACGCATCCCGTCACCCACACGCATCCCGTCACCCCACATGCATCCTGTCACCCACACGCACCCCATCACCCACACACACCCCATCACCCACACGCAGCCCGTCACCCACACGCACCCCATCACCCACACGTACCCCATCACCCACACGCAGCCCATTACCTGAGACTAGAATTCCCATTCAAGTAGCTTATGTGGGAAGTGATCCCAGGACAAAAGGGGAGGTGGTGGGAAGTGAGGCAGAAAGGGAAGGTGTCTGGTAAAGGGTGTGTTTCATCAGGGACCTGGGCCCTGATGGGCTTAGTCCTGCCCTGGGGCTTAGTCCTGCCCAGGGGCTCTGGAGGCTGGAAATTCCACCCCAGCCTGGGTGAGGAGCCTGTTGTTCATTTTGTCCCTGCTTCTTGGAGGAGAGGATTGTCATTTCAAAATGAGGTCAGCCCACAGTCTCCTTGGCGGGCAAAAGTGAGAAGAAAAACGTCCCATCTAATCAGACCTTGTACTGATTCTCCCAAAGCTGTTATCAATCAGAAGAACTAAACGCACCCTGCTGCTTTGATGTCGGAGCAGGATTCATTTTCCAGAGATTAAGGCAGATCATAAGAACTGCACAGAGGAAAGCAAGAGTATGAATTTGATTTAAGGCGTGAAGACCCTTGCAGTACTTTTTTCCTGGCATCACAGAATGAACTCTTCTCACATTTTTCTTTATTTTTTTGCCAGCATAGTGGTGGTCAGTGGTCTGCTCTAAAGCAGAAGGCAGCCTTCAGAGTTGGATTGGGGTTAAAAATCAACCGGGCTCTTCTGAGCTGTGTGACCTTCAATAACGTTATTTCACTTCTGTGAGCCTCAGTTTTCCTATTTGTAAAATGGGGGCACCAACACTGCGTTGTTGTAACAGCTTCATGATAACACAAAGAAAGCACTGAAAATAATACCTGGCACAGGGACAAGAATTGTTAAAGGTTAGCTATAGCTATGCATTTTTGCAGAGTTAATGATATTGGAGACAACACAGATATCTCTTATCCAATCAGAGGGTTGGGCTTATTTATCTCTAATGTCACTTCCAGCTCACAATCCTATATTCTTTCTTTCTTTCTTTATTTTTTTGAGACAGAGTCTCACTCTGTCTCCCAGGATGGAGTGCAGTGGCGCAATCTCGGCTCACTGCAGCTTCCGTCTCCTGGGTTCAAGTGGTTCTCCTGCCTTAGCCTCCTGAGTAGCTGGGATTACAGGTGCCTGCCACCACGCCTGGCTAATTTTTGTATTTTTAGTAGAGACAGGGTTTCACCGTGTTGGCCAGGCTGGTGTCAAACTCCTAACCTCAAGTGATCCATCCACCTCAGCCTCCCAAAGTGCTGGGATTACAGGCGTGAGCCACCACGCCCCACTCAATCCTATATTCCGATTAGAAACTAGCCAGATCTCTGATGTCAAGGTCCATCATACCTGTTTTGAGGTTTCCTCTACCTGATAATGATAAAGATGATGATAGTTAAATAGTTTATAGGTCTTACAGGCTGAAAAGTTCTTTCTGTCCATTGTTCCACTTTACCCACACAACATCCTCATGCAGGGCTAGTAGAATTATGATCCCATTTCTTTGCAGAGAAAACAGAGGCTCAGGGACATTCGCAAAAGCTTGTCTGGGTTTACTGTGGTCACAGTGGTGGGGCTGATTGGGTGCTCAGACTGCAGACCCCTGGCCTTCCCTCCTGGCTTTCTCAGCACGTGGAATTCACAAGAAGGCCCAATCAATTATTATTTCCGCAATTCTCCTGAAGGTTTGGCAGTATGAGAGCAAGCTGGAACCCTTGCCGTTCACCTCAGCTGATGGCGTGAATGAGGACCTTTCCCTTAACGACCAAATGATAGACATTCTGTCTTCCGAGGACCCTGGGAGCATGCTTCAAGCCTTAGAAGAGTAAGAATTCTAAATCCCATTATACTTACACACATGTGATGAATGTTTTAACGACAGTGACATAAGGCCAAATGCTGAGTATATTTCATTCATTCAGTTAATCATTTGTCACTCTGTAGTCATAATTCAACAACTGCTATGCACTGAATGTTTGGCATCTAGGAAAAGAGGTGTAGATGACATACTTCCTGCTCTAAGGAAGTCTGATCTAGTAGGAAAGACTGAAACATAAACAGAAGTGACCACAGAATTGGGTGACCACCATGCAAATGGGAAGGTCAGGGCCGGCAGAGCACAGAAGAGGAAGTAATTACTTCTGAGAAAGTCACAGAAATGCTTCCTGGAGGAGGTGGCATTGAACTAATTATTTCAATAATTATTGGATAATTATTGAATAATTATTATTTTAATAATTATATTTAATATTATATTTATATTTAATATCAATATAAATATAATTAATATATTATATTTTAATATAATTAATCTAAATATATTTAAATATAATTAAAATAAATATGATTAATATAAATATATATTATATTTAATATATTTAATATTAATATTATATTTAATATATTTAATATTAATATTATATTTAATATATTTAATATTAATATTATATTTAATATTATATTAATAATAATTATTGAATAATTAGTTTATTCAATAAACTATTGAACTAATAACAATTTTTTTATTTATTTTTAACTTTTAAGTTTAGGGATATGCGTGTAGGTTTGTTATATAGGTAAACTCGTGTCACAGGGGGTTTGTTGTACAGATTATTTCATCATCCAGGTATTAAGTCTAGTACTCATTAGTTAAGAGGGAGAGAATCTGAATTGATTCTGAAAGCTTATGAAGAAGCTTTCCAAGTTGATTAAGCGTGGAAACGATTTTCAGACAGAGGAAAGAAAGGGCAGATGTAAGGACGTGAAAGGAGCAAGGTGCGTTTGGTGAGATGTCAGTAGCCAAGTGTGGCTGATGTGCAGATTGGGGTATTGAGTATAGAAAATAAAGAAGAGGCAGCAGGGGAGAGAGGCCAGACCAGGTGATGTGAGTGTGTACTGAACTGAATTCAGTTCTTCTTATGTAGTTAATGAATATTAACATCATCCTCCCTATGTGCAATAGCAGATAGTGCCAGACACTGTTTAAGAACTTCACAGAACTAACTCGTATAATCCTCTTAACAAGCCCATGAAGTAGGTATTGCTCTCTGTAACATCTTATGGATGAGAACTGGAGAGAGGTTAAGTAACTTGCCCAAGGGCATATACTAGTAAATGATAGGGTCAGGTTTTAAACTCAGGTCATCTGCTCCATGGTCCAGGCTTTTAATCATTGCCCAAGATTTCTCCTGGATGGACACATGGGTCACAGTCTAATAGATAACCTTAACTAGATGAGGTTCATCAGCATGGCCTTGTCGTTCCTTCTTTCCTTTCATCAGATATTTAAGATGACTTCTTTATGTTTTCTTTAATTTTCCGTTGTTTTGGCCAAAAATCTCAATCTTATTTTTTTATTTACTCTCAAACAAAATTATTTTGAAGTGTCTGACTGAAGACGTTATTATCTGTACCCTCGTTCTGTGTCTGTTATCTAGAGTACCACTCAGTTTTTGATCATATTTTCTTGTCTCATATCTCTGTGTATTTTTGATTATGTGCTAGACATTGTATAGGAAGTTGAGAAGACAATCTGAGGACGAGGGTGATGTTATCTTCTTCTAAGTGGCTAGCAACATAATTATGGATTATATTAATCCAGTCAGAGATTGAGATCATTCAAAGCTGGGCTTCATTTCTCCCAGATCAAATTCTTATTTGGTTATATCTGATGATTTTTATTTTAACATTCTTTGCTTTCTTGGTAGACTGCTGATGATTAATAATGGGGCCAAATGTGAACCCTTCAAATTGGATTCCATTTACAGGAAACTTTTTTTATTCTAGATTAAAGATGTGTGGCTTTCTGCCCACTCACTACCCACTGGAGGGTAATTTGTGTGAATTTGGAATCATCAAGATGACAATAAACTGTAATGCCTTATGTTTTCAGATAAAATACCTTATGTTTATGTCACATTTAGAAATGTGCACACCCCTTATTTAATTTGGTGCTCATGTCACGCCCCTTATTTAATTTGGTACTGCTTTTTGGTATGGCATCTTATTTTCAGTGTTTGATAGTTGAAGCAGCTGAGGCTCAGCTAGGCTGAGAGGTTTACCCACAGTGATACATCTGGTGAGTGAAGAATGGGACTTGAGCTTCCTCACTATTTAGGCTCAGGCACATTTATATTTTACAGACATTCTCTGAGCCTAGTTTTCTCATCTCTCAAATGGGGAACCCGTAACCTAGAGCCTTTTGATACTGTCATGTGTAATGATGTGAAAGAGACTTGTGATGGGGATGCATCCTTATGGTGATAGCTGCCTGTGAGCCCTGGTCAGATTAGCAGACCATAAAGAGAAGTGGTCAGGGCGAGTAGCCCTTCCTTGAGTCTTTCTCAAGAGAATTGAAAGCATACTGAAAATGGGAGATCTGGGAAGCAAAACTGAGCAGCTTCCTGATCCTATCTCCCTGGGTCCAGGAAGTGGTGTCCTGTGACACAAAGAGGTAGATCCTAGGTAGAACCAGAAACAGCTCTGGCTCATCCTTTTCAGGAGCAACTACTTAACTGGCCTGAGAGAAGAGCTCTGCTAGGTCTGACTCATGCCACTTTGTGAGCTCAATGACTGTTCTCAGAAGAAAGGGACTCTCCTCTGTTTTGAATGGGTGCTCCTTCCTCACAGAGTGCCTGGTGAAGAGCCAGGCTTGGAGCCTCGTAAGTGCAGGGCTGACCTTGCACCAAGAGGGGAGTCAGGGCTTGTTAATCCATTTCTGGGTGCCAGAGTTGTGTGGCTTGGTTAATTAAGCCTTGTGCAGCCATCCAGATGCCATTCTTCATTTTCACTTAACTCCCTAATCAGAATGGCAAGGATTACAAATTAAAATTTGCCACCTTGTCTGAAGTAGTAGGGAGAAATGGACGAGCAATGGGAGACGAAGTTATTGGCAGAGGTTCATAAATGTCACTTATTATATTAAGTGATGTGAGCAGCTAATTATCAAATGATTTCAGAGCTAAAAGTCTGTTTTCTTACAAAACATGAAAATGAAAAGTAGAGTGAAATGATTTGGATCATGCAATCAGCACCCGGATATTTAATTTGCAAGTATGTGGTACTCTATAACCTTCTGACTAAAGTAATTAGTACTTTAAAAGAGGAAAGTATTAATCCTCCTGTTTTTGTTTTTTATTCAAAAAGTGATGGGGCATAAGAAGCCGAGTCTTTCTTTATCCCTACATTATATGAAATTATAAGCAGCTGCTGCAGTTTGCCAGTCCTGATGCTTGAGTACAATAGGAATGTTGAAGTTTATAATGATTTTGTTCTTGCACCTCTGGAATTATATATTCATTTCTCTTGGGAGCTTGTCTTATTTTGCCTGAAGAGTGTTTAGCATTGATTATCAAGCATGCACGGAGAGTGTTCAGCTTGTGAGCTAAATTCATTCCTCTCTTCCTCTCCCCCAGCCTCCCATCCTCCCTCCCGTCCCAACATTCAATATTTATTGAACTCCAATTCAGTTTCAGGCATTGTGGTTGGACACTAGTTTTAAGAACCCAGTCTTTTTTTTTTTTTTTTCAATTATAGCATTGCCAATTACTTTTAATCTTTCCATCTTGCTCTGTGGTCCTGCTTAGATGCTCCCAGAAAGAAAATGTCACTCAGAATGGCAGGAGCTTAGTATGCATGGAAATCTGTGATACACTTCCCACTAAAAATAGCATTTTTCTCTGGCAAATCAGTTATCGCATTTGTAATTCTAACATGAAGCTTAGCTGGGATTCGAAATATGCCATTACGTGACTTGATTGCCCCCTCATTTCAAGCCCCATGAGAGCTGTAACTTTGCTCTATCCTGCCGAGTTATTTTTGACAAAGAGCATTTCCGAGGTGTGCGTGGTGGTTTATCTTTTACATTGCTTATTCATAGGCTGTCTCTTACAGAGAGGATTTGAGGAAGGAATATTTCCTTTGATTTTTATCAGGCTCCTTGACTGTGGTTATAATGGAGGTGGACTCAGTCTCAGCACATGCTGGGACCAGGAGGAGGGAGGAACTGGGCAGGACTGGCTGGTCCTGGAAGCTTCTAGGGGCATGGAGTGCCGAGCATGTTTTAGCTCCAGCCTTACTCTGGGCCTGACCACTGCCACACACCTCTCGCCTGCGATCTTATTTAATTCTCACAACTCTCTCGTTTTAGACCAGGAAGCTGGGGTTCAGAAAGATTTATTGGTTTTTCCCTAAGGTCACACAGGTAGTAATGGATTTGGCTTAGGCCTGAGTGTTTTCAATCTTTTCTTCTACTGACCGAACAGCTTTTTAAAAAGACTGAGCTTAGATTTTTTCAGAGTCAAAGAACGTAAGACAAAAAAAGAAGTTCAGACCTATGTCTGTTTTCTCTATTATTAGAATGAGCTTAGGACTCTTTCTGGATGCTACCAACATTACCTCTAAACTGTCTCGAAATTGTGTTTGTACAAAGTAAGTGTTCCATGAGTATTTGTCGAATTGAGGTTTTTAAATATGTGTGTTTAGTAGTTTTTTATGTGCCAACCATATGGTATATTTTTACAACTACTACTCTTTTTATTCTTTGTAAACACTTTAGAGAAATGATTTTGTTCCTCATCTCTAAAAACTTGAAGCCCAGGGAAGTTAAACAACTCATCCAAGGTTCTTTGTTCACTTGTTCTTTGATTGGGTTGCTGGTTCATGCAAGCAGTACTTTTAAAAAAGTAATTAATGGATTGATGAATCCAACAGATTCTTGCTGAGGGCTCCTTCTGCATCAAGCACTGTGGTAGATCCAAGACTCTTGTTTGCCGGACACTAGCAAGTAAGAGTCTTGGTTTTTGTCCTTATAGAGAGTATACAAGCAAACACAACCCTGTGCACTGGTAACTCTTTGATTCTACACTATGGTCAGAGCTATGAAGGGGCAAGGGGCTCTGTTAAAGAATCTTGGAGAGGATGCTTCTAATGGAGGCTTGTTAAGCTGAGAGCTGGCGATGAGCGTTTTGGAGTGGGCAGCAAGCACAAGAGGTGGGAAGGGATGTGGACATTTGAGGACCCAAAAGAGGACCAGGCCAGGGTGGGAGGTGTAGAGGGCACAGAGATTGAAGAGTCATCAGAGCCAGTGAGGGGCCTTCCCTACAGCAGCACTGCCTCCATTCTTTATCCTGAAATTCTGATTTTCTTCACAACACTCAAGGCTGCCGGAAACTACCTTTTTTTTTTTTCTTTTTCAAATTAATGTTGTTGTATTTCATCTTACCCACCTGAGCAGTAAGTTATGTGAGTGCAGGGACCTTCTGTCTTGCTTGCTGATTCATCCCCAGTGCCTCCAACAGTGCCTGGCACAGTAGGTGCCTCTACACAATGGTGTTCTTGGTGGAAAGTCGCCTGCAGAGAAAATTTGAGGCTATAAGGTACATGATAGCAAAGATTAGGATGAGGTGCAGCATTACTCAAACCAGAAGACAACACAACATGTTTCCAGATGTGATGTGGCTCTTCAGGCTACCCAGCTTCCTCCAAGGATGTCCTGTGGCTGGGACACTCTTGCAGGGAGATTCTGTTTGATGGAAGGACTGGAGAGGAGTTGGGCCATCATCTGTCATGGTAGGAAGGATGGCAGAGTCTGTGTAGATGCAGCAGATACGTGGCTTGGGGAGGGAACATGGGATGAACCTGTCAGATGCTTCTCAATGAAGTTCAAGGTGAGGACAGCAGAGGAGGAAAAGGTGGGAATGTAAAAAGTGTGAAGCAGTCCTGACCACGGGGAAGTGGCTTACTAGAGAAACCCAGACTTGCTGAGCAACATGGAGTGCCCGTGTGAGGCTGGTGGGCCTCCCTGCCTGGACGAGGTGCCTTCCCCTGCAGTGGTCTCAGTGGTCTGGATGGAGGCATGGAGGCCACTGGCGGGCAGGGCATAGAGCCCAGTGGTTAAAACCCAGGCCTGACTGCTAGCGTTGAGTCCCAGTTCTGCCACTTACCGTGTTGGTGACTCCACTTGCCTTACCTATACAATGGGATGCAGTGCTGACCTCATCCTGGTACCGGAACCAGAGCTGGCCTGGAGAGCTTTTCCAGGTGAGAGGGAGAGGGATAGGGACTTAGCTGTATTAGTATCCTGTGGCTGTTGTCACAAATTACCGTAACCTTGGTGGTTTCATGCAACAGAAACTCACCGTGTCACTGTTCTGGAGGCCAGAGTCCCAAATCACTTTCTCTGGGCTGAAATCAAGGTATCAGCAGGGCCATGCTCCCTTCAAAGGCTCTGGGAGGGTTGTTCCTGTCTCTTCCAGCTTCTGGGGCTTCCAAGGCTGCAGCACTTCTTGGCTTGTGGCCAACTTACTTCCATCTCTGCCTGCACGTGACCTCCCCTTCTTCTGTGTGTGTGAAATCTTCCTCTGCTCTCTCTTAGGAGGCCACTTGGGACTGGGTTTAGGGCTCACTGGATAATCCAGCATAGTCTCCTCGTGTCAAGATCCTTCACTTAATTATATCTGCAAAGGCCCTTTTCCCTTCGAAGGTCACATTTCCAGGTTCCAGGAATTAGGGCTGGAAATCTTTGGGTGGAAGTGATCGCAACATCTCAAGAGGATGAGGAAGGAAGTGGAGACTTGAGGGACCTCGAGAAGAAGTGAAAGGAGGGGGTCAGTGAGTTAGAGGACTCGATGGGGTGTGTCAGAGAATGGTTTATGGAATGTTCCTGAGGAGCTGAGGGGTCTTCTTAGACACTGGCATGCTGGGAACGGTTACCTCTCCATCAGCAATGGTTGGTCCAGGGCTCAAACCCAGGTCTTCTGACTCCAAGGCCAGGACATCCTCTGGTGCTTCCTGGCTGTTTGTGGACCATTTGGTGGAGATTCTTAGGTCATGCAAGAGGAGACTCACAAAGAGGGAAGAGCCTAAGGTCTGAGTGGAAGCAGCTCTTTTCTGAGACTACAGTGCAGCTTGCCTACCTCCCCCACTTCCCTCAGGAATAGGGATAGACATGGTTCCTTGCACATGGCAGATGCTCATGAAATAGTTCTGGAATTGAACCATCTCACTTCATGACCTGTTGTGAGATATTCCACTGGAAATCCTTGTGGGGTGGTGGTCAGTTTTACGAGGCCCATAAATAATGCCCCTCTCTTTCCCTTCCAAGTTCTAAGCTATTTTGAAACTGTCCTCCCTCCCTCCCTCCCTCCCTCTCTTCTTCCCTCCCTCCCTTCCTTCCTTCTCTTCCTTCCATTTTTTTTTTTTACATGTGGATTAAGTATTTGGTCCATGCCAGGGGCTGTGTGTGCGTGCTCTGCCTCTGAGGCTCTCAGCACAGTCTGTGATGCGCGAGTTGTGTCTATTTCCCATATCAAACCCTGTCCCTTGGGTGGTGCAGGCCTGGCGGTACCAGGTGAACCTCAACCAGCATGTCTGGGCTGGGTCTAAAGGGCCATTAAGACTTGTCAGAATGTGCGTGGGGCATTTCCAGCAGAGGGAACGTGTGCCAGAGGAGAGACTGCAGGAGGCTGGACACAGGGGTGGTAGCGGGGAAGAGGCCTTAGTCTCTGAAAGAGGGTCCTCATGGACCCTTGAATCCCTCCTCACTCCAGCCCCATGATACAGATAACCTGTGTCTAGGTCCCTCTACCTTTCTGGAAGGATCAGTATCAGAGTTCACCTGGAGCACCAGATGGCTGGCAGGAGCAAAGGTCAGCTAAGGTGGACAGCAGCCCTGTCCTCAAACCTGATCCTTGCTTCTGGATTTCCTGAGAGGTGGCAGGTTCCTGCGCAGCACCTGACATGACGGGGTTCTTATGGGGTTTGTAAAGGGGTCACTGGAGAGCAGAGCAGAGGGAATGCCTGCTGGGTTCCCACGGCAACTCTCGCTGTCGTCTTCCAGCAAGGTGAGGATTTCTTGAGGAGTTCTGTGTGACAAACACCTTCTGTTCTCTTGGCAAGTGTTGACTGTGCTCTCCTTCAGCGCTAGGCACGATGTAGGCTGGGTGCCGGGGAGGAAGCCAAGAAAAGCAGGGAGCCTCTCAATACCCACTGTCTGCAGGAAGAGAGGACTCGTGCCGAGAAGCATGGTGCAGGGTACAGCGCAAGATGAAACCAGCATTGCAGTGGCAGCTTCCACCCGACCTGTGACACTCAACATGTTTCTCACTCTGTTCCCAACTGCTTGTTCTGCTTAGTTATGGCCATAGGGGCCTGACTCAACAACAGAGTGGTCTCCTTCAGCGGCCTGGAAGTGTGTCCTTACACCCCTGGACGTGGATTAACCATGCATGGATTAACCATGCACGCCCAGGCCAAGCCTATGTTCCATAGGATTCTCCTCACTCCAGGCACAGTGTGGAATTCAGAAAACATCAGCAAAACTCCAGCCACCCCCACAGTGATGCCCCTGGGCTGCTGGCCTGCACTGCCATTGCCCACCAAAGATTGGAGGAAACCCTTGGAAATGCAAAGAAAGGGCAGGTGAGCAGAGTCGCCTTAGGGAACGGAGAAGCTGACTGCTAGGTTGAAACCTCAAGGATGTAAATGCAAGGGAGAGGCGTCTCCAGTGAGAGGTCCCCTCTGGCACTGTGGATTCCAGAACCCAGAGAAATTCATGTGTGACCTCCTTCTCTAAAAGAGGAGCTTCTGAGAGACCCCTCAAAAACTGCCATCTCTGCCGCAGGGCCTTTCCTGGACTCCAGGGCTGACTCCAGGCCTCACTCCAGGCCTCCTCTTCTCCCTATAGGATATATAGGCTGTTTCCAACCTCTTTTTTTTTTGAGACGGAGTCTCACTCTGTCACTCAGCCTGGAGTGCCGTGGCACAATCTTGGCTCACTGCAACCTCCGCCTCCTAGGTTCAAGTGATTCTCCTGCCTCAGCCTCCTGAGTAGCTGGGATTACAGGCGCCCGCCACCACGCCCAGCTAATTTTTGTATTTTTAGTAGAGACGGGGTTTCACCATGTTGGCCAGGCTGGTGTCGAACTCCTTACCTCAGGTGATCCGCCTGCCTCGGCCTCCCAAAGTGCTGGGATTACAGGCATGAACCACCATGCCCGGCCTGTTTTCAGCCTCTCGTTTCAAGTTCCCATTGCAGCTCCAGATTCTTGGCATCTCAGCGCTGAAGAGAGGGTGGGCCTCGTTTGTAACAGGCACGCATTAAGGAGTCCAGCTCTACTTTTTGTTTACGTAATAGATTATTTTTTAGAACAGTTTTAGATTTATAGAAACATTGAGAGAAGAATACAGAGAGTTCCCATATCTCCCAGACCCAGTTTCCCTTAGTACTCATGTCTTATATTAGCATGCTACATTTGTTACAGTGAATGATCCAATATTGATACATTATTATTAGCTAAAGTTCACAGTCTGTTCAGATTTCCCTAGTTTTTACCAAATGCCCCTTTTCTGTCCAGAGGAAAAGACTTTTTACCGTGACCTTACCTTTCTTAGGGGAAAGAGCATTGTCCCAGCTCATGAGTTAAGAGCTAACCTGAAGATAAAGCAGTTTACACCTTCCCAGGAAAACAGAATCTTAGAATCTGGATACTGCAAAGGATCTTAGTAGTCATCTGGCCCAAATTCTTGGCTAGAGCAGGAATAGTCTCTGGTACGCCTAATAGATGGCCAACCCATTTCTAGTTGGATGTTGTCATGGATGGAGAGGGACTGCAGTCCCTTCAGGGTTGCTGTCATGGGTGGAATTGTGTCCCTCACAAAGCTATGTTGAAGTCATAACTCCTTGGACAGTGAGTGTAACCTTATTTGGAAGTATAATCTTTGCAGTTGTAACCTCACTAAGGTGAGGCTATTAGGGTGGGCCTTGATCCAACGTGACTGGTATATTCATAAGAAGAGGGAAATCTGGACGTAGACACAGGAGGGACCCCATGTGAAGAGAGGCACACACTGAAATGATGCAGCTGCAAGCTAAGGAACACCAAGGGTTGCTGGCAACACCGAGCTGGCATGGAACGGATCCTCCCTCACAGCCTGCAGGAGGAACCATCCCTGCCAACACCTTGAGTTTGGACTGTTGGCCTCCAGAACTGTGAGGGAATAAATGTTTGTTGTTCTAAGCCATCTAGCTGATGGTACTTGGCTACATAGGAAAGTACCCTAGGAAACAAATACATCTCCCTAAGCCACACCTTCTGAACCAGGACCTGAGAGCAGGCCTGGGGAGCTGCATTTCATATCTTCAAATCATTCTGGTCATTCTGATGCTTAATAGTTTGAGAACTTCTGCAGGACAGCAGAGTACCCCAATGATGCATCCTCTAGTTGGTTCTGAGGTGAGTCACAAGAATCCTCATCTAAGGCTGCAGACCCTCCCTGCCATCTCCCTCACCCTGGGGTTTTTATCCACCAGCAGCTCCAAGCCCTTGCCGGCTGGAGGATGCTCCTGAGGACCTTAACTTCCTGGCACAGCTGCCTACCGTTTGCATGAGCTGACACCTTCGTCTCGGCCTTCTGGTCTCTGAGCTGTGAAGTGACATTTCTGTTGGTTGAAGCCACCCACTTTGTGTTACTTTGTTACAGCAGCCACAGGAAACACATGCAGTTCTCCATCTCAGTGCTGGGCAGCTGACAGTCCCCGGAGGGTGCGTCTGTCCTTAACCGGAAATCCATTTATACAGTGTCACATGTGGTAAACATGGTGTTTACTACAAACAACCGGCTGAATTGTGTTGCCATCCTGACGCAGCCTCTCCTCACCTCCACACTGGTCCCTGCGTGGGACTTCCCTCTCCCTCCTGGAGCTCTCCACCTCTTACCACCTCATCACCAGCACCTGAGTCCCAGCCATTGCTATTTCTTTCTTGGCCTCTGCCACCAACTTCACGTCCATCCCTAACCGTCCAGTCCATTCACACACCAGCCAGAGGCACCTTTTCAGTGAACTCGGTTGGGTCACATGTGCTGAAAAGCCTTCGCCAGCTTCCCCCTGTTCCCTGGTAAAACTCAAATCCCCACCATGGCCTGCAAGGCTCCGTGTCAGATGCCTAAGGCTGTTTAGCCTGGATTGGTGATATTTTGTGATCGCCTGATTATAATCATCAGATATATGCAAGGTTGTCATGGATAAGACAGTGCAACCTGGGACAATGATGGAAATTTTAGGGAGACAAATGTCAGCTAATTATGAAGAAGGCCTTTCTACTTCTCTAAGCTCAGCTATAAGGGGAGTTAGCCTGGAGGGGCAGCTAGCTCCCCATTGTGGTGGGTGCACATAGCAGAGGCTGGGGAATGCCTGGCAGAGAAGATGTTCAGAAAGCCCAGGTGTTGGTTGGAAAGGTGACTTACTTAGCTGACATCCAAGGTTTATTCCATTTCTAAAGCTACCTTTACATTTTCCATGCTACAGTTCTTTCCTATGATTGTCATCTAACCTTCAGGTAGAGCACACTTTGCCTTTCCAAATAAGAGTTTCAAATGTTATTTCTCTATCTACCTACCTATCAGTCATTCATTCATCCACTAATCCATCCATCCATCTACCCACCCACCCATTCACTTGTTCTTCCACCTACCCATGCACCCATACACCTACTCATTCCGCCATCCATCATCCATTTACTCATCTGTCCTTCCACCCATCTTTTTCACCCACCCATTCTTTCATTCATCTATTCATCCATCCTATCTACTCATCCACCTATCTGCCCATCTATCAATTTGCCCATTCACCCATCTGTCCACCTATCATCCATCCATCTGCATATCCATCCACCCACCCATCTATCATCCATACTTCATCTACCCATCCAATCTTCCATCCAGCCAGCTAGCCATCTATCGACCCATCTATTCGCCTACCCGTGCATTCCTCCATTCATACATCCATCATCCATTCATTCATCTATCCCTCCGTCTGTCGTCTATCCATTCATCCATTCTTCCATCTAGCCCTTCACCCATCTGTCCATCTGTCCATTCACCCATGCAGCCATCCACCCATCCATCCACGTGTTTATCATGTTTCCCCTGCATCTTCTTTTCTGTGCTGTAAAAAATGATATCAAGAAAGACATGACAGACATAACAGCAGCAACAACAATGAGAAGTCACATTTTCCAGCATCTGTTCTGTGCCAGAGACTGGGCTAAGTGCTTCGTGTGTGCCGTTTTGAGACAGTAGGACAGATGGTACAGCAAGGACTCTGGAGAAACATGTCATGAGTTCAAATCCCAGTTCTGTCATTTAATAGTTATATGACTTTGAAAAAGGTATTTTAATTTTTCTATGCCTCAGTTTCTTTACCTGTAAGAGAGATGTTAATCACCTACCTTATAGGATTTTTTTGTGATGATTAAATGGCTCTCTCTCTCTCTCTCTCTCTCTCTCTCTCTCTATATATATATATATATATATATATATATATATATGGCGATTAAAACAAAGCCTGATCGTAAGAGGCACTATTGCTAATCCTCTCAGTGACTTTCGTTTGATGTAGGTGATAATATTCTCACATAGCCAACAGGGAAACTAGGCTCAGAGATACGAATAAACCATCTGAGCTCATGTGGTTCCTGAGGGGTAAAGCTGATATTAGAAGCTAAGTTAATGTGACTTCCAAGCCCATGCTTCCAAACATAATGAAATATCACCCAGGAAAAGTTGATTAGGATATGTGTGAAAGAGGGTTAGGAGGGAAGCGCAGGAAGGACAGGGAGGATTTGAGGCAGAGAGAGGTAGTCCTACTTCCCCTTTTTGCCTCTTCCAGGGCTGAGCCTTCTGTCATAGTCTGGCCAGTGGGTGGAGTAGGGAGTGGGCAGTAATATGGAAATCCCAGGAAGGAAGAGTTAGTGGCATCTGTCTGCATCTTTGCCCCCTTTAAGGAGTAGCTCGAGGCCTGGAGAGGGAAGGCCCAATCCCACTTCTAAACATAGAAATCTTTAAGAGCAAAATTGTCAGCGAAGAAAGATGCAAACTGCTGACCTCTTGTACCTTGCAGTCTAGGTTTTACCCAACTAGAAATTTAATGGTTTGTCATAAGTCTTATTGGTGTTTTGCTCATGTAGGTGACTATTTTTACTCTCATTTAACCTCTCATTACAATTTGGACAGCAAATATACTCAGGAGGTATTTTTCTCCCCAAATTTCCATTGTCTATGCCTTCAAATGGATAGTTTATAAACATGATTGATGGTCCCAGAGAGGAATCTTGCAGTATTATCTGTCCATTGGAATTAGCTTCTGATGAGGAAAATTTCAGTTTCACTCGTATTGAATAGGTTTTGGGGGTCTATTGTGCTTACACCTGCTACCTTGAAGATGCCAGATTTATATTGTAAAAAATGGCTGTGGTGATTTCATTTTCCTTCTGAATTAATTATCCACCATGTTGATTAATGAGTCCTCCTTCACTTTCTGGACAACATTTGCTGCATGTGTGTCAAATTCTATCCTAATTTTGTTCTGACACCTTGCTTGCCATTTGGTGAGAACTTGATTAATTTTTATGTGAAATAAGAAGAAAGAAAGAAGAATTAATGTCATCTTCTCTCTTTTTTTATCATTAGTAGCTAATCAAAATATTAATCAGTTTTTGGATAATTTAAGCGGTACTGTTTCCCTTGAAAGATGTTATCATTGGCAAGTTTTAATAGCTTACATTTAGTAAGTGCTTCCTGTGTGCTGGGCGTGGTTCTAAACTCCAGTCACTTCCAAGAGGAATATCACTTGTACAGTTTGCATATGTAGCAAAACTGGCCAGAGAAAATATGTTCATCTTTGAAGCACAGTGACAAGATGACATTTTTGTGACCTCAAAAAAACAAATGTTCCTGGGAAGGCAGTGGGTGAATCCTGCTAACTTTGCCGAGCTGTTGAGGTAGTAAAGATGCCCCAGACTCAGAGCCCAGCATGTGTAACCCAAAATGTCTCTGTCCGCCTCATGGGATTGTTAGGGACTTTCAGGGGAATGGAAAAATACGTGTATTTCATTGTTGTCTGAATAATTAAAAATGGCACAATGCCATAGAGGGCAATGAAAATTTAAGTCTTCACCAGTGGACCTGATCCTGTATGGAAATGAAGAATTCTTAGTATTTGTTTTCCTCTCTTGCAGCCCTTTGGGAAATTAAAGGATGAGAGTTGGCTTCATTAGTGGCATGGTATTTTAATCGACGTAGAGGGACATTTTCTTGTCTTTGTGGCTTTGGAACACCCTGACAGTTTTTATCATCATCTCTTCTGACAGATTATCTATAGTGATTAACATTAAAACTGTTACAATAAAGAGTGCCTCTGGGACTGTCTTCCCAGGCAACTGGGAAGGTGAGCTGTGGGCCCTGACTCTATTCTGCAGCCAATCTTCTGTGAGAGGGAAGAACCAAGAATGAGGAAACTATTATTATTTAGAACCAACAAAATGCCAGACTGTGCTGTGTGCCTTCTGTTTCTTCTCTTCTTTAACTCTGAACAACAACCTATGAGGGTGGTCCTCATTGTGCTGGTGTGGAAACTAAATTCTTTATCCAGGCCCCTTAGCTAGCAGGTGCTTTCACAGCAAACCACCGGTAAAGCACCTGGTACAGCACCTGCCATTTTCCCAACACAAGCAGCCATAACATTTGCTCATGTAACTTAATGAATTAATGAATGATGGATGGAGTGGTCAAGTAAGGTGTGTTAGTTTCCTATTCAGCTGTAACAAATTACCACAATATGAATCTTAGAGTTCTGGAGGTCAAACTCCGATACAGGTCTGACCAGGTAAAAATCAAGATGTCAGCTCTAGATAGATCAGTGGGGTGGCTATCATTTACAATAATCTATTGCACATTTCAGAATAGCTAGAAGGGAAGAATTCTGATGTTTCTAGCATAAAGAAAAGACAAATATTTAAGGTGATGGCTATCCCAATTAACCTGATTAGATCTTTGCACATTAAATGAATGTATTAAATTATCACATGGGCCCAGAAAATGTATACATCTGTTACTTGTCAATTAAAAAAAAAGACGTCAGCTTTAGGGGACGTTCCCTTCCTGGCCTTTTCCGGCTTCTTGAGGCTGCTGCCTACATTCACTGACTTGGGACCCCTTCTTCTATCTCCAAAGCTGGTGTCATCACTCCTATGTCGGCTTCCTTCGCCACAGGGCGTTCTCCAACTCTGACCCCTCTTCTGCCTGTTTTCCTATTTTAAAAGGCCTTGTTCTTGATCTCAATCTTAAGGTCAGCTGATGAGTAGCCTTAATTCCCCTTTGCCATGAAACCTAACGTGTTTGCAGTTCTGGGGATTAGGCTGTGAATGTCTTTGCGGGGGCACTGTCCTCCCTGCCACATAAGGCTTCGTTTAAGATGTGAAATCCATTCTGTCTGTCTCAGAGTAGAGAAGGGATTTTGTTTTCTGAGCTTGTACAACATTGATTGTTTAGTTCATTTGACATTTAGCCATACACACACTGCTTTGAGGCAGCTCTTGTGTTTCTTTCTTGCTTTGTAACCTGCAAAGCGCTCGTTGCATAGACACATGTTCAATAAGCACTTTTTGAGAAAATGAAAGAAGCAAATGAATGAGCTGTTGTTTAAAACTAGGCTAAGTTGTGTCTTAAGGGGACGGAAGCTATTTTAATCTAAGATGGTAAAATTCGAGCATCAAAAAGAATAAAGACCGCAGTTGATCAAAACCTACCAAATATATAAAAATCTTCCATTTCATAGTGACACTATGCAGAGGCAGGGGTCTTCCTAGGTTCAGCTACACATTTGGACTCACAGGACTCTTACAGGGCACACGTGGCCTCATCTACCCAGAAGGCTTGAGGGGCTGCAGCACCGCTTGCTGTGAGGACAGCATTATTCCCCTGTGGGTATCCTCGCCACAGGTCACACAACAGCCTACACCACTGTCTGGGGGGGCATTTTCCTCCCAGGTGACACAGGTCAGGTGCAGGGAGATGCAATCCATATCAAGCAGTTGCAGGAGTCTTTCTGGCTTAAAATATTTCTACCCCACAGGTGGCAATATCTCTTGTAACAACTCACAGACATAGCTTCCAAGGTTCCCGCAAGGTATATGCCCAGTTCCAAGAGTCATTTTCCTCAGGGAGGTACAAAGTATGGCATCCCTGTTAGGTATTTAATTTACTTACCAGTCTTCCCATCCATTTGTAATTTACCAATCTGGCATTATTTTTACCATAAGCCATGTTGCCTGGTAACCTATTTGATGTTCATCCTCTTAGTAGGTTTCTGAGTAAGAGTTAACTAAAGCTCAGATTCTCAGGAAGCTGAGAAAAGTTTTGTAAACCTTTGGCCTCATGCTAAAACATAACGAAACAAGCTGATAAACAAACAAACCCAAACTCATTATTCACCATTGAAGGTTACTATGACACCAACCCTTTAATTAGAAAATTGATAAAATACAAGAGAAATAATTATACATCTCTATGAACTTTATGTCAGAGTAACAGAATTGTTGATGAAAGTTCTTTTTTGAAGAATTTCAGCTTAAAAAATGCAGAAGAAATGATAGACAATGTGCATTTTGAAACCCCTAATGAAATCATGGATCTAGGTAACAGTTGATTGTTTAGTTCATTTGATCCACCTCCCTCGGTCTCCCAAGGAAAAAAAAGCCATTAAAAAGTGGACAAGGGACATGAATAGACACTTTTCATAAGAAGACATACATGTAGCCAACAAACATATGAAAAAAAGATCATTAGGGAAATGCAAATCAAAACCACAATGAGATACCACCTCACACAAGTCAGAATGGCTATTACTAAAAAATCAAAAAATAGACCTGGCACGGTGGCTTATGCCTGTAATCCCAGCACCTTGGGAGACCGAGGGAGGTGGATCACTTGAGGTCAGGAGTTCGAGACCAGCCTGACCAACATGATGAAACCCAGTCTCTACTAGAAATACAAAATTAGCTAGACGTGGTGGCACACGCCTGTAATCCCAGGTACTCAGGAGGCGGAGGCTCAGGAGAATCACTTGAACCCGGGAGGTGGAGGTTGCAGTGAGCCAAGATCACGCCATTGCACTCCATCCAGCCTGGGCAACAAGAGCGAGATTCTGTCTGAAAAAATAAAAAAATAAACAGGTGTTGGTGAGGTTGTGGAGCAAAAAGAATGCTTATACACTGTTGATGGGACTGTAAACTAGTTTAATCATTGTGGAAAACAGTGTGGCAACTTCTCAAAGACCTAAAAACAGAACTACTATTCAACCCAGCAATCCCATTACTGAGTATATACCCAAAGGACTATAAATCATTCTGTCGTAAAGACACATACACATGTATATTTATTGCAGCACTATTCACAATAGCAAAGATATGGAATCCACCTAAATGCTCATCAGTGGTAGACTGGATAAAGCAAATGTGGTACATATACACCATGGAATACTATGCAGCCGTTAAAAAAGAGTGAGATCATGTCTTTTACAGTAACTTGGATGGAGCTGAAGGCTATTATCCTTAGCAAACTAACTCAGTAAGAGAAAACCAAACACCGCGTATTCTCACTTATAAGTGGGAGCTAAATGATGAGAACACATGTACACATGGAGGGGAACAACAGACATTAGGGCCTATCAGAGGGTGGAGAGTGGGAGGAAGGAGAGGATCAGGAAGAATAACTAATGGGTATTAGGCTTAATACCTGCATGACAAAATAATATGCACAACAAACCCCCATGACACAAGTTTACCTGTATAAAAAACCTACACATATACCCCTGAACTTAAAAGTTAAGAAAAAAAAAAAAAAAAGAGGTGGATGTTAAAATCATTAGATGCACGGTTGATGGGAAATATAATGCAGGGATCATGTTGGCACCACTTGAACCTATGGATTCACGCTAGCCTTACCTTATAGTATGGCCGTAAAGGAAGCACACAGTATGAATATAGTACCATTATGGGGGAATCCTCAAAAACTAAAAATAGAACCAACATGTGATCCAGCCATTCCACTACTGGGTATATGTCCAAAAGAAAGGAAATCAATATATCGAAGAGATATCTGCATTCTCATGTTTATCACAGCACTATTTACAGTAGCCAAAATGTGAAATCAACCTAAGTGCCCATCAACAGATGAATAAAGAAAATATGGTATAAATACACAATGGAATGTTTTTCAACCATAAAAAAGATCAAATTCCTATTATTTGAAGCAACATGGATGGACCTAGTGGTCATTATGTCAGGTGAAATAAGCCAGTCACAGAAAGACAAATATGACATGTTCTCACTCATATGTGAGAGCTAAAAAAGTGGACCTTGTGAAGATACAGAATAGAATAGTGGTTACTGGAGCCCAGGTATGGGAAGGGGTAGGTTTAGACGAAGGAAAACAAGAATATAAATAAAAGATATTTATTACCACTGAACTGCACGCTTAAAGAAAAGATGGTGGCCAGACACGGTGGCTCACACCTGTAATCCCAGCACTTTGAGAGGCTGAGGCGGGCAGATCATGAGGTCAAGAGATTGAGACCATCCTGGCCAACATGGTGAAACCCCGTCTCTACTAAAAATGCAAAAATTAGTTGGGCATGGTGGCGGGTGCCTGTAGTCCCAGCTACTCGGGAGGCTGAGGCAGGAGAATCACTTGAACCTGGGAGGCGGAGGTTGCAGTGAGCCGAGATCACACCACTGCACTCTAGCCTGGCAACAGAGTGAAACTCCGTCTAAAAGAATAAATAAATAAAATAAAAGATGGTAAATTATATATGTATATTTTGTCTCAATTTTTAAAGGTCACTCAAAAAAAGAAGGAAAACAAATTGAATGAAGATCTTAGATCTGTTAGTTTACAGGAAATACAGAGGATAGAGAGAGGTACGGTGACACCCATGGAAGCCACTGGCCAAATCCAGAACATGGGACATTCTGCAGGATGGTGGCCTGACTTCCCTAACACATCAATGCTGTAGAAGGAAAGATAGAAGGCCAGAATGTTCTAGAATAAAGGAAACTTAACTGGCATTATGGGATTTTGTTTGGTTCTTGAATTAAATGTTCAATTGTAAAAAGACATTTTGAGACACTTGAGGTAGTCTGAATAATGACAGGTAACTAGACATTTCTAATTATTGGGATTGTTTTAATTTTTTTTTATTTTGAGACAGTCTCGCCCTATTGCCCAGGCTGGAGTGCCGTGGTGCAATCTTGGCCAACTGCAACCTCCGCCTCAGCCACCCGAGTAGCTGGGGTTACAGGCGCCTGCCACCACACCTGGCTAATTTTTGTAGTTTTAGTGGAGATGGCATTTCACCATGTTGGCCAGGCTGGTCTCGAACTCCTGGCCTCAAGTGATCCACCCACCTTGGCCTCCCAAAGTGCTGGGATTACAGGTGTGAGCCACTGCACCCAGCCTGTTTTAAATATTTTATATGTAATAATGACAGTGTAGGTAGTCGCACTCTACCTCTGCCCTCTTAGGGGCCCCAGCTGGGCCCAAGAATTAAATTGACATGAGATAGATTAACAGGAAAACAACATGCAAATTTAATATAAGTTTGACATGACACTGGAGCCCACGTAAGGAAATGAAGACCCAAAGATGCGGTTAGAGGTGAATGGTAATATGCTGAGTTGGACAAAGAACAGCACGTTGTGAAAAAAACAATTACATGGTGAGGCTAAAGAAGGATAAGAATTATTTTAACCAGGTCTATTTTTATAGAATTATCTTGGTCTCAACTTTTCATGCTTGATGATAAGAATGTTGCTTTCCTTCCAGTACAGGGATGCCATCCTTCACGTGGGAATTTCATCCCTCTGCTTTTAAGAAACAGGTTGAAGCTCAGAGTGATCTGATACTTGCTAGTTTGTCTTTTGAGGTGTCTTTAACTGAAAATAGTCAGTATGCCAGAACACCACATTTTGGGGTAGTATATTTTACCACCCTTTAGCAACAAGGTTAAGTAAAGTAGATATGCATGTACATATTCATGTAGACAAGTTAACTCGTTAGATAGACATACACACATCTGTCTGTCTGTTGATCGGTCTGTCTGCGTATGACTCCTTGACAGTTAAAGATGCTCAGTGAGGTGTTCATGGGTAAAATGACAGATCTGATATTTGCTTTAAATTGCTCAAACATTAAAGGCAGTAGAGAAAACAAGATTGGTCAATATTGACAAGTTTTGAACCTGGTTAATGTGGAAGTCATATACTTAAGCCCTTGCAAATTTTATAATAGTTTTCTTAAAACCCTTGTATTTTTACAATCATACACCAAATCAAATTATCAAAGATGTTTGACATGGTGGAGGGTGGGGCTAAATGTGAGGATCCTGGTGTATGGCTGGGGGTCTCTTCTGGAAAGCAGTTTGTCTGGATGTGCCAGGAGACTTAAGGATGTCGCTGACATCTGACCCAGCAGTTCCTCTCATGGGAATCTGTACTGAGGAAATTATTGTGAGTATCTAGAGCTCTGTAAAAAGTGATTCACTTCAGGATTGTTTTAGATTTTGTAATTTGCAAGTAATCCAAATGTGCAACAATAGAAGAATAGTCATTGAATGGTGGTCTATCACATGATAAAATATTTTGCAACCCTTATAAAGAAGCATTTAGTTGTTAAATACCACTGGAAGATACCTATAACCATGTTAATTGGGGAAAAAAAGAGGATAAAATTGTACTTGCATGCATCTGTGTAAATAGTGGACATTTATGAAAAAAATATGCATAGAAAAAAGGCTGGAAGAAAATATGACAAAATGTCTTCATTAATTCTAATTGAATGATGACCTTCTACTATAAAGACGTGCAGCACTATTTACAATAGCAAGGACTTGGAACCAACCCAAATGCCCATCGATGATAGACTGGATAAAGAAAATGTGGCATTGGTACACTATGGAATACTGTGCAGCCATAAAAAATAATGAGTTCATATGCTTTGCAGGGACATGGATGAAGCTGGAAACTCTTAGCAAACTAACACAGGAACAGAAAACCAAACACTGCATGTTCTCACTCATAAGTGGGAGTTGAACAATGAGAACATATGGACACAGGGAGGGGAACATCACACACCAGGGCCTGTCAGGGGGTAAGAGGCAAGGGGAGGAAGAGCATTAAGACAAATAGTTAATGCCTGAGGAGCTTAAAACCTAGATATCGGGTTGATAGGTGCAGCAACCACCATGGCACATGTAAACCTGTGTAACAAACCTGCACGTTCAGCACATGTATCCCAGAACTTAAGGTAAAATAAAAAATAATAATAAAATAACTAAATGCCTTCATTAGTTCTGATTGAATGGTGGATTCACAGTGAATGAATCCTTTTTTTATTTGTCTTTGTTTTCAGATGTATTTTTACCATAACATAAATTAATTTTTTTCTATGTAGCTTTCCTTCGCTTTATAGAGGTATGATTAACATATCATAAAATTCACACAGTTTAAGGGTACAGTCTGATGTGTTACTGGAAGTATATACAGTTTTACAACTACCGCCAGTCAGGTTTCAGAACACCGTGACTCTGCGAACTACCTCGCATTTTCAAGTAGACTTTATTTTTAGAGCAGTTTCGGATTTACAAAAAAATTGAGAAGATAATACAGATAATTCCCATGTATCCTGAACCCAGGTTCCCCTATTATTAACATTTTCTGTTAGTATGTTACATTTGTTAAAATTAACAAATCAACGTTGATACAGTGTGATTATGTATCAGTTGTTATCAAAGTCCATGCTTTATTCAGATTTTCATAGTTTTTAATCTAATGTCCTTTTTTTTGCTCTGGGATTCCGTCCAGGATATGACATTACATGTACTAGTCATGTCCATAAATTGATTTTTAATGGGAAGAAAAGTAAAATAAACTTTATTTTTAAATCCTCCAAATATATTAGCTATCCATTTTTCCCTTGGTTTCCTTGTTGTTGCTGACTTGTTACTTGTTGACAGAAACATGTCTTATATTGATTATATTCTTTTTTGTACATCACATGGTACCTTACAAATTTACTAAGTAAGAGTCAGCTAATGGCCTTCAATAACTGGATGAAGCAGAAGTGAGCGGGGAAAGGAAGAAAAGGAAGACGAAGAAAGCCCTTGCCTACACATAAATGAAAACCTCAGAGCTTTGAAAGACCTTTGGTTTCTGTTGCAATTTCATGTAATGGAATTCTTTTGATTTTTGTGTTTCCTAGGTTGGAGATTGCAACCCTGAATCGGGCAGATGCAGATCTGGAGGCTTGTCGAACACAAATCAGCAAGGATATCATTGCCCTTCTGCTGAAAAATCTCACCAGCAGTGGCCACCTCTCACCCCAAGTAGAGAGAAAAATGAGTGCTGTTTTCAAAAAGCAGTTTCTATTGCTGGAAAATGAAATACAAGAGGAGTACGATCGGAAGATGGTGGCATTGACAGCTGAATGTGACCTGGAAACAAGAAAGAAGATGGAAAACCAGTACCAGAGAGAGATGATGGCAATGGAGGAAGCAGAAGAGTTGCTGAAACGTGCTGGTGAGAGGGTAAGACAGGTCTGAAAGGAAGGCGTTCACTTCCCTTTCTCTCAGGGATTTGTCATTTATCCATCTACCCACTCATCTGTCCATTTGCCTCCTCCATCCGTCTACCCATCATCCATCCAACCACCCACTCATTCATCTATTCATCCTTCCATTCATTCATCCAACCATTCCCACCGTCCATCCATCATCATCTGTCCATCCACCCATCTACCCATTCACCCACTCATCCATCCACCCACTCATCCAATCATCTGTGCACCTATCCATTCATCCACCCACTCATTCACCCATCTGTCCATCTACACATCCATCTGTCTGTTCATCCACCTACTCATTTATCCACCCTCCCATCCATGCCACCCATCACCCATCCAACAATTTACCCATCCACTTATTCCCCATCTAGCCTTCTACCCATCCACTCATCCATTTACCCATTCACCCATGCTTCCCCTCCATCTACCCGTCCACCCATCTGCCCATTATCACTCATCCACCCATCCATCCATCCAGAATTCATTTAGCAAAAATGTGTTGATTACTTACTGTCTCTCAGGCACTGGGCTAGGCAGTGAAGGTATAGGGAACAATGAGACATGGTTCTTCCATTCAAGAAGTTCATAATCTTATAAAAAAATCAGTTCACGTAAAAAATGAGACATTATTCAGTCATGTTATAATAGAGGTATGTTCACAATGCTGTAGAATTCATGGGTAGAGAAGAAAGGCTTCATTCATAGCAGAGCACGTCTGTAGAGGGCATGGTTCACAGAAAGTTGTGATGTCAGAGTCCACGTGTCCCCCTCTGGACTATATAGCCTGTTAGGTTACAGTTCTCTCCAGCACAGGCTCTAGAGTCAGAAAAACCTGAACTCACAGTCTAGTACATTCCATCTCTGCTCCTGAAGGCCTTAATTAGGCACTGCAAGTCTAATGGCAAGCCACCTCTCAGGGTGGGTGGGAGAAGCAATGTAGGAAAAGCAGCTGCCTGGCGCCCATGGGCTGCAGAAGGCTCTCAGCTCACAGTGCTCAGTTGGAGTTCTCATAGGTCAGCCTTGCCAGGGCTGGCCTAGATTGCTCAGAAATCAGCTCTTGTTTTTCCAAAAGTTGTGTCAGTTGCTGCCTTGAAAGAACTAGAGTTTTTCCTGAATATACCAAATCAAACCTGATTTCTGTTTTCCTATGTGAAAGAAATGGCTTATTCATTTCATGTGACCTGAGTCTGCATATCTTCTTCTGAACATCTACTCCCCTAGGGAGGGCTTCCAACTACTTAAGAACAAGCTTCTGAACTCGGCTTCCCTTCCGCAGACTGTGGCCATCTATGGATGCCCCTGGGAGCAAATAAGCAGCTCTCTTGTTAACAACTCGTGACTCACAGATGGTCATCTGTGGTCAGACAGGGGATGAGCAGTAAAGAAAAGGGGCAAGGTCCTCGCTGTCCTGCCTGCACCTGCTCCCTTGCTCCTGGGGCCTCCCTTGCCTTCAGAACCATCTCATTTTAGGTTCTCCTGTCCTAGTTTCCTGTGGCTGCCATAATAAATCACCACAAATTTAGTGGCTTAAAACAACAGAATTTTTTTCTGTTATATAATAGTTCTGGAGGCCAGACGTCCAAAATCTAGTTGTCAGTAGGATCCTTCCATGTTTGGTTCAGCTTCTGGTGGCTCCGGGTGTTCCTGGGGTTGTAACTGCGTCACTTAAATCTTTGCTCTGTCTTCCTGTGGCCTTTTCCCTGGTAACCCTCTCATCTCCTGTCTCTTATAAGGACATTTGTCATTGAATTTAGGTCCCACCTAAATAATCCAGGATGATCTCATAAGATCTTAAATTAATTTCATGTGGAAAGACCCTTATTCTAAATAAGGTCCTGAGGTTAGGATCTAGGCATATCTTTTTTGGGGGGTGGGAGTGTCACCATTCAGTCCACTGCAGCCTCCCTCACCGACACTGCCCTGTAATGCCCAGTCTATGACTGTGCTGCTCAACATCCCACATCCTTGAGCCGAGCCCTTAGGAAGAATGTATTGAATGCACTGTTCGGTGATTCAGCTCCTAAATGATCCCATTATCTCTCTTTTGATTCTTTCCTAAATCTGTTACAATTTTTTTTTTTTTGTTTTTTGAGATAGAGTCTCACTCTGTCACCCAGATCGCAGTGCAGTGGTGCAGTCTTGGCTCACTGCAACCTCCACCTCCTGGGCTCAAGTGATTCTCTTGCCTCAGCCTCCCGAGTAGCTGGGATTACAGGCGCTTGCCACCACGCCCGGCTAATTTTGATATTTTTAGTAGAGACAGGGTTTTGCCATGTTGGCCACACTGATCTCGAACTCCTGACCTCAGGTGATCCGCCCACCTTGGCCTCCCAAAGTGCTGGGATTACAGGCATGAGCCACCACGCATGGCCAATTTTTTTTTACCTTTAAACGTAATACATGCTCAATAAGGGAGGCTTCGACAGTACCTTAAGGCAGTGGTCAGCAAACAAGGACCCATGAGCCCAATCTTACCCAGCTTGTTTTTATGTGGCCTGCAAGTTGAGAATGTTTTTTTACATTTTTAAAGAGTTTTAAAAATCAAATACACAAACAAGAATACATAACAGAGACCTCAGGTGACAAACTCTAAAATATGGCCCCTTACAGAAAGGCTGTCTGATTTCAGAACCAAAGCTGAAAAAGAAAAAGCCCTGAAAAAAAAAAAAAAGAGAGAAGCCCATCCCACAACTCAGTGGCAGAGGATCATTCATTCTGCCCATTGTTGAGTTTCTATTGTATACCTAACCCTGGAGATACAGGGATGGCTCAGGCAGCCTTCACACCTGCCCTCAGTTGCCAGCATACATTTTAGCCTTTTGCTTTATCCATTTATTTTTATAAAGTAAGGATTATGCAGTTTGTATAGTTGTATATATGTCTTATTTTCACTTTACATCACAGTATACACATTTGCTGATTTTATTAAATACTCTTAAAAAATACGATGTGTAACAATAACAGCTCATCCTTCCTTAGCATGCATGGTGTGTCTGGCATTGTTCCAAGCACATCCCATTGACTCTCTTTAGCGTTCACAACAACTCAGTGAGGTAGGGACTGAGAGGATCTCACTTTGACAGGTGAGGAAACTGAGCTGGGGAAGGTTCACCTGCCCGAGGACAGTCAGCCTCATGTCCAGCAGCATGCCCCCAACCACTGCGCACACTGCCCCCTCCTGCAGTGGAGGTTACGTCCCCCTGCTGTGCGCCCCATGTGAACCCGTCCTGTGGGGCACCTAGAATGTTTCTAGTGGCTTTGCTATCAAAAGACTGCCTGGGGCAATGCTTTTTTATGCGGAGAGCATGAGGATAGGATGCTGGGTCGGTGCCCTACTCCCATCTGTCACGCAGTCCCTCTCCTCCTCAGGGCTTCCTGACCCTGCTCTCTCCAGGGCTTTTCTGCAGCCTGTCTCTCCCACCCACACCACCTTGCAAGCCAGCGTGTATTGGGCAGGCACCATCACTCCGGATGTCCTAGGTCACTCTGTTCAAAGACAAGCAGCCGCCTTATTTGAACCAATCTGTTTCCAGAAATAGTATCTGAGCTGCAGCATTTAATAGAACTAGTTTCCTTCCAGTCCATGCAAGTGATTCCATCTCACAAAACCACAGACTGCTTTATAATTATCCATCATGTGTTATAGTCATCTTTAAATAAAATACATAAAAATATTTTGGATGTATTATTCCACCAAGAATTAGTTTTAAAAAAGAAAAGCAAAAGGAGCAGTATCAGCTTTCCTGAGTAAAGTTTAGTACAGTACAGTCATCCCTCCCTTGATACCCAGGAAGCATTGGTTCCAGGACCCTCCCCACCATCCCACCCCCATGGATACCAAAATCCACAAATTCTCAAGTCTCTGTTATAAAATGGTGTCGTATTTGCACATAACCTACACAAATGCTCCTGTATACTTTAAATCACCTCTGTTACTTGTAATACCTAATACAATGTAAATGTTATGTAGTTATAAATAGTTTGTATAAATGCATAAAAAATAGTTTAGGGAATGTTGTTTAGGGAATAACAACAAGAAAAAAATAGTCTGTATGTGTTCAATACACACAGAAATTTTTGACCTGCAGGTGGTTATATTTATGGATGCAGAACCCACAGATACAGAGAGCTGACTGTAATTAATGTAGAGCTGAAATTTGTTCATACTATAATATTTAAATGCGTATATAATGCCTTATAGTTCTCAAAGCATTTCTCCATTGAGAAACCTTGGGGAGAGTATTGGGGGATATAGGCACAGAAGGCAGGTTGCTGGGGTTTATTTCCTCCCTCTTTTCCTCCAGTAGGCACGTTACCCAGTCACCCTGGGTCTCCTTTCCCCATCCTTAAGACAGGGATAATCATGATGCCTGAGGTCTTAGAGGGCTGTTGTGAGTATAAGTAAGTTAATTCTCGTATAGTACTTCAGCCATTGCTCGGCGCTGAGTCAACCTTGGACAAGGGTTTATTATGATTCATAACTGAATGTAATTTTTAAAGATGCCTGTGGTGTAGAACACAGAATGTGAACTCTTTCTACTTGAAGGTGGGCAAACCGAAGCCCGGAGGGGAAGTGACTGGCAATCCAGCTTCCTGCATCCAGTTCAGAGCTGGGTCCTTCCTCTGGGGTTCGTCTTCTATACCCAGGCTCTCCCCGCTGCTTTTCTGCCACTGAAAGAGGAGGCCCAGCAGATGTCTTGCCCTGGGCTGCCTGAGGCTTTCTAACCCCTGTGTGAGTCTTTGTCCTCAGCACAAGAATTCTGACATTTTCACCGTTTCTGATGGATTTGTTTTTATAAAACATTTTCACAATTTGCCTGTCTTTCTGAGTATGGGGAGTATGACAGCACAGTCGTCACTTTCGAGCGTGATTTCACTTTGTGATGCTGTAGAGTCAACATGCACAGCAGCTGCTGCAGCCAGCCTGATGCAGGCCTGTGCTTCTCACACTGGAACTTCTGTATCCTCCCTTAAGGTTTATGCCCCCTACTCCCTCCATGGGACACTCCCTCCAGGGGACACTTGCTTTTCTAGGTGTTGGAAGCCATAGGATGCATGTGCCTTATCTCCCTGAAGTCTTTTTCATTGAGAAGTTCAATAGTGGGTTGGGGGTGAGTAATCATTACTTTCACATTCCTTTATAATGCACATTTGTGGCCAGGTGTGGTAATCCCAACACTTTGGGATGCCGAGACAGGTGGATCACCTGAGGTCAGGTGTTTGAGACCAGCCTGGCCAACATGGTGAAATCCCGCCTCTACTAAAAATACAAAAATTAGCTGGGCATGGTGGTGGACACCTGTAATCCCAGCCGCTTGGGAGGCTGAGCCAGGAGAATCACTTGAACCCAGAGGGCGGAGTTTGCAGTGAACCAAGATAGCAGCACTTCACTCCAGCCTGGGCGAAAGAGTGAGACTCTGTCTCAAAAAAAAAAAAAAAAAAAAAAAAAGCACATTTGTTGACAGTATTTAAAATATAAACTTTTATTTAAGAAAACCCAGATTTCCAGCTAAAGGATGGGAAGACTGAGCTGTGTTGAGTCCGTATTCCTGCAGAGCCCTTTGGTGGACGGGGTGGAGGCTGCCCCTACAGGCAGGGCGTGCTCTTTGCACTTTGCCCCATTCCCCAGTAGTTCCTAGTGCCTGTCACACCAGGCAGCCTCACTCATTTGGAAACATGACCTCCCCTGTTTGGCAGGCCCAGGGGTGTGCCTCCCCTGCTTTAGGGCTTAGTTTTCTCATCTCTGCCATAGGAGGTTGAACTAGGTCAGGGGTGGAACTCACATCTGCAAGGCTCTGAACTCCCTTTTGAAGTGGGCATGGGAGTCCTGTCCACATGTATTTTAGAGAGTGTTTCACTATGGCACAAATACATCATTGCCTCATACTTTATTCTTCGGCAGAGATATGATTCTAAAAAAGGCCCAAATATTTTATTTTAGGATTTGTGTGTGTGTCTGCTTTTTATCTTGCCTGTGAGAAGCTAAATGGAAATTACCCCGTATTTCATTTCTATTAATTAAAATAAATTGAAGTTTGGGACTTGTCAAATTCTATACTGTCAAAAAAAGAAGGTCGCTTTGATGGATGAACCGACATAACTGGGCACCAGCTAGTCATTCGTAGCGGAATGCCCCTGCGGTGCCCAGACTCAGGGTCCTGACACCCTCCTGGTTGTTGGTGAATTGCATCCTTTGATTTAGATCAAGTCAGCTGTGAATACCATTTCTCTGTAATAGAGTGACTCATTATGTCGAATCTAATCCTTTGTTATAAAATCAGCTTTTTAAAAAGACTGAATTGTTATTTGGTGGGCAAGGCAAGCTATTAGTATGGGCAAGGGTCCTGACAGAGTTGCCAAGAGGATGCACATAAAAGCCTTTGACTTGTAGCCTCATGGCCCCTGCTGTCATCCACTAGGCTTTGCTGTGAGCACCTGCAAGGCAGGGGATGCCATGTGTTGGCCCTTGGACCTCTTTAGAAGGCTCTAAATAATGCTTGTCTTTCTGGCCCAGATTCTGAACAAATCAAACAATAAGTAAAAGGGACTGGAGAGACGGAGAAAGCTAGAGATCAGCATGTCACCTTTGAGAGCTTCTGTGAGTTATTGGAAGTGGAGGTGAGCAGGTCTGTGACTTGGGAAATTGGGGAGCAAGTGATGCTATTTACTGAAACCAGAGAATTCTGGTGGGTGATAGAGCATTCCAACCTTGTTTAGCCTGAAGGAGCTCTGGCCTTTGCCCTGTGCACCGGAGCCCCTTCTGCCTTCCTCGGGCTTCTACTCAGCCCAGCCATGGCATGATGCCACACCTGCCTGCTTCCCAAGGCCAGGCCTTTATTGGCCATTTGGGATGGCTGTACCCACGCATCCTGCACGCGTAAGCCTTTCCCTGCCTTCGCTTCACCAACAAGCTCCACTGTCACTGCCTTGAGTGGTTTCAGAGCTTGGAGCCTGAACACTTGCTTTCAACACGCTTCCTCCCCTAGCTGAGCATGGGTGAGAATTTGGGAAAGCTCTTACCTTCTCTAAGCTTGTGTTTCTTCTCTTATAAAACGGAGGGTGTCAGTTTTCTATTCCTGCCTAAGCAACCACACACATTAGTGACATTGTCTCAGTGTCCATGGTCAGGAGTCTGGGCACAGCTTCACTGTGACCTATGCTCAGGATGTTGCAGGCTGGCAATCAGGGTCTTGGCTGAGCTGCATTCTCCTCTGGAGCTTGGGGTCCTGGTCCAAGCTCATTCAAGCTGTTTGCAGAACTCACTTCTTTGTGGGTACAAGACTGAGGCCCTCAGCTCCTAGAAGTTTCCCTTCTGCGGAGACAGTTTACAGCCTGGCTGTTTGGTTCTTCAAAGCCAGCAGGAGAGGGTCTCTCTCTTTAGGAAGGCTCCAATGCTTCTTTTAAGGAGTCAGGCCCACCCAGGAGAGTCTTCCTTTTGATTAATTCAAAGTCAACTGATTAGTGACCTTAATTACATCATCAAGACACCCTCAGCTTTGCCATATGATGTAAACCAATCACAGGAGTGACTTAATCAGATTCATTCCCATGCTCAAGGGGAGGGAATTTATGTGGCATATATACTGGGGCCTGGGGATCAGGGGCCATTCCAGAATCCCGCCTACCCATGTGGAGTGAAGAACAGCTCCCTCTGAGATAATATCTCAGCTCCTTACTGAGATAATTGGGGGGAGGCCGTATGCAAATGGATCAGGAGCTCAGTAGAGGTGAGCTTCCTTTCATTCCTCACACAAGACCTCATACTATGCAGGCATCCAAGCAGCCATTTCTAAAGACCTCTTTTGCTTCTCTTTACCCAAAGGATCTCCACTTGGGCCTGATTGCTGGTATTTTTCTCTTCAGTGAAGTTGAGAATGAAAGATAGGAGAAATAATCTTGTGAGCCTGACAGCATGACCCACTGATAGTGAAGAGATTTCCATTTTTTGCAGGCTATTTTCTAGCAGTTTGATTTGCAGATTTCCACCCCTGTAAATATTCTGCTTTGAGATTATTCTAGAAAACATTTAGATAACAGGGGAGGACAGGTTGGAACAGCATATTCCAGGGCTTAGTAACCTCATTATTGTCAGCTTGGGACTGTGTGTGTGTCTATGTGTGTGCCTTGTTTTTGCTGTGTGTGTATATGCTGTGTGCGCACATGTACTTGTGCCTTGTGTGTGTGCAAGTTCTGTGTGTGCCCATGTGTGCGTGTACATATTGCATGTGTGTACATTGCCTTACACATTGTGTATGTGCCTGTGCACACATGTGCATGCACACACTGCATGCGCATGTGTGTATATATTGTAATGCATATGTGCATGCATCTGTGTGTTCATGTACACATTGTGTGTGCACATGTGCCTGTACACATTGCATTGCATGCACATGTAGGTGCATGTTCAGTGTGTCAGTTTCTCACGCTCTCCCTTTCCTCTCTCCAGTCTGCTGTAGAGTGCAGCAACCTTCTGCGGACCCTCCATGGCCTGGAACAGGAGCACTTGAGGAAGTCTCTCGCTTTGCAACAAGAAGAAGACTTTGCCAAAGCTCACAGACAGCTGGCTGTTTTCCAGAGAAATGAACTGCACAGTATCTTTTTTACCCAGATAAAAAGTGCTATTTTCAAAGGGGAATTGAAACCAGAGGCAGCTAAAATGCTGCTGCAAAATTATTCTAAAATACAGGTAATACATCAGCCTCGCTGTGATGGAAAAGTAATTTTTCTGAATTGTTTCAGTAAATGTCTCCTCTCTCAGAGTTCAGTCCTGCCTCTCCTTTGTACTGTGCACTAGTGAGCTTTCTCTTCTATCTCTTGGTGTGTGAGTTTCCAGTAAGCAGGGAAAATGGTGGCTTGGAGTACAGGCCTTGAACTCGGGCTGACCTGGATTGGAATTTCAGTTCCCCCCCCCAGTCTACTGCGTGAACTTGAGCAAGTTACCTCACTTCTTTGAGCCTTAGTTTCGTCACTTATAAGATGAGTGTGATAGAATGCCCACACCCACGAGGGTGTGATGGAAATTTGATGAGCTGACTCGTGGAAAGTTAGTGCTTGGCATAACATATGTTTAATGTATATAGCAGTGGAAAGGAAATACAGGCCAGGCTTGGTGGCTCCCAGCACTTTAGGAGGCCAAGATGGGAGGATTGCTTGAGCCCAGGAGGTTGAGGCTACAGTGAGCCATGATAGCACCACTGCGCTCCAGCCTGGGTGACAAAGCCAGACCCTGTCTCAAATAAAATATACATATATGCATGTATGTGTGCATGTATTGATGTATATGTAGGGTTTAGTATCTGTGCCTGGATATACTTGGATGGATTTGTGTATTTTTGCATGTCAGCTTGAGTGTGAATGTTGTTAGTCCAACAAAATAATTTCTTAGGCGGTAGTGAAAACAGTCTATCTGAAACTGTCAGCATCACTGTGGAAATTCTTAGGAGGCCTGTGTGAGGGATTTTACATGCACAAGTGCATGCACACACAGGCACACACAGTGACATCACTGCTTTACAAGAATGCACTTTGTTGTTTGGCTCCAGCGCTGTCACTGGTGCTGATAGCTTGCTCTAGCTGATGGTAAGGGTAATTGTGAGCAAACTCTTATTTTATTTTATGGAATTTTCTATTCCGACTGTCAATAAGATGTTTGAGAAATGCAAATGTCATTCTTTAGACAGGCTGCCTCATCCAGGTTATGAGCCAACCTCTGTTTCTCAAGCAGCAAGGGTACCTTTGGATGGTGCTGGAGGCCTTGGAGCAGCATCTGGCAGAGTCAGGTCCATAGGGGTTGATTTGTTCCTCAGTGCAGTAATGTGTTCACGGTCATGAGTGCATCACTGTGCTTCTTGAGCAGTGCTTTTTCTGATGTAGTGGACACTGCTATTTCATTTTTATCTTTATAAATGAAAATCATTCCAGAAAGTGGCTTGCTGGTTAATTTTCCCACCTTGAAATTCCCTACTTGTGCTAGAAGGACAGATTCCACCCATAGCAGAATGAGCCACATCCATCTAGGGTGAATCAGGGCTTATGACCAGCCTCTGTTACTCCATTGCTAAGACAGTGGCGAAAGATGAAGTCCAGAGGAGGTGCGGGCACAGGCGGCCTTCCCTGCGTCTGTGAGCAGGTCCTCAGCATTCACCCAACCACTGACAAGACAAAGGCTGGCCCTGCCCATCCTCTGGGGACCTGCAGCTAGTACCAGGCCGAGCGCATGAGGGCTGAGACATCAGGGCCATCCCAGGAGGAGACCGAGTAATCGTCACAAGCCTCCCATTCCCAGAAGGCACCCAGGACAGAGAACGAGCTCCCCCCTCCATTTAATCTAGGTTTTTCCCACTAAATCCTCAGTGAGCATACATAAAGCACAAATTCTGTCATATTCATAGCTTGGTATTCAGACGCCATGGCGTTACTTAGATATTCACAGATTCGTTATCATTTTACTCTCATGATGAGCAGTGGCTGACTCTCAATGCCAGAGCACTCAAGTTAAAAAGAATGCATGCTATTGTGAATGATATTATGCCAGAAAGTAACTCCACAGGTGATAACAGTACTGCCCTACAAGCTTTCTTGACCAGAGCTATGAGAGTATTTAAGGATACCAATTCTGAATTTCCTTACAACATGGGCTCCCATCAATCAGCATGCATGGATCCCGCTAGGTGGAGAGCAGGAACATTGCTGTAACCTTCCTGTTACACGGATTCTGGTGCCAGTGGCCCTTAGGGAGATGCTAGTGTGTGTGAAGCCACACCTGACTGGCCATGCAGCTTTTCACTGACTGGATGATGCTAATTCCCAAGTGTTGAGATGTGGAGATGTTACAGCTCTTATGTGGGAAGGGGAACGTCCATGCTGTCCTATGTTCCCTGTTGAACAAAGCGTTGACACTTTTGGTTATCCATTGTATGGGTGATATTTCCACAGATAGAAAAAGGACAACGAAGCCAGTCCATAGAGTAGTTCTACTGATGTTCCTGGTCTAATTACTATGCCTCTGGTTAAAGTGGGATTTTTGGAAGCAGGCTATTATGATGTTAGAGCACAGGTCCTGGAATTAGACTGCTGAGTTCAAATCCCTGCTCAGCCATTTGTCTGATGTGGACTCAGTTTCCTCATCTGTGAAATGGGAATAATAGTACTGTCTCCCTAGGTTGAGTTAGATGAGACATGAAACACTCTTGGCCCAGTGTTAGGTCCAGAGAACACACCTCACATTATCTAGGTTATTACTCTCCTGTGTTTGGTTACGTTTTGTTCATTTTGTAGGCTGAGGAAAAACCTTCTTGCTTTCTTTGTGCCCATCCTGGTTTTGTCTCCTCTGTGGTGGTGGGAGCTCCTTGGGGTTGGGCTGATGGCTGACTTCTCCCAGAACTTCAGCACCTCATCCTGGTGTTCAGCACTTGTAGGAACTCCACAGGTGGAAAGGGAGCGTGCATGGATGAAGGATAAATGGCTGAATTAGTGAAATTTATGTTCCGTAGGGCAGTGAAGTTGTTCTGATAACTCTTTACCATCTGGGTCTAGAATGCACTTTTCAAAGCCCTCATTTCTTATTTGTATGTAATTTTCTCATAAGCCTTTGTTACAGGCAGGGAGGTTAAAGGTGTTAATTCTCATGTTTCTTTTCTTGTGTATTTTCTTATAAAAGGAAAAATAATATTTTAAATGTCTAGAAAGATTATGCTCTAAATTTTAATTAGGCATATTTTCTTGTTTTTTTTTTTAATTGACAGGAGAATGTAGAAGAGTTAATGGACTTTTTCCAGGCTAGTAAGAGGTATCATCTAAGTAAAAGATTTGGCCACAGGGAATATCTGGTCCAGAACCTCCAGTCATCAGAGACCCGTGTGCAGGGCCTTCTGAGCACCGCTGCAGCCCAGCTGACTCACCTCATTCAGAAGCACGAGAGGTACCACTCAACACTGTCCCAACAGTGCGAACTGTCTTAGTCTGTTTTCTGCTGCTATGACAGAATACCACAGACTGGGTAATTTATAAATAGAAGAGATATATTTGGTTCATAGTTCTAGAGGCTGGGAAGTTCAAGATCGAGTGAGGGCCTTCTTACTTCATCATAACATGGTGGAAGGGCATCATGTGGGAAGAAGTGCATGTGTGAGACAGAAAAAGGGAGTCAAACCCGTGATAACTAACACAGAAATGGCATTAATCCATTCATGAGGGTGGATCCCTCATGACCTAATCATCTCGTAAAGGTCCCGTCTCTTAATACTGTCACAATGGCAATTAAATTTCAAGTTTTGAAGGTGACATTCACACCACGGCACAAATGAACTGCCTGACACAAACCTTCCTCACTGGAGACCCACTACTGTTTATTCAGCGTATGTGCTGACTGCTCCTCACTTATTATTTCTGAAGAAGAATTATCTTGTAAAAATCCTTTGTGTTACAGAATTTTAAAAGCATATGCAATAGTCTAGACATAGACTGTTGCATATAGTTGCAATAGTCTGTATAATGAGCCCCACTCATGGCCAGTTTTGATGTAGCTACACATCTCCACCCCAGATTATTTTCAAGCAGAATTCCAACAACATATTCTGGAGAAATCAGTGATGAGGCTCACATGGACCATGTGATGGAAGAGCCCACTTCTCTTTAAGATCTAGCACACTGCCGGCTCTCGCATTCACCTTTGACACTAAGTATAAATACAGGGATGGTTGTCTTGGATTCCAAATGGTTTTTCTGAGCAGCACCTGGGATCCTGTGGTCAAGTGTATGGTGGTGTCACAGAGTTCTAAGTGCCATCCTTTGCCTCTCTGCAGCATTCCTTCTCAGCTATTCTTTGAGGTGACTTAATTGTAAAGAACAAAATTTATTCTTTTAGGTTACAAAAAGCTCTGAAATGAATAGGGACATGACTATAAAGCGGCTTTCTTATGACAATCTGTTGTTTTACTGTGGTTCCGCTACTAGGTAACCTTGTTGGGACTTTGACCCTCTCCTGCTCTGTTTAATGAGGATTCCGTAAGGTGCAAATTATGCAAACACTCCCCACCTAAATATGCTAATGAATTTATCACTGCAATTTACTTCGCATTCCTGATTTTAATTTGCACTCAAGTGAAAGAAACAGTTCTTTGCCTTGAATTGAAGGGCCCACCAGCTGGTTGTGAGCAGTCACCAGGGAAAGATGCTTCATCTCTTCTTTTCAAATTCTATTTTAAAAGACATAATTATATTTCTAAAACATGTATCTACTACTGATTCCTTCACCTGTTCCTTCCTTCAAGGAACCTCCCTTGAGAGTCTTCCCTGGGCCAAGCTGGGGACTCAGCCCAGGGATGCAGGCAGTCTAGGAATGATAGTGGTAATGCTGGTAGCAGAGTGTACTCGTCAGGGTACTCCAGGGAAACAGAAACAACAGGATATGTAAACATATAGACAGCATCGTTTGCTGTTTCCAGCTTGCAATACAAATAGCTTCCTATATAAATAGGAACTAGCTCAAGTGATTATGGAGGTTGAGAAATCCCATTGTCTGCTGCCTGCAAGCTGGAGACCCAGGAAAGCCAATGGTATAATTCAGTCCAAATCTGAAGGCCTGAGAACCAGAGGGAGCTGATGGTGTAAGTCCCAGTCCAAGGGCAGGAAAAGATGAGATGAGAGGTCCCACTGTTAGCTGTAAGGCAGAAAAAAAAGGGACAAATTCCTCTTTCCTCTGCCTCTGTGTTCTATTCAGGACCTCAGCATATTGGATGATGCCCGCTCATGCTGGGGAGGGCCGTCTGCTTTACTGAGTCCACTGATTAAAATGCTGATCTCCACTGGAAACACCCTCACAGGCACACCCAAAAAGAATGTTTCGGCCAGGCGCAGTAGCTCACGCCTGTAATCCCAGCACTTTGGAAGGCCGAGGCGGGTGGATCACGAGGTCAGGAGTTTAAGACCAGCCTGGCCAAGATGGTGAAACCCCGTCTCTACTAAAAATACAAAAAAAATTAGCTGGCGTGGTGGCACGCGCCTGTAATCCCAACTACTCCGGAGGCTGAGGCAGAGAATTGCTTAAAGTTGGAGGGGCGGAGGTTGCAGTGAGCCAAGATGGTGCCACTGCACTCCAGCCTGGGCAACAGAGCCAGACTCCATCTCAAAAAAAAAAAAAAAAAAAACAAGAAGAACGTTTCATCTGGGCCAGTCAAGTTGGTCCATAAAATTAACCATCACACAGAGTATTCCCTGCCTTTGCCTCTTTGACTTTGTTTGTGCTGTTCTTGACACCAGGATTTTTAATCTACCATCTCACCTTGGAAACTTCTGTCTGCACCAGAGTGGTCCTCTCGAATGTTACTTTCTTCCAGAACTCTTGCCAACTTCCACCCTAATGATGTCTCTCTTGTGCTGAGCTTTCTCTGCCCTTACTCTGCTAGTACTTTAGTAATATCTTAGCTGCCCATTCTTGTAATTCTTCTGGAGGGTAAAGATTTTCTGATTCAAACCAAACTAATATGGAGATGAATGTTCAGGCACAATAGCAGTTAAGCTACAGGTGAGTTTGGAGACCACATTCCTAACTTTACATCCTTTCCATCTAGAGCAGGGTACCTGGATGAAGACCAAATGGAAATGCTATTGGAGCGGGCTCAGACAGAAGTCTTTTCAATCAAGCAGAAGTTGGACAATGACTTAAAGCAGGAAAAGAAAAAGCTCCACCAAAAATTAATAACTAAGAGAAGACGAGAGTTGCTACAAAAGGTATATAAGGCATGATGCTATTTATTCTTTGCATAGGCACTTTCTGATACCCATCAAGTGCCAGGTACTGTGCCAGACATTGCCATTGGTGAACTAGGATCAGAAGGGCAGCTGGGCAGGCACCATGATGTGCCATCTACTGTTGATTGGTAGCGACTTTTTGGAATGCTGTGTTCAGCAGGATGCTACAATTCTTATCCAGCCCAAGCACAGCAGAGGGTCACAATAGACTAGTAATGTCTGCATGGGCAAGGGAATTAGGAGTGCTGGTTTGAGTGACTAATGATGATGGTAGGTGCTAACATTTATTGGCTGCTTACTTAGCACTGTGCTAAGTGTGTTATATAAGATATCTTGTTTAATCTGTATATTAACCCTATGAGGGAGATACCACTGGGTTTGTGTGTGTGTGTGTGTGTGTGTGTGTGTGTGTGTGTGTGTATGGTCAAGGTCAAATATCTAGTAAGTGGCACGCATGGCATGTATTTGGGGACTCTAAGAATATGATGAGGCTGGAGTGTGCAGAGGGACGAGGGTAGGGCCTGGAAGGGAATGCAGCAGCAAGTCAATGGGGGCATGGTGTGCCGTGCTAAGGGGTTACCTTCCATCCAAGGATAGTGGGGAATGTTGAAGGGTCTTCCGGAGGTGAGAGAGACATCAGATCTGTGATTTAGGAAGCTGAGGTGAGCACCATGTCAGATGGAGTTGAGGAACCTGGGAATACAAACCCCATGGGAGGCTCTGGTACTTGGCCGGGTGCGAGCGGATGCAGGCCTAAACTGACACAGAGCCCTGAGTACAGGGGATAAGGACAGATTCAGGGAATGTATGGGACATGCAGAGTGACACGCAAGTAGTTGGTTGACACCATTTGCAGGGAGGGGATGAAGAATAACTTTCAAATTTGATCAATAGAAACTCTGCTCTTTACTACCAAGTTTGGGACCCAACAGAAAGCCATGATTCTGGCCTTGATCACTGATGCATACCCCATCTTTGCCACCTTTGAGCATCACCCCATTCATCTCTGAGCCACTGGTTAAGGGATGGAAACAGTGGGGCCCAGGGCTCCATTTCCTTACTGTCTTGCCTGATCCAAGGTAAGTGTCTAGAAAGAAGGATAGACTCCACATCCTATAGGAGATTCTGGCAGTCTTCTGTGAATATTATTTCTTGCAGCTACTTTTGATAAACATTACAAGTGGCCCAGAATTAGGATGTAGGTCCACGAAGGCAAAAACTTACGTTGCATCCCCACTGTTGAGAACACTGCCTGACACCTGGTAGGTGCTCAATACATATTTGTAGAATGAATGAATTGATTCTCTCTGGTTACCAGGACCCATGAACATGGGTTATGGTAGACTAGTAATGTCTGCCTGGGCAAGGGAATAGGAGTGCTGGTTTGAGTGACTAATGATAATGGTTGGTGCTAATATTTATTGAGTTCTTAATTTGGAAGAGCATCTTATGTTCTCTCCAAATAGAACCGAGACTATCTGTGGACCCACTGTTATAAAGAACACCATAATGGACATCTTTATGCATCTCAATTTTTTTCCCACCACGGGGCCTTTGCACCAACTGCTTTTTCTCCCAGGCAGGTTCTTTCCCCATTTCTTAACCTGATTCAGATGAGACCTCCTTCCTTAGGTCTCACTTAGATCTTCTTCCTTGAAAGCTTTGCTGACCCCCTCATTTAAGTTGTCTCTCAATGATCTTAGCTTTTTGATTCCCCCTTTATAATATTACAACTTGCAGATCCTGTGTGCCTAGCACATAGTAATAACACTAACAGATGTTCATTGGCGTAAACTACTCTATGTCAGGCACTTTTCTAAGAGATGTATGTGTATTAAGTAACTCGCATAATCTTCACAACTCTTCTGAAAGGGAGGTCCTATTATTATCCCCATTTTACAGATAGGGAAATGGAGGCGCAGAGAGGGTAAAATACCTGCTTTGGGTCACTCAGCTTGTGAGTAGAGGAGCCAGGACTGGAACCCAGGCGGTCTGTCTCCTGGGCTTTACCTACTCGGCAAATACATGTTCAGTGAATGGTGAACACATAGGGATTCTACCGTATTTTTTTTAAACAGTAACTTTCTAGACCTGGCACAATGGTTCACAGCTGTACTACCAGCAGTTTAGGAGGCCGAGGTGGGTAGATCACTTGAGGTCAGGAGTTCAAGAGGAGCTCAGCCAACATGGTGAAACCCCAACTCTATAAAAAATACAAAAATTATCTGGGTGTGGTGGTACACACCTGTAATCCCAGCTACTGGGGAGGCAGAGGCAGCAGAATCACTTGAACCTGGGAGGTGGAGGTTGCAATGAGCCAAGATAGTGCCACTGCACTCCAGCCTGGGCGACAGAAGGAGACCCTGTCTCAAAAAAAAAATAAAAAAAATAAATAAATAAAATAAATTAGTTTTTTAAAAAGTTAGCCTGGCATCATGGCGCACGTGCCCGTAATTGCAGCTACTTGGGTGTCTTGAGGCACAAGAATCGCTTGAACCCAGGAGGTGGAGATTGCAGTGAGCCGAGATCGCACCATTGCACTCCAGCCTGGGCAACAGAGCAAGATTCAATCTCAAAAAACAAACAAGCAAACAAAAAACCAGAATAACTTCCAAATGTGAGATTGTTGGGGAAAAGGCTATAAACATTCTGTGCTTCCTGCAACAAAGTGTTTCAGCCAAAGGACTGTACCCGCCAAGCCCCACCCCCACTTAATTTTCTTTTCTGAAACTCCAGCACAGGGAGCAGCGTAGGGAGCAGGCGTCCGTCGGCGAGGCCTTCCGAACGGTTGAGGATGCCGGCCAGTACCTGCACCAGAAGAGGAGCCTGATGGAGGAGCACGGTGCCACCCTGGAGGAGCTGCAGGAGCGTCTGGACCAGGCCGCCCTGGACGATCTCAGGACCCTGACCCTTTCGCTGTTTGAAAAGGCCACCGACGAGCTGCGGCGCCTGCAGAACTCAGCCATGACCCAGGAGCTGCTCAAGCGTGGGGTGCCCTGGCTCTTCCTGCAGCAGATCCTGGAGGAGCACGGCAAGGAGATGGCTGCACGGGCCGAGCAGCTGGAGGGGGAGGAGAGGGACAGGGACCAGGAGGGTGTCCAGAGCGTGAGGCAGAGACTGAAGGATGACGCTCCTGAGGCCGTGACAGAGGAGCAGGCAGAGCTGCGACGCTGGGAGCACCTGATCTTCATGTGAGTGCCTTTGCGGGTCGTAATCACCCCTCCCCATCCCGTTGATGCCAGGGAGATTCCTGCCCTGTGGTTGTGGGGATGGCCAAGCATGAGACACCTGGCCCCAGACAGATGAGATTACCAGCGTTAATTAGTCATATAAACTCAACGCCCCGGGGGGAGGACCTCGAATGTCACGCAGGACCCTACAAGGATTGAGCAGAGTGCAGAACCAGGGCCATAGGGTTTGTAGTAACAAGAGGATGGGTGGCCCCTGGCTTCCAGGGGAAAATGTGATTGCCTTGTCTGAATAATTCCCTGGGGTTAATAACTCCAGGGAGCTACTCAGGGATAAATGGGAATGTGCTGGTTCCCCTAATAAGAAATGTCCCCTGGGGAGGGGACATGATCCACAGGAGCAGAGGGGGAAGGGGAGCTTGCGGTTAGGCCATTCCAGGCCCTGCTAGTTTCACCAGGCATCAAGGCTGCTCATGATCTTGACCTTCGTGTTAGTTCTTCCACCACACTGCATCATCTTTTCACCTGGCCCTTTCATCCCTGGTCCATTTCTCGGGCTATGTATCTTTATTATTAATTCAAGAGCCATGTAATGACTTCCACTTCTGAGTAGGATGCAGTGGACCACACCTAACACTCCTGCTGCAGTAACTAGAAAATAATGGATATGTTTATTTTTAATATTTATTTTTTGTAGAGACGGGGTCTCACCCTGTTGCCCAGGCTGGTCTCGAACTCCTGGGCTTAGGCAATCCTCCCGCCTCAGCCTCCCAAGATAAATTTCACAAGTAAGTTTTTAAAGACATGGGAGAGTGGTGGAAACAATGAAGACAAGTCGGAGTCATATTCCAGAGGGGCCAGTGCCCACAGTTCTTTACTTCCCTGAAACATTTGCCAGCTCTTTGTGCCTGCTGGGATTTGGCCTAGCCCAGGAAGGGAGCCTTTTGTGCTGTAATAGAGACCAACAGAGCTTTTGGTGGTTGTTTGGGGCTGGCAACAGATTGGAAACTGGAGGGGCCTCTAACCTAGCCAATGTAGAATGAGACATGGGCAATGTAGACCAAAAGACCCAGGACCACCACTTAAGTTTGTGCAACTTGTTTAACCTCTCTGGGCCTCAGCTTTCCCACTTGTAAAATGAAGACCACAAAAACTAAATCAAATCATTTAGGTGATTTTGGCAGTACATGGCACTATCAAGTAGTTTAAATGTGAAGACAATGTTTATGTAAGAGCCTGGGCTCATCTTGGATGCTTTAATGGACATAGGATCTGTCTGCAATTTCCCTCCTCCCTTGTAGAAGTTATCTCCTAGAATCTTGCTGGCCTCCATGATTTAATGTCCTTTCCTTTCCTACACAGTTTTCATCCCCAGGATCCGACCTTGCTACCAGGAAAATAGGTCCCCAGGTGTTTGCAAAGATTGATACTATCTTGGTTTGCGTTAAGTGACCTTTGGCCCTTTCCCATCTCTCTCTTCTGTGATTCTGGCCTCATTTATTTTTTAATCCTTGTTAGCTTTTGCTTTCTTGACAAGGAAAACAAGATTCTGTCTTCTCTTAGTCCATAAAAATCAGATCCTTAAATGTCATTTCTTATTCCCATGATTTGCCCTCAACAGTATTTATTCAGCTTAGCCTACATTCCAGAAAATTCTCTTCTCATGTTCAAACTGGCTTTGGACTCTTCGTAGCAAGTGAATTAACTTTGGCATTCCTATTACCAGCTGGTCATTTTCTTCAACTTCGTTTGGATTCGTTTTGCAGGGAGTGTTACTAAAGCAACTGCTGATTTAGCCATTTAATGGGAAAAAGAGAACTCTCACTTGGCTATCAGAGAAGTGTATGATTTTTCCAAGGGTTAAAGAGGATCGACTCACAGTGTACGCAATGTGAGTCTGCTCATATACTTTGCTTATTTAAGATTCTAAAAGGTTGCAGCCTTTATTTCCGAGGCATTATGCAAAAATGGTTTTGCACAATAGATTTGAAACACATTTTTAGAAGCTTTCCAATTTCAACCAAGATAGGGTTACTATAAAACTGGTTGGCTAAAGTAGGAATTAATGAGGAATATCTTTGCAAGAGAAAGTGTGTCTTTGAGCCTTCTTTCGGAAGTTCCTGTCTTGATTTCAAACTCCTTCAGGGCAAAGATCTCGCCTCCTGTATTTCTGTATTCTCTTGGCACTTACGTAACAGAGGATTAAGACAAGAGTGCTCAGGGCCGATGTGGTTTGAAAGTGGCAGGAATAATGACTGAGAGTCATCTCAGAGTTGCTTTCACTTTGGATTCGGCGTAATCAGCAAACAGCGGGGCAAAGGCCTTGCACAAGGGAAGGTGCAAGGGGGCTGCTGCAGTTTCCAAAGGTTGCTTTAAAAATCGTTGGGCCCCATGAAGTGAGGAACCCAAGACGGGTGTCACATGACCTGGGGGTCAGGCCTCAGAGTGTTGTCAGCAGAGGGCCCCCGTGGTCTCTGAAGGTCTCATTCTCTTTCCACGAAAGACCTTTCTAGCAGATCCACAGCCCCACATTCCCACACTGAGATCTGGGTATGGTAAACCTGACTCTGGCCAACCACGTTGGGTGTTCTGCTGATAACTCTGAATTTTAAAGCATCGGTCAATGCTGGCTGCATTGACAGAACATTACCAGAACATTCAAACACATCTACAGCTAATCTTTGTTCAACGAATAATTCTGTCCAGACTTTCTGAGCAGATTTCCTCTTACATCTTGTGGGCCAGAACCAGCCCCCTTGAGGATGAGAAAGCAATTGTATGGCCATTCTCTCCATTAGAGTGGGCTGTGGGCCTTGCTGGAAAGGAAGAGGGACTGTTCATCCATTTCCTTGTCTGTAATTTGGTGTAAGGAACAGCAATGATGTATGTCATTGCATTTGTTTTTTAACACTACCATAACAAAGTACCACAAACTGGTGGCTTAAAACAACAGAAATATATTCTCCCACTGTTCTGAAGGTAGGAAGTCCAAGATCAAGGCATTGGCAGAACCATGCTCCCTCTGAAGGCACCAGGGGAGAATCTGTTCCATACCTTTTCTTAGCTGCTGGTGTTGCTGGCAATCCTTGGCATTCATTGGCTTGTAGACGTCTCACCCCAATCTCTGCCTCCATGTCAGATGGCCTCTCTGTGTGTTTGTCTCTTTTCTTATAAGGACACCAGTTATATTGCATTAAGGGCCCACTGTGCTCCAATATGGCCTCATCTTAGCTCACTTCTTAATTACATTTGTAAATACCCTATTTCCAAATAAACCAACATTCACAGGTCCCAGGTTAGGACTTGAATATATCTTTTTGGGAGCCACAATTCAACCCATAACACTAAGTCACTCAGCATGGTTCCCAGCATGGAATCGATTTTCACTGAATGACAGCTGTCAGTCATTACCCTTTGGAACCAGTCATAAGGGACTCTCATTTCCCTGACCTCCCTGAGCTGAGTTTTGTGTGTCTCTCCTCTGTCCATTGGTCCTACATAGAGAATGCTGCTGGCCAGGCTCCACAGACAGTGCTTTGTTTACACGTCTGTTTCTGAAGTGAGACCAGGTTAATTGCAAGGTCGTGGGCACTGGAAGGCCTGTTGCCTCCTCAAAGGCACCCTCACAGCCTGGCCTCATTCAGCTCTCATTCCTAGCTCCAATACAATGTCCTATGCAGCACGACATGCATTAGGTGCTCAAGGAATGCCTGTGGCAGGAATGCATGATTAAGGAGCCAGTGCTTTTTCTGCAGACATGGATATGAGGAATGAGCTTTGCATCTCTGGCTTCTTCACCCCAGCCCAGCCCCCAGGCTTTCTCTGTGTTAAGAGTGTGTCTCTGTTCTTCCTCCCAGGAAGCTCTGCTCCTCAGTCTTCTCCCTGTCTGAAGAGGAGCTGCTCAGGATGAGGCAGGAGGTCCATGGCTGCTTTGCTCAGATGGACAGGAGCTTGGCCCTCCCCAAGATCCGGGCCCGAGTTCTGCTGCAGCAATTTCAGACTGCGTGGCGAGAAGCAGAGTTCGTGAAGCTGGACCAGGCCGTGGCTGCCCCTGAGCTGCAGGTAGGATGGACCTGTCAGTGGCCGATTACAGAAGCAGGGCCGTCTCCCAGCTGCTGGCCCTACAGGGTCTGGCCTCTTCCCCAGCCTGAGCCCATCTCACCTCATGCTCCCCTATCCTCTCCTCTCTGGCTGCATTGGTGTCCAGCTATTCCAGGAATCTCCAGGGCTGTCCCAACTTTAAAGTCTATAGTGGACACTGCTGGTGCTGTGCCCTGATCCTGTTGCCTGGGCTGTTGCACCATCCACCAGCAGCTGTGTCAGCCTTGCGCAGCCACAATCTCCTGAGGGAAGCTGCCTGGCCTGAGATATTACTCTGTCTCTCCTGCCCCCTCCTCCAGCCACAGCTAATGACTGACTCTGGGTACAAAAGGCCTTTCTATATGGCATAGAGGAGGGATGCTCATCTCAACTCAGGTGGGTCAGGGAAAGAGGGGCTCTTGCACAGGGTCTTAAAGGATGATGACTGGTAGCTGCCTTTTAATGAGCAGCTATTATGTGCCCGAGGGCAGACAACTCTTTGGTACAGTTTTTGCTCCAAAGCCCCCAGGGACCAGTTTAGGCTCAACTTTACCTGAGACCACAGCCTTGCTTGGCTCTTCCCTTTCCTGTCCTGTTCCCTTGTTCCCCAACAGGTTGATCCTAGAGAGACCTCCTTCAGGAAACCACCTGCACCTAATCCCTGCCTCAGGCTCCGCTTCTGGGGCTCCCAACATAAGATAAGGCCTTCGAACTTCTGTTTTCTCTGCCACATATATGCTTTGCAGGCCATTGAGGTCTCAGCTCAAATGCCACCTCCACTAGGAAGCCTTCCCTGAGCACCTGTCTAAAATTACCCTCTCCCTAGGCATTCTTTATCACATGCTGGGTTTCATTATTTTCTTTATCATTATCTGAAATGTGCTGGTTCCTTGACTTCCCCTTTGTCTGGGCTTCCACTAAAAATAAGCTCCCCGGCCCATTCACCACTCAAGGGTGCTAAGTGCGTAGTAGGTGCACAGTAAATTTTGTTGGCTTAAACATCCCACCAGCCAAGCACCAGATGTGTGCAAAACATCGGGGCTTCTCTTAAAGTAATAATAGTTGAGACTGAAAACATATTAAAATTACTGAAGCTTACATGATCTCACCTGAAGTTCACAGCAGTGCTAAGAGGTAATATGGTGTCCCATTTTACAGATGAGAAAACAGCCCAGCAGAGGAAAAGTGAGTGGCCCTATAGGAGGTAGAGAACTGGGCTGGGAGCTGGTGTTTCCTGACTTTAAACTCACTTCTTTTCCTTTAGAGAAAGAAAAAAACTCAGACATATCCTTTCTGAATGTAAACCAGTGGATGCAGAAACAACTTGGAATCTTTGACATTCTTTTAATTTTTTTTTTAAGTACTGTTGTTTTTTTCCCTACTTCTGTTCTTACAAGGATGTGGGAGATACAGAATAAGAGTAAGGAGTAAATTATCAAAAATTTTAAATATTTTTGAACAATGGGGGAAAATAATTTTCACTTCACCGAAGCGAGGGGAGGGAGTCCATAAGCCGCTGGTTCCCCTGCCTTGAAGCTGGTGAGTCCCGGCAGGAGTGAAGTTTCTGCCTTCAGAGTCACCCAAGGTGCTTGGTTTTCAGATGGAAATGGCTGTGGCCACTGCCTCAGAGGAGGCAGATGTCATCTTCCTTTTCGCGAAGGTGCTCGCTCCACATTCTCCAGAGGGAAGGCTGGGCCAGCACGGTCAGGCTTTTGCACGGATGGAGCCGCAGCTCCCTTCGCTTGCTCAGTCCCGAGATAGCGGCAGAGAAGGTGGTGGGAGAGCCTGCTCTCAGTTTCCTAAGCACCAAGGCCTGGGGATAAAATTGTTGTTTTAATCTTCATGTTTTCATCTGTAAAATGGGTGTAATGAGGGTATACGGGGCCAGGTGGAGCAATGTTAGTGGATGCTTAGTGCATTCCCCATCTCTTGGCCGTTCTCACCCACCGTTGTGTCACCACCAGGGAACCCCTGCATTTCTTCACCACATACTTCTCTTTGATCTAGGCCCACAAAACAGGTAGTGTCTACGTTTGACCTCATCTGCTGGTGGCCCCCAGGGCTCCCAGACCATTCACGGACATGAGTTTCAAAGGCACTTGCAAACTCTAAAGAGATGTGCAAGTCAGATTCACCACCCTCTTCCTTCAGCCCTTTCTGTGGCCCTCTGAGCTGGGATCCAAGTTCCAACATGACCTCAAGGCTCCCTGTGGCCTGGGCCCTGACCAGACCTGTGCTGGGAAAGTTCTCAGGGGAGAGGGAAGGTGGGGAGGGGAATCCTGACTTGTAGGATTTGCCCATTTCCATGGTGTAAATCCTCCCAAGGCCAGTTTCAGGCTACCGGCTTGACATCACTGCCTGGGAGTTGGGCAGAGATGTGCCTGATGGGCTCCCTGCCTGGCCCTCTCTAGGGCTATCCCCTCCCAGCCCCAGCCTATACCCCGGGCTTCCAGGTCCTGTCCGCCAACGTGGCTCTGCTCCTAGTGTCCTTATTTAGTTTCCATGTTTTCAGACTGTTTTCTCCGCTGTCATGGAAGCATTGCAAGAACAGAACAGGGACCTCATTCATAGCGTCCCCTTCTCAGAGAGGCTGACAGGTCTGAGGTCCCGTGGCTAGTTAGGAGGTGGACACGCCTTGGGTCTGCTCTCTGACTGCAGAGCTGAGGTTCTGCCCAGCAGGCTCCCTCTGCTCCCTTTGGTGGGAGGAGCCCACCAGATTGTGTGAAGATCAAAGGCTCTGAAACTGAGCTCCTTCCAGAAGAACATACCTCTCTCCTCCCCTCTCTGGCCTAAGGCAGAGTTTTGCAGTTCTGGGAGCTGCAGAAACTTCTCTTGACCTGCAAAGCCCTCGGGGGAGCTGCATGGACTTGCTGGTGATTGCCTTCTTACCCACGTCTTCCCCAACCCCTCTCCAGCAACAGTCCAAGGTGAGAAAGTCACGGTCCAAGAGTAAAAGCAAGGGAGAGCTTCTGAAGAAGTGCATCGAAGACAAAATTCACCTCTGTGAGGAACAGGCCTCTGAAGACCTGGTGGAAAAGGTCAGTACATCTGCTTCACCCAGCTGTTTCTCTCTGCACATGGCGGGGCTGCTCTGATAGCTGACACATTTGCAGGCACACAGAGCCCTTGGGGCTGTGCCATCCATCTCCACCCAACCGCTCACTCACTCAGGTGCTAAGGTAAGAAAGAGTTGGAAGACCCTCCCCCTGGGCCTTTCCCCTGTGCATTCTGTTTGGAACCCTCTCCCTCCACTTCTCAGTCTGGGGATCTCACCGGATCCTTCAGGCTTCACCTCGGGTGCTGCCTCCACTGGCTGAGTCACTTGCTGTATTTGTGCCTGGCTCTATCCTGGGGCGTGTGCACCTGCCATTTCACCTCCATCACATTCTTTTTCTCTCTCACACTCTCCTCCATGTTCCCACAAACTCACCAGGCTCTCCCTTCAGCCCCATTTTTTTTTGTTTGTTTGGTTTTGGTTTTTTTGAAATGGAGTCTTACTCTGTCACCCAGGCTGGAGTGCAGTGGTGTGATCTCGGCTCACTGCAACCTCCGCCTCCTGGGTTCAAGTGATTCTTCTGCCTCACCCTTCCGAGTAGCTGGGATTACAGGCACCCACCATCACACCTGCTAATTTTTGTATTTTTAGTAGACATGTGGTTTCACCATGTTGGCCAGATTGGTCTCAAACTCCTGACTTCAGGTGATCCGCCCACCTCAGCTTCCCAAAGTGCTGGGATTACAGGCGTGAGGCACTGTGCCTGGCCCAGCCCCATTTCATACGTGATGTTCTAGCACACACCACACAGTCTCCTAGGATGCTTTAATCTGTATTCTTCTGTCTTTGTGGAATTACTTTTCCACCTCTATTTACCTGGATAAATAACTTGTGTCCTTGCTGTCCTGAGGTGTTCCCTCAGCTCTTGGATGTCTCCCCTTCCAAGAAGCCTTACCCGAACACCGTAGATTCTCCCACTCATTCCACCCCACTTCCAACTCTTCCTTACCATAGCACCTATCACATGGTTAATTTGTTCCACAAGTATTTTGGGGAGGCAACAGTGTCCCAGGCGCTGTGTCAGTTAACTCTGGGGTTGCAGCAGTGACTGAGGCAGCCCTGGTCCCTGCTCTCCAGTAGAGGCGAGCCCGTTCTAGTTGGGGGAAATGGATCATAAACACTTAAAATGATAGACTGTCATCAGTGCTATTAAGGAAAGAAATTAGATAATGTGACCTTACAGGTGAAGTAGGCTGGCAGCAGGGTGGACTGTAGGTAGGAGAGGAGGCAGGGTCTCCTCTGCAAAGGTGCTGCTTAAGAGTAGACGCTGTGTGACCGCAGCCTGAGTGTCTGTCTGCCTTCCCCAGCACCCTGCAAAGGGTGGATTCCCAACAGGAGTATGTTCAGTGAATGAATGTATGAAGCCATGCTTTAGAGCTGCTGTTTTTGTTCTTACCTTCCACCTGTCTCCTTTTTCTAGCTTTTTTGCTTGTTTTTATTTTAGTGCCGGTGTATTTCTCAGAACACGAATGCACGATCTCGCCAAGAGCCATAGAAACTGCTCTGGGCTCAGTGTCTCCCATCAGGTGTGTCCAGGTTGTTGATGTCTTAAGGGATCCAGGAAGTGGCAACCCTATTCTCACCCAGGTTCTATATGAAATTGAACAGCAAGACAAAGATTAGGCAGATAGAGGCAAAATGTCATCTTACCTATTGTTAAAGGCTAATTCAAGAGATATACATCAATGTGAGAGCCACTGGGCTTCCTAAACTACCTGAGTATTAAACAAACTCCATCAAGCAATCACAGTGTCACTAGGGGGTTCCTTGTGGGGGGCAGCCTACCCCTAGGGAAGCAGAGCAGAAGTTGGGGTCCCAAAGAGAAGCGAGAGAGGTAAGCCAAGCTGTCCCAGTTTATTCCCAGTTTACAGCAAGAAGAGGAGAGAGCTGGAGAGAGGTCGGGTCCTGTGCACATTGAGCTCCTGGCACAGGGAGGAAGTAGCCATACTCGGGGGTAGAGGGAGCATTTCCCTGAGTACCGGCTGCTTTGTGATCCTCTGTAAGAGGTGAAACCCGCCAGAGTGAAGGTGACTGTTGTCGGAGAAGAGCTGCTTGTGAAGGGAAAGCTGGGGTTTGGTTTGGCAGAGGGAATGGGTATCCTGGACTGTGCTGGAGGCCACAGTGCACAGAGGGAACCCAGAGGGTTGAAGCCCTGTGACAAGGCTGCCTTACTGGAGTGCTGGGTCATGGCCAGTGGATGGGGGAGCAGCCCCGTGGAGGAACCTGCTCAAAGGCCAGGCTGAGAAAGCTAAGGGCCATCTCACCAGCACCCTTGGAGCAGAGTCACAGGATGAATGTCTGAGTGAGAAGGTGATGCAGAGATGGTAACCCATGGGGACATCAGGTGCAGACCGCACCGCTCCCACCCAGTGGCTCAAGGCTGGACCTCAACACCCTCCATAACCCCTCCCTGGCCCCTACCTCGTCTCCTCCTGCTCTGTCTCATAATTATTTCTTTTTTTTTTTTTTTTTTTTTTTTTTTGGAGACAGAGTCTCGCTCTGTCACCCAGGCTGGAGTGCAGTGGCACAATCCTGGCTCACTGCAAGCTCTGCCTCCCGGGTTCACGCCATTCTCCTGCCTCAGCCTCCCAAGTAGCTGGGACTACAGGCGCCCGCTACTACTCCCGGCTAATTTTTTGTATTTTTAGTAGAGACAGGGTTTCACCGCATTAGCCAGGATGGTCTGGATCTCCTGACCTCGTGATCCGCCCGCCTCGGCCTCCCAAAGTGCTGGGATTATAGGCGTGAGCCACCATGCCCGGCCTCTCATAATTATTTCTAATCCATCTCCTCTGTTTCCAGCCTTGCCTAGCACCATTTTTGCATAGATACATGCAGCAGGCTCCCTACTCTTTCCTGTTTGTTCCCTCTTCCTTCCAATTAATTCTCCTTGCAGCAGGGAGCAACCTCTTCCTAAAGCCCAGCTCCAATCCCTTACGGATCCTGAACCAGCAGACCCATCTCCTTTTTGGCCAAAACTAGTCATTTTAATAGAAGGAACTAAGCACATTCCTTCCTGTAGTTTTTTCTTTTTCTTTTTTTAAAACCATGTCATCCTGAAATAATTGAAAGAATCAGAACCCAGTTTTCAAGAGTTTATCCAAGAGAAAAACTGGGAATTGCCGTTTGGGAAATACAGACCGCAGAGAAATGGGGTCAGCACGCTAAAGCTAAAAGTTAAGGTCTTGCTTGTATAAGAATAAAATAAAGAGATTTAACAGGATTACAACATTTTCTACACAAGGCTAGTTTATAAGTTACAACAGTTTAATTAGTTACGGTTTGTTTTCTTTTCTGTATGGCTTGTTTTCGTTTCCTTTCCAATTTAAAAGAGTATATTTAACATTCCGTCTTGGCAAATGTGATAGCCATGAAGTCTGTGTGTGAGAGAAGAGGGAAGTTAATCTGTAAGGAAGATCAACAGTGCAGAGGGAAGGGGTCTTTTCTGGCGCCCTCTAGTCATTTACAGCATTTTACAAAATAATGTAGTCTGGGAAGAAGGCTAATCTGTAATCAGAGAAACAAAAGTTCAGCCGCTTAGGTTACAGCTGCCTGTCACATGACTCAGGCCCTATAATCATATTCCTTTAAGGCACCTAATAATTTAAAGTTTCTGTAACTTAAGTTTCAGATTACTTATCTTCACAACCATTTACATTTTCTCTTGGTGGCAAGTACAGAATATTGTTTTCTTTGCCTTTTAGTTTTTTTCTCTTTGTTTTTGCCCTGTTCAGGATTTTTGTTTTATTTAGACATTTTCAGTGCTTTATATCTCACATTACCACTTTTCTTTCTTAGTTTCTTTCAATTATTCTTTAGTTTTTAATTCCAGTACTCAGCATTATTACTGAAAATATCTTAACCTCATTCATTTTCTTTGTCACCCATGGTCCTTTAGAAGTTTATTACTCTCCCAGGCCTCTGCTTTCATCATAGTGTATAAAAGAGGGCTCTTTGTATAATTAAATAGGCTTAGTACACTGTACTAATATGACACAGTGATACTAAAAGAAAAACTGTGTCTAGTCTCTATCAAATTCCTGTCAGATACCAGTCTTACAGCTGATGCTCTTCATGAGCGTGAATCTCCATACTCATCACATTGCTGCAAGAATGGCATCTTGAAGTCCATTCTAAGCTCAAAAAGGTTAGTGCCCAGCCCAGGGTCCACCACCAGGCATGTGATGGGACCTGGTCTGCCTCAGCCCTCTGTGCAGTGTCTCCTAGTTCACACTGGCATCCTGGTCCCATGTAACATACTAGTTATCACTTCTTCCATAACATGAACAAGGGATCCAAGGCAGATGGGGAAGAGACATCTGAGGATCTCCATGATGCAGAGGGCACACACAATGACAGCCTGCCTTGGGAATCCTTGTGTACTGGGCCACCTTATCCAGTTGACACATGAGGGACAGCATCACTGGGGGCTGTGTGACTTGTTCAGGACCATCCAACTAATGGGTTGTGACTCTTGCAACTCAAAGCCACGTCCATTTGGATAGGAAACCTGGGTCTTTCCAGCTTACCCATCCTAGTCTACTTGCCACACATTCATAGATACTTAAGGAAGTTCCACAGGAGGCATTTGGCAAAAAAAAAAAAAAAAAGAAAAGGAAAAAGGAGCAAGACATAAGACACTGACCAAGAAGAACACGCTGCAAGAGTAAAGACCAGCTGAACCAGGCAGGTGAGCCCGGCAGGTGAGCCTGGGAGGTGAGCAGAGGCCTTCAAGGGATGGGGAGGTGAAGGGAGCTGGAGGTCTGCAATGCCCTGAGCCTGTCTTGGCACCCTCCCCTGCCCTGAGCTCATGTCTATGGTTTACATTTGGGGCAGACCTTTGTCCTACCTCCCAGCCCACATGCACAAGCTAGACCCTTCACCTGGTCCTGGGCTGAAGACACAGCCATCTGCTCCAGCACTGGAGGAAGAACTGGCCAGTTGTTGCTCTCCAAGGTGTTTCCAAGGGTGATTTAGATTTCGTTTTTGTCTTATGCACTGATTGAAGAACTTACCTCCCTTCCTAAAATGTGATGGCATTTTAATAAGAATGGTGCCTACTTCCTTTGTTTGCGTTTTAGTGCCAGGCACCTTGGTAGACACTGTATGTATATATATTAATATATGCATACGATAGAGGTATATGTATGTATGTGTGTGTGTACATATGAGCCATCCACATGTGAGTTCTACATATGAGTACCTATATGTATGTCCATAGTCCATATATATGCTAGTGAGGTGTACTGAGAGCTAAGTGCTTTCCATCTATCCACTCTAATCCTCACACAGCCTGTAACAGAAGTGCCACTGTCATTGCTCTATGAGAGATAAGGGCTTTGAGGTACAGGGAGGTGAAGTGACTCCAGGGTCACGACTGGTCTTCAGACTCTGCATTCTTGCTGCTATACTGACCTGTGCCTTGTTCATTACATGCTTTACCCTTCCCAACTTCCACCACAAGTAAGAACCATCAACGTCCCTGTTTTATGGATGTGGAAACTGAGTCTCAGAGATGTTAGTGACTTCGCCCAGGTTCCTTTATGTAGCCAGGCAGTGGCAGACCCAGCACGGGAAGCAGAAGCTCTCTGTTCTGTGTCACTGTCACACCACCTCCTGACCACATGCCCTGATCAGAACTGTCAAAGAATGTTTTCACCAAACAATGGCGGTTATTTCCCATGGTTTCACAATGCAGGGTGAGCGTGCCTTGGCTCCTGCATCTGTGAAATGTGGCTTGTGACAGTGATAGCCCACTAGTTACAGGGCTTTTGTGAGGTGCCTTTTAACTTTGGAGTGGGCTGTAGTGCTCGTCTTCTTTCCCACTAATGGAGCAGCTCCACATGCTACGTGATCCAGGCCTCACAAAGAAAGGCAGACACGAGGCATTTGTCATCTGTGACCTTTTCATGACAGTCCATCTTCACAGTCGGCCATTTCATTGTGGCAGGTGCCAAGAGAATAGACACTCTTGAGTTGACAGCTTTAATGTTCCTCCTGAATTTGATCGATTACATCTCTTAGCACTTGCATGGCGGTTGTTCAGATGTTTTATTTGCAGGATAATTGCAGAGGGAAAAATGACAGCTCTCGTTCTGTGAATGCCCACAACTAAGAGTTGCTTGATCATGATATTAATCATGGTTTTCCAGAGAAACAGAACCCATAGCAGATAGATACATAGATAGGGAGGTAAGAGGGTAGATAGATAGGAGGAGATTTTTTCAGATTTATTCAGGGAATTGGAACATGCAGTTATAGAGGCTGAGAAGGTCCACTGTCTGCCATCTGGAGGCTACAGAACCCGCAAACCTGGTGGTATAATTCAGTCTCAAGGCCTCAGAACTAGGGGAGCTGCTGGTGTAAGTCTGAGAGACCCAAGGCCAGAGAACCAGGAGCACTTTAGATGTCCAAGGGCAAGGAGAAGATGGATATCCCAGCTCCGGAAGAGAAAGAGAATTCACCCTTTTCCCAACTTTCTGTTCTATTCAGGCCCTGGGGATTCGATGACAGCCACCAACATTGGGGAGGGTAATCTCTACTATCTGCTGATTCAGATACTCATCTCTTCCAGGCTGGCACCGTGGCTCATGCCTGTAATCCCAGCACTTTGGGATGCCGAGGCGGGTGAATCACTTGAGGTCAAATTCAAGATCAGCTGGCCAACATGTTAAAACCCAGTCTCTACTAAAAATACAAAAAAATTAGCTGGGTGTGGTGGTGCACACTTGTAATCCCAGCTACTTGGGAGACTGAGGCAGGAGAATTGCTTGAAGCTGGGAGGCAGAGGTTTCAATGAGCCAAAATTGCGCCATTGCACTCCAGCCTGGACGACCGACCGAGACTCTGTCTCATTAAAATAAAATAATAAAATAACAAGATGCTAATCTCTTTCAGAAACATCCACACAGACACACCCCAAAATAATGTTTTACCAGCCACCTGGGCACCTCTTAGCCCAGTTCAGTGACACATAAAATTAACCATCACAATCATGTCTTGAGAGTGGGAGGTCCCTTGGAGTTCATGAAGCTGGAAAGATGGAGCTGCATCTTGCTGACACTGCCCAAGAGGCCCACTGTGGAGCCCAAGTCTGGCAGGCCATGTGGTGTCCCCAGAGGGACTTTGAATTCACCGTTGGGCTGCAGAGTATGCTGGGACTGGGAGTACCTGCTGGGTGACCCCTTCCTTTACTGAAATCTTCTGCAGATATCCATGCCAACCCTCAGTCCCAAATTGATATGGCCCTTGTCTGGACTCTTCCATCCAACAGAAGGGGAAAGAGAGGCCAGGAGGCATTGGGAAAATTGTCCGCAGCCACACCAGCATCGAGTGGTGGAGTTGGTGTGTCTGCCTCCATAGCCCGGGACTGTGGCTGGGACTGCAGGGAGCTGTTAGGATGAGAAGGCCTTCACCTCCCAAGATGACTCTTTGTGTTCTTCCCACTGCCTCCCCTGTCTCCTCCCCTTTCTCTCATTTTCTGTCTTCTCCTTGCCCTTCTCTGTTCTCCCCCATCCCTGTTCCTTCTGCTTCCTTCTTTAGGGAATGTTTTGTGTGGTGATTCCTCTGTGTGACGCAGTTTTAAGTTTCTGCTTTTGAGATGTTCACAGTTTCAGGTAAGCAGCCAGTTCTTCCATCAAGCATTTGGAAGTTTGCATTCTGCTTTCAGATAGAAAATCCACCTGACTACTCTGTAACTCTACCTCGAATGAGTGGCTGTGCAACTAATTCAGAAAGACTTGTATGACTGATTCTTGGAGGAAAGGAGAGACCGACAAATATGAGCCTCTGGCTGCCACTTTTTCTGTACAGCTGGTGGATTAAGGGAGGAAGGTGTCAGCTCTGGTCACAGGTAGCTATCCTGTGGGGCCAAAGTGACCAGATGAGAAATGGGAAAGTCAGCTACAGATGTCTGGTCCTTCTGATGGACTGATTACAAATGCACAGACACAGAATTTGCAGCCTGGAAGACATTGGAGGGCATATATATTTTAGAATAAGTTAATCAAGTTTCTGAATAAATTTCTATTATGATTGCATTAAACTTACAGATTCATTTAGTAGTTGCCTATCCTATCAAAAAATGTAGAATATTTCTTATTTGGAGCTTCTTTTAGGAGCTCTAGTGAAATTTTACAATTGTTTTCATGAGTAGAGAGATCGTACATCTCAATTTGCTTGAGACGGTCCCAGTTTCCTTATCATCCTCATGTCCCTTCCCATGAGCCCTCCCTTTCTCTCTCAGCTTAGGAGAGAAATCATATGGTGACCTTATACATAAGGTCTTGTGTATTCTTTATGGTGATTCCCAGACACAATATAGGTTTGGCTGTAATTGTGAATGATTTGATTATATGTTTTAGATTATTCAATGCTGGCATAAAACATGTAACTAATTTTTATAAGCCTTTCCGGACTTCTGTATGCTATCCTGGGAGCCAGACTGCTGGCTCCAGAGTCTGAGCTCTGCCATGTTCTAGCTGTGTGACCTTGAGCAAGTTATTTAACCTTTCTCCACCTTAACGTACTCATCATTCAAGTGTGGATAATAGAAGCGCCTACCTCCTAGGATTTATCTGTTGATTCCATTAATGTTTTATGCAGTCATAATGTCAACAAATGATTACAACTTTGTAGCCTCCCAATTCTTACACCTCGTTTCTTTTTCTAATTGCTGTTTCAATGTCCTTATCTGCTTGTTCCACCGTCTCTCTCATTTCTATTGATTGGGTTTTCTCTGGTTTATGGATCTTATATTCCTGCTTTTTTGCATGCTTGGTAATTTTAGATTGGATGCTGGGCATTGTAAATTTCATGTGTTGGGTACTGGATTTCATTGTGTTCTCTTTAATAGGGTTAGAGCTCTGACAAGTAGTTGAATTACCTGGAATCAGTTTTATCCTTTGAAGACTTGCTTTTAAGCTCTGTTGGCTTGGGTTAACAGCTGCGTTTAATCAAGACTAATTTACTCCCACTACCAAGGTGATGCCCTTCTGTGGATTCCGCCAAAAGTGTTATTGATTTATTATTGATTTCTAATTTCATTGCATCTTAGAGATCAAAGTATGTATGAAGATTCTTTGGAATGTATTGAGGCTTACCTTGTGGCTTTACAGTAGGTCTGCTTTAAAAGATTTGTTCTCAAAAAGGCTGGGTGTTTTCCGCTGAGTATGGAAAAGGGAGTATTAAGAGGTGGGTGGGAGCCGGGTCATGAGGTCTGCAAGGCTGCACTTAGCAGCTCAGATGTTTTGAAGTAAAATCAACAAGATTTAGGCATTTTGTAGAGAATATTTGGTGGGGAGTACCAGTGAGGAGGTCTCTATTGGTCCGTCCTCCTCTCCTAACCTCTGCTGTGGTTGGCTTAGGGGGTTTGGGCCTCATCTTAGTTTGACCTAGTCCTTTCCTTCTGCATGTCAGCCTGTGCTGAAAGTTACAGCAGTCCCGTCAGGAAGGGGATTGGCTTCTGTGAACCTACAGGTCCCCGTGGCACAGGAAGGTCTCATGCCACAGCAAGGATACGGTTGACCTGAGGGGGAGATGTCAAAGTTGCTGTAAGTGATGCTCAGTTGGGTCAGTCCCGCCACCCTCCCCAGTGCAGTGTCCACTCGGTGCAGGGACATTCTGGCCACCTGCACTGGCCTCAAGCCAGTCTCCTCAGCTTGGGGCAAGTTTGTCAGATCTGTTGGACTGTAAGGCTGTCACTCAAAATGCCTCCTGGCCAAGCCCTTCTTTGCTGAGTTCCTGGGCAGGACAGATAATGTGCCTTCTTTCTCTTGCTTCAACATCTGAGCGATTCCACAAAGTAGATTGGAGACACAGCACAAATTATGTGGTTCATGTTTTACTTACCAATGATTGGAAATAGATCTGTCTGTCCACATCTATCTATCTATCTTATCTATCCATCCATCCATCCATCTATCTATCTGTCATCTGTCTATCTGACCCTTGAACAACATGGGGGTTGGGGTGCTGACCCCTCACACATCACGGGTGGAGCCCAGCAGGCTCACCACATTAAACAAACAAAAATCAAGATTTCAGAGGCTACTGTGTCTATGATTTGTAGAGCAGAGTTCCCAAAGACAAGGTAGCTCCAACAGAAAGAGACAGAGCACACTCCAGAGATCTGCAGGGCATCCTCAAGTCTTCGGCTAAGTCCTGCGCGTGATGTGCATGAGTAGAACTCGTGTGTAACATCTGACTCCCCCCAAATATGCCATTATCCTAATAGCCTACTGTTGACAGAAGCCTTACAAATAACATAAACAGTTGAGTAATATTTTGTATGTTATTAAATATGTGTAAGAAAGTAAGCTAGGGAAAAGAAAATGTTTTTAAGAAAATCATGAGGAAGAGAAAGTATATTTACTGTTCATTAAGTGGAAGTGGATCATCATAAAGGTCTTCATCCTCATCATCTTCACATTGAATAGGCTGAGGAGGAGGAGGAGTAAGAGGAAGGATTGGTCTTGCTGTCTCGGGGGTAGCAGAGGTGGAAGAGTTGAAGGAGGTGGAAGGGGAGGCAGGAAACGCAGGCACCCTCAGTGTAACTTAAAATATTTTAACTGATACAATATTGGTACATATTTATGGGATGCATGGTAATATTTTGTTACATACATAGGATGTATAATGGTCAAGTCAGGGTATTTAGGATATCTATCACTCCATGTATTTATCATTTCTGTGTGTTGGGAACATTTAAGTCCTCCCTTCTTGTTATTTTGAAATAGAAAATACTTTGTTATTAACTATAGTCACCCTAATCTGCTGTTGAACACTATGTCTTATTTCTTCTATCTAACTGTATGTTTGTCCTCATTAACCAGCCTCTTTTGTCTCCCCCACAACCTTCCCCACCTGTGGTAACTATCCTTCCACCCTCTACCTCCATGAGATCCGTTCTTTTTGCTCACGTATATGAGTATGAACATGTGATGTTTGTCTTTCTGTGGCTGCCTTATTTCACTTAACACTGACGTAACTTTAATTGAAAGCAAATCCACGTGTGAGTGGAAACAGGCAATTCAAACCCGTGTTATTCAAGAGTCAACTGCTTATCTACTTATCTATTTCTGCTTTTTGCTTTATCTGAAACTTGAAGATTTTTGATATCAATATATGAGAGTTCCCTTGTTACTTTTCACAGCGGCATAGCATTTCACTGTATATGTGAGCCTTAAGTGATTTCATCCGCCCTCAACTACTGGATATTTAGGTTGTTTTCAACCCCTTGATATTTTAAACAATCCTAGACCCTCTGCATGTATCCTACACCCCTCTGTAGTGAAGCAGGCAGAGCAACTATTACTATCTCCATTTCACAGATGAGAATACTGAGTCTCAGAAAGAGTGAGAGGCTTATCCAAGGTCACAAAGCTGGTACATGGTAGAACAGAGCCTAAAGCACAGGCCTCTCCATGTCCATCCCTGCATTCGGCTAGCAGATCCATTTGATGGATGCAGAAATGAAAGGACATTTCAGTTCCTCTTTGGTGTGATTCTTGTGCTGTTTTTGAACAGCGTATACACAAATTTCTCACAAATAGTCTTTAGGAACACTTAATTATAAATGAAAATGACATAACCATATTTCCTCTTCACCCGTTATTTCTGGTCTTATTATAATGATCTTGCTCTCTGTCTGCATGGCACATCTACCATGTATCTCTTCACCCATCCACTATTCATTCACTGTTTCCAGATTTCATGATGTGTCGTGCATGCACCATTCACTAGAAATGCCTTCATTCAGAAGTGGAACTCCTGATTGCCAGCGACGGTGCATCCTATTCTGTTTCTGCAGCTGCCTTGGCAATTATGCAGGGGTAGTTGGTTCTTGTCAGGAATGGTCCTTCACTCTCTCTGACTTCAGAAGGGACTAGAGTTTAAGCATCAGAATAATGTGCTGCTTTTCAGTGACCTGACAAGAGAGAACCCTGATAGTCCTTAAAGAGCTCAGAAAAGAAGGCATGTTGAAAGGGAATCCATTTAGGAAGGGAAGAGAAAAATCCATCCATCCATAAAGATTGGGAAAGTCTGCAGACAGTTATCCTCACATCTCCCCTTGCCCCGTCTTATCCCTTGAGGCAGCCTCTGTCAAATTCATCTCCCTGAAGCACCATTTTGAGAGACATTCCATAGCTTCCCACTGACCCCAATAAAATTCAGATTCCTGAGCTTGGCATTCAAGGCCTCATGGTCAGACTTCATCTTACCTTTCTAATCTATCCAGTTTGGACCTTTCACATGCCAAAAGGTTACCCTGGCTATCTTTGGATGGTTTTAATTTAGTAACTTTTCTCCCACTTTTCTAGATTGTCTATTTTTAAATTTTACTTTTCATTTTTATCAAACATACGCATGCCTTCTTTTAAACAGTCAAATAATTCTACAAGGCTTCTGCTGAAAGAAGAGCAGCTTCCCCCAGCCATGCACACACACACACATTTTCAGCTCCCCAGAGTTAACAGCTTCTAACTGTTTAGCTTGGTCTTTTGGTGCTTACCTCCATAACTCTAAATAGCATGCTTGCTTTGCTACTTCTTGATTTCTGTAATTTGGGATTATCTATTTCCTTTTCCTATCTATTTCCTTTATAAAAGATGAGGATTTACTCTATTTTACTCTCTTCACTCAACCTGTACCACAAATCAGCCCTTTCATTATCCCCCACCATATTTAGGTCAGTATTTATGGCTTCTATGATTATAAGCATGTAAATGTTACCTACAGTTGAATCTTGTGGGAAACTAGAATCCTTTTTCTTTACTGTATAACTTTTTGTTTTTCCTGGAGTTAATATTGTTCTTTAGTTTCCTTAGGAAACTATTTTACTCTCTTTCTTCTCTAAACCTGGACCACTTATCAGCTCTTTCCTCATCCCCCACCATAGTTAGATCAGTATTTATGGTTTCTATGATTATAAGCACTTAATTATTATTCACAGTTGAATCTTGTAGAAAACTGGAATCCTTTTTCTCTACTTTATAACTTTTTGGTTTTCCTGGAGTTAATATTGTTCTTTAGTTTCCTTTTTAGTTACTTTTCTATGTATTTATCATCAATTTAATCCACTTCTTTTTACTTTTTTTTTTTTTTTTTTTTTTTAAGAGGCAATGTCTTGCTCTGTAGCTCAGGGTTGAGTGCAGTGGCACAGTCATAGCTCACTGTAACCTTGAACTCCAGGGTGGTACAAGTGATTCTTCTGCGTCAGCCTCCAAGGTAGCTGGGATTACAGGCATGCACTACCCTACTAATTTTTAAAATTTTTTATTTTAAAATTTTTTATAGGGACAGGTTTCTCACTACATTGCCCAGGCTGGTCTTGAACTCTTGGCCTCAAGCATTTCTTCTGCCTTGCCCTCCCAAAGTGCAGGGATTATAGGCATGAGCCACCATGCCCAGCTTTATTAATCCTCTTCTTGATGGTAGACCAAATACACTATCAGGACCATCACACATGTCACATCTTCTGTTAATCCCATCTTTCAGGGTACATCTCACTCTCTGCCTCTGATGTGCTCCAGTTGGAAACTGACCTCTGTGCCTCATGCACAGCTGCCATCTTGGGGTCACACTGTGAATTCCCTTCACTCCTCTCTTTCCTGGTTTTATCGTTGTTGTTAGTGAAACACATCTTTTATTAGTTTCCTGGGAAAGGGCACATAGGAAACTGAATATTTTGGAATTTTTCAGATTTTTCTAAGACTGAAAATGTTTCTATTCTGCCCTCATACTCAACTGATAGTTTGACCAATCTAGAAGTCTGGGAAATTTTCCTGAATTTTATTAATGATTACATCTCCTATTCTCTAATTTGTCTTTCTAGAACTCTCGGGATTCCAGTGTTGACCTCTCGTCCATTGTTTTTTTTTTTTTCCTTTTTTTTACTATTTGTCTTTTTGCTTCACTTGCTGGGAGATAGCCTAAGTTTTATCTTATAAGCCTTTAATTGAGTTTTTCATTTATGTTTTCAATCAATTTCTAATTCTTCAAGAGCATCTTCCTCCACCATCCCAATGCTGTCTTCCTAAAGAAAAAACATTCTCTTATTGTTTTGAGGCTGCTATAACTTGTTATATCTTTCTAAGAATATTAAAGATTTTTTTTTTAAATTCCTGCATGTTCACTCTTACCTCCATGTTCATTACAGGCTTTCCCAGGTATGTGGTCATCTTTGGTGGTCTGATGATATTTAAGAGTGGGATAATAAGGCTCTGAGCCTATAGCCAGGGCCCGTAGACTGTGGCCTTCAGTCTGGTGGCTGGGCTGCGCACTCTGTAGGGGAATCCCCAGTGTGAGTATCTTTAGATCTTTCATCAAGGCTAGTTGAATCCCCCAAAAAAGACCGCTCCAAGTCTTTTGTCTAGATGGTAAAGGCATGGCTGCCCAACATTTGGGAAGCCAAATGCAGGAAGAGAGCTGGGGTTTTAGTAGTCAGTATGTAAACTTTCACTAGGACCCTGTGTTTTCAGATGTGCCTGAGTTTCCTTCCCTAAATTCAGAGACTTTTCCTGAGACTAAATCTCCAGTCATCTGCTGGTTGTAGGGAAGAGAGTGGCCTGCTGAGCAAAGGATGGGTGGGGGGAATTCTGGGAGCCTGTTTCCTAATGAGATGTTTATCCTTTTCTTCTGTTTTAGCTCCATCTTTTACCTCCCACTTCTAGATGTGTCTGATGACTACATTTTCTGTGACTTGGGAAGGTAGATCTGCAGTTTAAATTATGTTGCTTCTTGCTTACTCCATGGCTTACTTAGGATTCAGTTTTTTGGGATCTATATAGTTCTTTCCCAATCAGTCATCCAGTTTCTAACTTTCAAAATTGTATCACTGTTGTTTCCTCTCTCATTTCCCCCATATTTACCCACTGCCTTAAAGAAAGCACTGGCTGCATCTTAAAAATTCACTATTCTTCACTAGGCATCTCCACTGTAAAGATTTTTTTTATATTGTGCATGTACTTTATCATTAGAAATGAAGAAACCTCTTTAAAATAGGGGGAAACGCTCAATATGGCAAACCATTATTTTTATCTGTTTTGTGCAACTTGAAAGAAATCCTATGTAATAATGATGTGAAATAGGATTTAATCCTATTTAATAATGATGTGAAATAGTGAAAATAATAAAGTGGTAATGATGATGACAGCTACTGTTCAGTAGGTACTCCGTAGGCACCAGGTACTATTTCCTTTTCACTGGAAAAACTGAGACTCAGACAGGTTAAGCAACTTGCCTTGGTCACACAGCTAGTTAAGTGGTAAGTTTGTATGTAAGAGATAATAGATCAACCTTAAAATACAACAAAGCAAAACTATGCCAAGTGATGTGAAGGGATGCCCCTCATTTCTTTGGGGAATTTGCACTTTGATAATGTAGATGATAGGGGTGGTAGAAGTATCTTTCTAGGCATATAAATTAATTTGTCTGTGTCTAAAATTTAAGCACTAATGAAGCTTATTTAGCAAAATAGTATTTCATTTGACAAATATTAACCCAATGGACCATCAGTGAATCTACTTTCCTCCTGATACAATATGCCACAGGGAGTTTTAAACATTTCCCATCTTTTTACCTGCTCTGGGTATCTTGAACCCATTCAGCAGAACATGGATTAGACTAACCTGATTTTTAACAGGACCAGCCGCTAGAATGGGAATCTTCTTTTATTTTATTTTATTATGCTTTAAGTTTTAGGGTACATGTGCACAATGTGCAGGTTAGTTACATATGTATACATGTGCCATGCTGGTGTGCTGCACCCATTAACTCGTCATTTCGCATTAGGTATATCTCCTAAAGCTATCCCTCCCCCCTCTGCCCACCCCACATCAGTCCCCAGAGTGTGATGTTCCCCTTCCTGTGTCCATGTGTTCTCATTGTTCAATTCCCACCTGTGAGTGAGAATATACGGTGTTTGGTTTTTTGTTCTTGCGATAGTTTACTGAGAATGATGATTTCCAATTTCATCCATGTCCCTACAAATGACATGAACTCATCATTTTTTATGGCTGCATAGTATTCCATGGTGTATATGTGCCACATTTTCTTAATCCAGTCTATCATTGTTGGCCATTTGGGTTGGTTCCAAGTCTTTGCTATTGTGAATAGTGCCACAATCAACATACGTGTGCATGTGTCTTTATAGCAGCATGATTTATAGACCTTTGGGTATATACCCAGTAATGGGATGGCCTGGTCAAATGGTATTTCTAGTTCTAGATCCCTGAGGAATCGCCACACTGACTTGCACAATGGTTGAACTAGTTTACAGTCCCACCAACAGTGTAAAAGTGTTCCTATTTCTCCACATCCTCTCCAGCACCTATTGTTTCCTGACTTTTTAATGATTGCCATTCTAACTGGTGTGAGATGGTATCTCATTTTGGTTTTGATTTGCATTTCTCTGATGGCCAGTGATGGTGAGCATTTTTTCATGTGTCTTTTGGCTGCATAAATGTCTTCTTTTGAGAAATGTCTGTTCATGTCCTTCGCCCACTTTTTGATGGGGTTGTTTGTTTTTTTTCTTGTAAATTTGTTTGAGTTCATTGTAGATTCTGGATATTAGCCTTTTGTCTGATGAGTAGGTTGCAAAAATTTTCTCCCATTTTGTAGGTTGCCTGTTCACTCTGGTGGTAGTTTCTTTTGTTGTGCAGAAGCTCTTTAGTTTAATGAGATCCCATTTGTCAATTTTGGCTTTTGTTGCCATTGCTTTTGGTGTTTTAGACATGAAGTCCTTGCCCATGCCTATGTCCTGAATGGTAATGCCTAGGTTTTCTTCTAGGGTTTTTATGATTTTAGGTCTAACGTTTAAGTCTTTAATCCATCTTGAATTGATTTTTGTATAAGGTGTAAGAAAGGGATCCAGTTTCAGCTTTTTCCATATGACTAGCCAGTTTTCCCAGCACCATTTATTAAATAGGGAATCCTTTCCCCATTGCTTGTTTTTCTCAGGTTTGTCAAAGATCAGATAGTTGTAGATATGCGGCATTATTTCTGAGGGCTCTGTTCTGTTCCATTGATCTATATCTCTGTTTTGGTACCAGTACCATGCTGTTTTGGTTACTGTAGCCTTGTAGTATAGTTTGAAGTCAGGTAGCATGATGCCTCCAGCTTTGTTCTTTTGGCTTAGGATTGACTTGGCGATGCGGGCTCTTTTTTGGTTCCATATGAACTTTAAATTAGTTTTTTCCAATTCTGTGAAGAAAGTCATTGGTAGCTGGATGGGGATGGCATTGAATCTATAAATTACCTTGGGCAGTATGGCCATTTTCATGATATTGATTCTTCCTACCCATGAGCATGGAATGTTCTTCCATTTCTTTGTATCCTCTTTTATTTCCTTGAGCAGTGGTTTGTAGTTCTCCTTGAAGAGGTCCTTCACATCCCTTGTAAGTTGGATTCCTAGGTATTTTATTCTCTTTGAAGCAATAGTGAATGGGAGTTCACTCATGATTTGGCTCTCTGTTTGTCTGTTGTTGGTGTATAAGAATGCTTGTGATTTTTGTACATTGATTTTGTATCCTGAGACTTTGCTGAAGTTGCTTATCAGCTTAAGGAGATTTTGGGCTGAGACAGTGGGGTTTTCTAGATATACAATCATGTCGTCTGCAAACAGGGACAATTTGACTTCCTCTTTTCCTAATTGAATACCCTTTATTTCCTTCTCCTGCCTAATTGCCCTGGCCAGAACTTCCAACAGTATGTTGAATAGGAGTGGTGAGAGAGGGCATCCCTGTCTTGTGCCAGTTTTCAAAGGGAATGTTTCCAGTTTTTGCCCATTCAGTGTGATATTGGCTGTGGGTTTGTCATAGATAGCTCTTATTATTTTGAGATATGTCCCATCAATACCTAATTTATTGAGAGTTTTTAGCATGAAGGGTTGTTGAATTTTGTCAAAGGCCTTTTCTGCATCTATTGAGATAATCATGTGGTTTTTGTCTTTGGTTCTGTTTATATGCTGGATTACATTTATTGATTTGCATATATTGAACCAGCCTTCCATCCCAGGGATGAAGCCCACTTGATCATGGTGGATAAGCTTTTTGATGTGCTGCTGGCTTTGGTTTGCCTGTATTTTACTGAGGATTTTTGCATCAATGTTCATCAAGGATATTGGTCTAAAATTCTCTTTTTTGGTTGTGTCTCTGCCCGGCTTTGGTATCAGGATGATGCTGGCCTCATAAAATGAGTTAGGGAGGATTCCCTCTTTTTCTATTGATTGGAATAGTTTCAGAAAGGAATGGTACCAGTTCCTCCTTCTACCTCTGGTAGAATTCGGCTGTGAATCCGTCTGGTCCTGGACTCTTTTTGGTTGGTAAGCTATTGATTATTGCCACAGTTTCAGAGCCTGTTATTAGTCTATTCCGAGATTTCAGCTTCTTCCTGGTTTAGTCTTGGGAGGGTGAATGTGTTGAGGAATTTATCCATTTCTTCTAGATTTTCTAGTTTATTTGCGTAGAGGTGTTTGTAGTATTCTCTGATGGTAGTTTGTATTTCTATGGGATCGGTGGTGATATCCCCTTTATCATTTTTTATTGCGTGTATTTGATTCTTCTCTCTTTTCTTCTTTATTAGTCTTGCTAGCGGTCTATCAGTTTTGTTGATCCTTTCAGAAAACCTTGGATTCATTGATTTTTTGAAGGGTTTTTTGTGTCTCTATTTCCTTCAGTTCTGCTCTGATTTTAGTTACTTCTTGCCTTCTGCTAGCTTTTGAATGTGTTTGCTCTTACTTCTGTAGTTCTTTTAATTGTGATGTTAGGGTGTCAATTTTGGATCTTTCCTGCTTTCTCTTGTGGGCGTTTAGTGCTATAAGTTTCCCTCTACACACTGCTTTGAATGCATCCCAGAGATTCTGGTATGTTGTGTCTTTGTTCTCGTTGGTTTCAAAGAACATCTTTATTTCTGCCTTCATTTTGTTATGTACCCAGTAGTCATTCAGGAGCAGGTTGTTCAGTTTCCCTGTAGTTGAGCGGTTTTGAGTGAATTTCTTAATCCTGAGTTCTAGTTTGATTGCACCGTGGTCTCAGAGACAGTTTGTTATAATGTCTGATCTTTTATATTTGCTGAGGAGAGCTTTACTTCCAACTATGTGGTCAATTTTGGAACAGGTGTGGTGTGGTGCTGAGAAAAATGTATATTCTGTTGATTTGGGGTGGAGAGTTCTGTAGATGTCTGTTAGGTCCGCTTGGTGCAGAGCTGAGTTCAGTTCCTGGGTATCCTTGTTAACTTTCTGTCTTGTTGATATGTCTAATGTTGACAGTGGGGTGTTAAAGTCTCCCATTGTTATTGTGTGGGAGTCTAAGTCTCTTTGTAGGTCACTGAGGACTTGCTTTATGAATCTGGGTGCTCCAGTATTGGGTGCATATATATTTAGGATAGTTAGCTCTTCTTGTCGAGTTGATCCCTTTACCATTATGTGATGGCCTTCTTTGTCTCTTTTGATCTTTGTTGGTTTAAATTCTGTTTTATCAGAGACTAGGATTGCAACCCCTGCCTTTTTTTGTTTTCCATTTGCTTGGTAGCTCTTTCTCCATCCTTTTATTTTGAGCCTATGTGTGTCTCTGCATGTGAGATGGGTTTCCTGAATACAGCACACAGATGGGTCTTGACTCTTTATCCAATTTGCCAGTCTGTGTCTTTTAATTGGAGTATTTAGTCCATTTACATTTAAAGTTAATATTGTTATGTGTGAATTTGATCCTGTCATGATGATGTTAGCTGGTTATTTTGCTCGTTAGTTGATGCAGTTTCTTCCTAGCCTCAATGGTCTTTACAATTTGGCTTGATTTTGCAGTGGCTGGTACCAGTTGTTCCTTTCCATGTTTAGCGCTTCCTTCAGGAGCTCTTTTAGGGCAGGCCTGGTGGTGACAAAATCTCTCAGCATTTGCTTGTCTGTAAAGTATTTTATTTGTCCTTCACTTATGAAGCTTAGTTTGGCGGGATATGAAATTCTGGGTTGAAAATTCTTTTCTTTAAGAATGTTGAATATTGGCCCCCACTCTCTTCTGGCTTGTAGAGTTTCTGCCTAGCGATCAGCTGTTAGTCTGATGGGCTTCCCTTTGAGGGTAACCCGACCTTTCTCTCTGGCTGCCCTTAACATTTTTTCCTTCATTTCAACTTTGGTGAATCTGACAATTATGTGTCTTGGAGTTGCTCTTCTCGAGGAGTATCTTTGTGGCATTCTCTGTATTTCCTGAATCTGAATGTTGGCCTGCCTTGCTAGATTGGGGAAGTTCTCCTGGATAATATCCTTCAGAGTGTTTTCCAACTTGTTTCCATTCTCCCCGTCATGTTCACGTACACCAATCAGACGTACATTTGGTCTTTTCACATAGTCCCATATTTCTTGGAGGCTTTGTTCGTTTCTTTTTATTCTTTTTTCTCTAAACTTCCCTTCTTGCTTTATTTCATTCATTTCATCTTCCGTCACTGATAGCCTTTCTTCCAGTTGATCGCATCGGCTCCGGAGGCTTCTGCATTCTTCTCGTAGTTCTCTAGCCTTGGTTTTCAGCTCCATCAGCTCCTTTGAGCACTTCTCTATTGGTTATTCTAGTTATACATTCGCCTAAATTTTTTTCAAAGTTTTCAACTTCTTTGCCTTCAGTTTGAATTTCCTCCCGTAGCTTGGAGTAGTTTGATCGTCTGAAGCCTTCTTCTCTCAACTCGTCCAAGTCATTCTCCCTCCAGCTTTGTTCCGTTGCTGGTGAGGAGCTGCGTTCCTTTGGAGGAGGAGAGGCGCTCTGCTTTTAGAGTTTCGTTTTTCTGCTCTGTTTTTTCCCCATCTTTGTGGTTTTATTTACTTTTGGTCTTTGATGATGGTGATGTACAGATGGGTTTTTGGTGTGGGTGTCCTTTCTGTTTGTTAGTTTTCCTTCTAACAGACAAGACCCTCAGCTGCAGGTCTGTTGGAGTTTGCTAGAGGTCCACTCCAGACGCTGTTTACCTGGGTACCAGCAGCGGTGGCTGCAGAACAGCGGATTTTCATGAACCGCGAATGCTGCTGTCTGATCGTTCCTCTGGAAGTTTTGTCTCAGAGGAGTACCCGGCCGTGTGAGGTGTCAGTCTGCCCCTACTGGGAGGTGCCTCCCAGTTAGGCTGCTCGGGGGTCAGGGGTCAGGCACCCACTTGAGGAAGCAGTCTGCCCGTTCTCAGATCTCCAGCTGCGTGCTGGGAGAACCACTGGTCTCTTCAAAGCTGTCAGACAGGGACATTTAAGTCTGCAGAGGTTACTGCTGTCTTTTTGTTTGTCTGTGCCCTGCCCCCAGAGGTGGAGCCTACAGAGGCAGGCAGGCCTGCTTGAGCTGTGGTGGGCTCCACCCAGTTTGAGCTTCCGGGCTGCTTTGTTTACCTAAGCAAGCCTGGGCAATGGCGGGCACCCCTCCCCCAGCCTCGCTGCCGCCTTGCAGTTCAATGTCAGACTGCCGTGCTAGCAATCAGCGAGACTCCATGGGTGTAGGACCCTCCAAGCCAGGTGGGGGATATAATCTCCTGGTGCGTCGTTTTTTAAGCCCTTCGGAAAAGCGCAGTGTTAGGGTGGGAGTGACCCAATTTTCCAGGTGCCATCTGTCACCCCTTTCTTTGACTAGGAAAGGGAACTCCCTGACCCCTTGTGCTTCCCGAGTGAGGCAATGCCTCTCCCTGCTTTGGCTCACGCACGGTGCACTGTACCCACTGTCCTGCGCCCAGTGTCTGGCACTCCCTAGTGAGATGATCCCGGTACCTCAGATGGAAATGCAGAAATCACCCATCTTGTGCGTCGCTCACGCTGGGAGCTGTAGACCGGAGCTGTTCCTATTCGGCCATCTTTGCTCCACCCCCTAGAATGGGAATCTTCAAATGCACATTTATATTTCAGCAGCGTTTCTTTAGCCTTATTCTCCCAATGTTTGGGTGCAAGTTTCTTGATAATGTTACCAGCAGCAAATCTGTACGAATCTGTGGCACCTTTAATTCTCACCTCCTAAGAAGAAAGAATTTAACCAAGGAGCATAAGACAAAGAAACTGAGGCAAGTTTTCAAACAGGAGTAAATGTTTATTGAAAAGCTTTAGAGCAGGAAGAAAAGGAAGTAACGCACACTTGAAAGAAGGGCAGGCAGGTGACTGGAGAGACCAACTGCACAGCTTAACTTTTGACTTGAGCTTTTATACAGTGGCGTACTTCTGGAAGGTTGCATCCTGTATTAGTCCATTCTCACACTACTATAAGGACATACCCGAGACTGGGTGATTTATAATGGAAAGAGGTTTAATTGATTCACGGTTCTGCAGGGCTGGGGAGACCTCAAGAAACTTACAATCATGGCAGAAGTGGGAAGCAAACATATACTTCTTCACATGGCAGCAGCAAGGAGAATTGCAGAGCAAAGAGGGAGAAAAATCCCTTAAAAAACCATCAGATCTCATGAGAACTCACTCTCAGGAGAACAGCATGGAGGTAATCACCCCCATGATTCAGTTACCTCCTATGACAGGTGGGGATTATGAGAACTACAATTCAAGATGTGATTTGGGTGGGGACACAGCCAAACCATATCACATCCCTTCTCCCGTGTTTCTTCCCTTGGGGCGGGCTGTTCACATGCACAGTGACCTGCCAGCACTTGGGAGGAGCCACATATGCAGTGTTTTTACAGAAGTTGTGCACATGCTCACTTGAGGCTTTCTTCCTTACCAGTAGAATGTTCCTAGAAGATGATATACTAGTTATACTCTGCCATTTTGCCTCTTAATGCACATGTGCGAGCCCACTTGCCCAACTCCTGAGTTCTTATCGGGAAGCTGCTGATCACCAATTTCAAGTCTTTACTATCTGTTGGGAGACTGCTGTTCCCTGGCACCAGCTGCAACCAATTATTATTTTAAAGAGGCAGTTAACAACCACTTGACCATCACCTGATGGCCACCTGACATTCCTGGTATTTGGCGGGGCTCTCTCCTGCCCTGCTCACATCTGACTAGTTACCTACTGTAACAATAAGACCTCTCTCAATGCCTCTTTTGCCACTGGAGGTTGTTGCTAGTGGCACCGCTAGATTCTCCATCCCTTGGCCCACTTTTCTCCAAGGAGGGCATTTGTGATTAAAGAAGGAATGGGACAGGTTCAGCTCAGCCCCCTTCTCTCTGGGAGCCAGCATTCCTGTAGGAAGCCCCTCTTATCTGTTTTTTAAGTGATGAATTTGGTAAGGAGGCCTGCTCTTGGGGGATTGTGAATTTGTTTGGATACAGATGTGAGCCACATTCTCCAGTCTAGTTTTCATCAATATGAAAGCTGACATTAGGCACCTAGCTAGCTCACCCTTGCATCTAGTTGTATTTGTTTCCAAACTTGGGCAAGGAGAGGTGTGATTTATTAAACCCTTTAGAATCCCAATAACTCTCTGCTGGTTGACACAGGTAGACTTTATTATATGTTTAAAGGACATTATAATGCATAGAAAAAACTTTTTGTTTGAAATCCACATGTTGTCAGGGAAAAGTAGTAAGAAGTTGTTTGAACTTCTCGTTTAAAGAGTATTTAGCAGCATATCATTTTGCAAATGAATTTGTATTATTCTCAGTGGCTTGAATATTTAATGAAGCCTGTCATTAATACCTCATAGAAATGCAAATCTGTGTTGTTTCCCAGGATTTCTTCTAGACAAAGGATTAAAACCCTCTCTAGAGACACATTCTCATGGTGCTGGAACTAACAAACTAAGCTTTCCAAAGAAGAAAAAAGAATTTTGGAGAAGGTTTTTTTTTCTTTTTAATTTCACTGTCCATGTTGTTCATACAGTATATACAAAAGGCTTTACACTTCACCCACATTTATTCATGCATTTACATAAATAAATCTTTAGCTTTTCCTTACGGCCTTCTCATTCTGCCCTCTGCTCTGCACCTCTGCAGGGGTCTGGGTCTTATGGGACACTTGGACCACCACCCACCCACCCAAGAGGGGAAGATGGAGACCACACAAGGATAACGTGAAAACCCTAGCGCATGGCAGGCATGTAATAAGGAAGACTTCTGTCAGCTGAAGCATGATGATGTTCATAAATTTGGGAAGGAGACCTTTATTTCTCATAATGGGTTGTAGCCTGCAGGGTGGCCCTTCTGACGGGCTAGGAAGCATAGCCTCTGGTTAGAAGCTGAAAACAGGCACTTAGAGAAAGGGGCAAAGGAAACAGGAATTTATGCTAAATAGGGTGGCTTAATATATATATTTAATAAGCTATAGGAGGAGTCATGAATATTTATGAAACGAGAAACATGCACAAGTGTCATTGAGCTTCATGCCCCTTCATGGGTCCTGTGTCTCCACCCAATCTCATCTTGAATTGTAGTTTACATAATCCCCATGTGTGTCATTGGAAGGACCTAGTGAGAGGTAACTTAATCATGGGGGCAGTTACCCTCATGCTGTTCTCGTGATAGTGAGTGAGTTCTCATGAGATCTGATGGTTTTGTAAGGGGCTTTTCCCCCTTTTGCTTGGCACTTCTTGCTGCTGCCATGTGAAGAAGGATGTGTTTGCTTCCCCTTCTGCCATGACTATAAGTTTCCTGAGGGCTGGGGAGGCAATTAAATTTCTTTTCTTTATAAATTACTCACTCTTAGGCAGTTCTTTATAGCAGCATAAATATGGACTAATACAGGTCTCATGTACAAAAAAATGGTGGTGCTAGCATGATCTAAGGGTGGTGTTTTCTACCTTCTGACATCAGAATGTGAAGAAGAGGACACTAAAACCCTCACTGAGCATCCTCCATAGACTGTCCTGAACCACTCTGTGGTCAGTGTGTATTATCCGGAAGGAATGCTGGTTGGTTGCTTTGTCAAAACAGCAAAAAGGAGGGGCAGTGTCAGGCAGTTGGTTGATATTGGGGTGGAGTCTTTTGGAAGAGCTGGTTTCTGTTTAGCGCTCAGGGAAGAAAACCTAATGATGGTTAGTGAGGGAGGGAGTGTAGCAAGGTGTGTCTAACCTCCCATCCCATTATGGCTGGGAACTCAACTTCCAAGGTTTTTCTGGGGTCTCCTTGGCCAACAGGAGGCCCATTCAGTCAGTTAGGGGCTTAGAATTTTATTTTTATTGATCACCTCTTACCAATTCTTGCCATGCCTTGCCCATCACTCAACTTTTTCCTGTTCAGGGACATCCAGCTCTCTTGCCCTTCTCATTGTCTGAGGGGAAGCTCTGCCTTCTTGTCCCTGACAGTTCAGGGCCTCTGCAGTATGGGTTCTTCTCCCCCACACCTTTACGGCTTCATCTCCCACTTTCCCTCTTAGCTTTTATCTAATTCAGCCTCACAAGTCTCTGTAGGGCCCCCTGCCTCAGTGCCTCTGGTCATGCTGTTCCTCTTCCTGAATGCCTGGATCCTTCAGTATCTGCTTCAAATGCCAATATTGTCATGACTTTCCCTGACCCCTCCACCTTCTCTTTTCTCTAAACCACATAGCACCATATACAGACCTCCCTTATGGAACCCACCATATTCCACCTTAGGTAATAAGAGTATTAACAACGGCAATATTTGTTAAACACTCCAATGTGTCAGGCACTGTTCTGAGCACTTAACAGTATTAGATTATTAATAATCAGAATAACCCTATGAGGGACTTCTGCTTGTGACCAAGACAGAATAAAAAGTATCAGAATTACTCCTTACCTAAAACAAAACAAACAAAATCTATGGAACAGTGATTTTCAGGACACTGGACAGCAGACAAAACTGATCCCTAAGAAATAAAAAATAAAGGAATTCACCCCGTCATTGTCCCAGGTTACTGCCCTAAAAGGGTTTCCAGGCTGAGGCACAGCAAGAAGGAACCCAGCAGGTCTACTAGGGTAGACCCTTTGAGTAAAAGAGACAAAGCTAAGAATTTGGGGAAGCCAAGTCAGATAGATTTCACAGGACAGAATCCCAGAAAAGAAAGAGCTGCACAGAGAAAACTCCAGAGGTGTCTACTGGGTCCTCTTGAGTATTCTGCTGAGACCTGCGCAGCACTTCCATGGAAGAAAATTGCTCAAAGCTAGGGGAAAGACCACCCAAAATACTTAGAAGAATACTCAGCATTTACACCAGGTTGGGGATAGTGACAGTTCCTTCCACCCAAACTAGAAAGCCTCAATTCAGAGGACATCAAATATAGTACTCAAAAAGGTCTTGCCTCGGCAATGGAAATAATGAGCCCTATGCTAGTCCCACATAAAAGAGCTTAAAAACATAACCCAAAAGGTTAGCCTGTTTCCAAGTAGCTTAACTGCATCTCAGAACAAAGCTCAATAATTATAGAAACACAAAAATATCTAGGACCCAACAAGGTAGAATTTACATTGTCTGTAGTTCAGTTAAAAAGTACCAGGCATGAGACAAATAGGAAAATATAACTCCTCATGAGGAGAAAAATCAATCAATTGAAACCAATCCAGAACTGACACAGATGTTAGAATTGACAGAGAATGGCATTTATGCCTAGTGTTCCATTATTGGAATGCTAAGCTTGTGGGAGTTATTTATATTGTACTGCTCAAGGGCATCACCAAGTTCTGATTTTTCACACACAAAAAATGGCAACCTCCAGCATAAATGGGGTAAAACAGTCATTATAATTTTGTTTAATATGTTCAAAAAAGGTTAAGTATAGATATGGAAGATGTAAAAAGATATATCTATATGTCTATATTTACATCTATACCACACATATTTTTGTTCTCTAGAAGTTTGATTTGAATATACACACACACACATACACATGTGTGTGAGAATTAACAGCAGATTAGACATTGCAGAAAAAAATTAGTTAGCTTGAAGATATAGCAATAGAAACTATCTAAAATGAAAACAGAGAAAAGTGAGCCATGAGACAACTTCAGGCGGCCTAATGTGTGGGTAATTGGAATTCCTGGAGAAGAGGAGAGAGAAAAAGAAGGATGAAAACATATTGGAAGAATTAACGGCTAAAATTTTGCCTAATTTGATGACAACTATAAACTCACAGATTTAAGAAGCTCAGTGTATCCCAAGCATAAGAAACTTGAGGAAAATTTTTCTAAGGTGCATCATAATCAAATTGCTCCAAACCATTGATAAAGAGAAAATCTTCAAAGCAACTGAAGGAAGAAGATACATTATGTACCCTACAAAGCAAAGAGCAGGTTGACAGCCGATTTCTCATTTCAAATAATGCAAGTGAGAAGAACATGGAGCAATGTCTTCAAAACAATGAGGAAAACTGCCACCTAAAATTCTTTATTCAGAAAGTATATCTTTCAAGAATGAAGGTGAAATAAATTTTTTTAGACTTACAATGCTGAAAGTTTTCCTTACTAGGAGATTCATACTCCAAGAAATGTTATAGGAAATCAGGCAGAAGGATTTTCATAACAGATAGAAATCTAGAACTCAGGGAGGAGACCACCCCTCATATTGTCTTATGCCCAATTTCTGCCTCCAAAGAAAGAAGAAGTAAAAACTAAAAGGCAGAAATGAAATCCACAAGCAGACAGCCCGGCGCCACACCCTGGGCCTGGTAGTTAAAGATTGACCCCTGATCTAATTGGTTATTTGCATAAAAAAGGCACTGTGAAGATCCCTGTCCTGTTCGGTTCCTTTCTAATTACCAGTGTATGCAGCCCCCAGTCACGTACCCCTGCTTGCTCAATCACGACCCTCTCACATGGACCCCCTTAGAGTTGTGAGCCCTTAAAAGGGACAGGAATTGCTCACTCGGGGAGCTCAGCTCTTGAGACAGGAGTCTTGTCTATGCTCCTGGCCAAATAAACCCCTTCCTTCTTTAACTCGGTGTCTGAGGGGTTTTGTCTGCGGCTCTTCCCGCTACAGAACCACACAAAAAAATGAGCAATGGGAATGGTAACTACATGGGTACTTACGTTAGATTCTCTTTTAATTTTAAAAATCTTCCAAAAATTGACTGATTGTCCATCCAATGGAATATGATGCAGCCATAAAAAGGAAATGAAGTTTTGATACAACAAGTAGATGAACTTTGAAAACATTATGCGAAGTAAAAGAAGCCAGACACAAAAGGTTGTTCTTCTGTAGTTCCATTTGTATGAAATATCCGGAATAAGGAAAATCATAGAAACAGAAGATTGGTAGTTGCCAAGGACTTGGGGGTGGGAGGACTGGGGAATAATTGCTTAAGAGGTGTGGGGTTTGCTTTTGCTTTAGGGGTGGTGAAAATGTTCTCAGACTAAATAGAGGTGGGGGCTACTGAATCCTAAATGTCACTTAATTGTTGACTTTAGTGAATTTTATGTTATGTGCATTTCACTTCAATAGAAAATTTTAAAGATTGACTTATTTCAATGAAAATAGTAACAAAGGAGTGTGACGTTTTTAACGTATGTACAATTAAATGTGTGACAGAAAAAGCACAAAGACCAGGAAGCAAGAAATGGGAGTAAATTAGCATAATGTGTGTAAGCCAAAAGTATCTGAGACAGATCTCAATCAGTTTAGAAAATTTATTTTGCCAAGGTTAAGGACACACCCATGACACAGCCTGAGGAGGTCTTGATGACATGTGCCCAAGGTGGTTGGGGCACAGCTTGATTTTATACATTTTCGGGAGGCATGAGACATCAATCAATACATGTAAGATGTACATTGGTTTGGTCCAGAAAAGTGGGACAACTTGAAGTGGGGGCTTCCAGATCATAATTCGATGAAAAGATTTTCTGATTGGCAGTTGGTTGAAAGAGTTATTGTCAATAGAAAGGAACATCTGGGTTACACTAAGGGGGTTGTGGAGACCAAGGTTTTATGATGCAGATGAAGCCTCCAGGTAGCAGGCTTCAGAGAGAATCGATTGTAAATGTTTCTTATGAGACTTAAAGAGTCTGTTCTATCTGAAATTCCAAAAGGAAGGAGGGTATAAGGAGGCATGTTCAGCTCCCCCTTCCCTTCATGGCCTGAACTGGTTTTTCAGGTTGACTTTGGAATCCCCTTGCTGAGAGGAGTGGTCCATTCAGATGGTTGAGGGGGGGCTTAGAATTTTATTTTTGGTTCTTGTACTCCATGTGAAGTGATATAATATCAATTGAAGGTACCCTGGGATAAGTCAAAGATGTGTACTATAAACCCTAAAGCAGCCACTAAAATAACAAAACAGAGCTATAGCTAATAAAGCAACAAAGGGAGGGAAGGGGGAAGCATAAGAGATCCTCAACCCAGAAGAAGATGGTAAAAGGTAAATCTCAAAATAAGTATTTTCAGTCAAAACAGCTAGACAGGTCGGGCATGGTGGTTCACGCCTGTAATCCCAGCACTTTGGGAGGCTGAGGTGGGTAGATCACTTGAGGCCAGGCGTTCGAGACCAGCCTGGGCAACATGGTGAAACCCCATCTCTACTAAAATTACAAAAATTAGCTGGGTGTGGTGGTGCATGCCTGTAATCCCAGCTACTCAGAAGGCTGAGGCAGGAAAATCACTTGAACCCAGGAGGTGGAGGTTGCAGTGAGCCAAGATTGCACCACTGCACTCCAGCTTGGGTGACAGAGCGAGACTGTGTCTAAAAATAAAATAAAATAAAATACAACAGCTAGATAAAAAAATATGTACCGTATGACTCCACTTATAAAAAAAAACTCTAGAAAATGCAGACTTGTCAATTGTAGCTGAAAGCACATCAGTGGTTGCTAAGTGGGGGGCAGGGGGTGGGATTACCAAGAACATGGATGTGTTCACTACCCTGGTTGTGGCGATGGTTTCATAGGGGTAGAAACATGTCAAAGTTTATCACATTGTGTACTGTAAATATGTGCAGGTTATTATAAAGAAGTTATACCTCAATTAAGCTGTTTTGTTAAAAAAACAAACTAAACTCTGTGTGTTGGATGGAATTATTTTCTCCACTTTATAGATGAAGAAGCGTAGGCATGCAGAGCTTAATGATTTGCCTGAGGTCAAGTAAACCCTGGGCACCTGGTTTGAAGCCTACATGGAACAAAACAAACATAGAGAAGTGAGACCGCTTCCGTGGAAACTATAGACCCAAAAGACAAATAGTAGAATTTCAGGAAGGGAGAATGGGAGGACATTTCAATCACTGCAAAGAGCACAAACCACAGACACAAAGCGCATGGTGTGTAGAGCACAGCGCACAGCTGGGAAGGGCATTCCCAGTTGTGCATGTGTGAGTGGGGTAGGGGCAGAAGAACAGACCAGACCTGTCCAGGGGAACCTTGGCTGGGATTGGGGTGGGGAGCTCCTTGGATCCCATGCTCAGGAGTTGAACTTCCATCCTCTAGGACATGGAGAGACTTAGAAGTGTTTTCAGAAGGAGAGCAATGGGCTCAGGTGACTCTTGAGGATGATACATATGGAATGAAGGATGGCTGGGCTCCCCAAGCCCCTGGCGTCTTCATACGCAGGGACAGCCTTTTCTGATGTTGCTCCCTGCAGGTTCCCAGTGCGTCTCCATTGTAAACTTTTGGTGGTCCTCAGAATCCCAGGTCTGTGAACTCTGAAAGGCTGTTTGTTCTCCTCCACCCTCCTCTACTCACTGCTCTCTGGGTTTGGGTCCATCCCTGTCCCCTCCCAGGTTCGAGGTGAATTGCTGCGGGAGAGAGTGCAGCGGATGGAGGCACAGGAGGGAGGCTTTGCACAGTCGCTTGTTGCTCTGCAGTTCCAGAAGGCGTCCCGGGTGACCGAGACTCTGTCGGCCTACACCGCCCTCCTCAGCATCCAGGACTTGCTCCTGGAAGAGCTGAGTGCATCTGAGATGCTGACCAAGTCGGCCTGCACACAGATCCTGGAGTCGCACAGCCGGGTGAGTGCAGGCGCTGGGAAGGAGAGGGGGACAGAGCTGGGTCTTTCTGGTACCTACCTCTGCATCTTCCTCTATGAAACAGGCTGCAACCCCCGTCCTGTCTGTGCTGTGGGGTTGTGGTGAGGATTAAACGAAGTGACATATTGGAGAGTACTTGGCACTCTCTCAACCAAAGATGGCTCTATTTCATTGCTCTGAGAAGCAACCCTTTTGGATTTTAACATCTCTGAAACTTGGCAGGTGCCATGGGTTCATTGGCAGTATTGTTTCTTTCATTGTGCTAGGGAGGACAACAGTGTATCTTCCTATTAGCAGCATCCTAAATGCAACAGTGTACTGGGTTATTTATTATTTAAAAAATTCTAATTATTAGCATTATCGCAACATGCTACATTCTTTCCAAAATGTGAGAGGTATATCCGTAAAACAAAAGCTATGGTAATAACTGTTTTGGTGACTAATTTTAGGTCTTTTATGTGTAGATTTTAGAATTTCATTTGTTATCTATTATTATCATAATTACTTATAATAAGGAAAAAACCCCTCACATTTATTGAAACCCTAGTATGGGGAGGGAAGCGCTACTAAGTTGTAAATAGACATGCTCTCACTTCAGTGTTAATAATTCTTTACTTAGTTATACTTATTAAGGCAGGAGAATCGCTTGAACCCAGGAGATGGAGGCTGCAGGGAGCTGAGATCATGCCACTACACTCCAGCCTGGGTGAGACAGAGCAAGACTCCGTCTCAAAAAAAAAAAAACTGTGTTTCTTCTGAAGTACAGCATAAACAAAATAAAAAACAAAACTACCATAGAATTGATAAAGTGAAGAGATTTTTTTTTGAAAAAAGTCTAATAAAATATACAAACCCTTGGCAAGAGCAACCATTAAAAAATATAAAAGACAATAATATTAAGAGTATAAAAAGCAACACGACTATAGATGCAGTAGAGTTTTTTAAAATAAGAGAATGTTATGAACAACTTTATACAGATGAATTCAAAAACTGAAATGAATTCAAAAACTAGAAAAATGCAAATCACCAAAATTGGCTCAAGTAGAAAAAAAAAGTCTGATAACCCTCTTGCCATGAAAGAAATTGATTCAGTACTTTAAAATCTTCCAAACCACACAAAAGACACCCAACTCCAGTAGTTTCGTAGATGAGCATTGCCAAAGTTTAAGGTATTTTGCCAGTCTCATATATGAATTATTCCTTGTATTAGAAAAATAGGCAATATTCCTCAACTCATTTTATCATGCTAGATAACTTTAACACCAAAACCAGACATGAACAGTACCAGAAAGAACAATTATACTTCAATCTTGCATGTGAACATAGATGTACCATTTGAAAACAAAATAGCAGAATACAGCCATCTATAAAAAATTAATACATTATGGACAGGTTGGGTTTATTCTAGAAATATAAGGTTGGTTTAACATTAAAACATCCATTTACAAAATTCACCTGATTAACAAATTAAAGGGGAGTGACTCATGTGATCATTTTAGTATATAGAGAATATGTCTTTATATTAGTCTGTTCTTGCATTGCTATAAGAAATACCCTGAGACTGGGTAATTTATAAAGGAAAGAGGTTTAATTGGCTCATGGTTCCACAGGCTATACAGGAAGCCTGATGCATCTGCCCAGCTTCTGGGGAGGACTCAGGAAACTTACAATCATGGTAGAAGGTGAAGGGGAAGCAGGCATGTCTTACATAGCCAGAGCAGGAGGAAGAGAAGTAGGGGGAGGTGCCACACACTTTTAAACAACCAGATCTCATAATAACTCCATCACGAGAACAGCACCGAAGGGATCGTGCTGAACAATTCATGAAGGACCCCCGTGATCCAGTCACCTCCCACCAAGCTCCACCTGCAACATTGGGGATTACAATTCAACATGAGATGTAGTCCCACCCAAATACCATGTTCTTCTCACATTTCAAAATATAATCATGCCTTCCCAACAGTCCCCTAGAGTCTTAACTCATTCCAGCATTAACTCAAAAGTCCAAAGTCCAAAGTCTCATCTGAGACAATTATAAGTCCATTCCACCTATGAGCCTATAAATTAAAAAACAAGTTAGTTACTTCCAGTGATGCAATGGAGTTATAGGCACTGGGTAAATATTCCTGTTCCAAAAAGGAGAAATTGGCCAAAAGAAAGGGGCTATAGGCCCCAGGCAAGTCTGAAATGCAGGATGGTAGTCATCAAATCTTAAAGCTCCAAAACAATCTCCTTTGACTCCATGTCTCATATTCAGAACATGCTGGTCCAAGGGATGGGCTCCCAAAGCCTTGGGCAGCTCAGCCCCTGTGACTTTGGAGGATTTAGCCCCAACAGCTGCTCTCAAGGGCTGGTGTTGAGTGCCTGCAATATTTCTAGGCACAGGATACAAGCTGTCAGTGGATCTATCATTCCAGAATCTAGAGGATAGCAGCCCCCTTATCACAGCTCCACTAGGCAGTGTCTCAATGGGGACTCTGTGTGGGGGCTCCAACCCCACATTTCCCCTCCACACTGCCCTAGCAGAGGTTCTCCATGAGGGCTCTGCCCCAGCAGAAGGCTTCTGCCTGGACATTGTGACTTTTCCATATATCCTCTGAAATCTAGGCGGAGGCTCCCAAGACCCAACTCTTTCATTCTGTGCACCTGCAGGCTTAACACCACATGGAAGCTGCCAAGGCTTACAGTTTGCATCTTCTGAGCAGTGGTCCAAGCTGCACCTGGGGTCCTTTGAGCTGAGGCTGGATGCAGGGAGCAGGGTCCCAAGGCTGCACAGGGCAGTGGGGCACTGGGCCTGGCCCAGGAAACCATTCTTCCCTCCTAGGCCTCTGGGACTGTGATTAAAGGGCTGCCGTGAAGTTCTCTGAAAACCCTTCTGTTTCCCATTCTCTTGGCTATGGTGGGCTGCAAATTTTCCACACTTTTACACTCAGCTTCCCTTTTAAATATAAGGTCCAGTTTCAGGTCATTTCTTTGCTCACACATATGAACATAGGTTGTTAGAAGCAGCCAGGTTACATCTTGAATGCTTTGCTGCTTAGATATTTCTTCCAGCAGATACCCTAAATCATCACTCTCAAATTAAAAATTCCACAGATCTCTAGAGTAGGGGCACAATGCCACCAGTCTGTTTGCTAAAGCATGGCAAAAGTGACCTTTACTGCAGTTCCCAATGAGTTCCTCATCTCCATCTGAGACCTCCTCAGCCTAGAATTCATTGTCCATATCACAATCAGCATTTTGGTCACAACAATGTAACAAGTCTCTAGGAAGTTCCAAACTTTCCCTCATCTTTGTGTCTTCTTCTGAGCCCTCCACACTCTTCCAATCTCCTTTGGTTACCGAATTCCAAGGCTGCTTTCACATTTTCAAGTATTGTTGTAGAAATGTCCACTCCTCAGTACCAATTTTCTGTATTAGTCTGTTCTCACATTGCTATAAAGAAATACCTGAGACTAGCTAATTTGTAAGGAAAGGAGGTTTAATTGGCTCATGATTCTGCAGGCTGTACAGGAAGCATGATGCATCTGCTCAGCTTCTGTGGAAACCTCAGGAAACTTACAATTATGGCAGAAGGCAGAGGGAAAAGAGGCACATCTTACTTGGCTGGAGCAAAAGGAAGAGAGAATGGAGGAGGTGCTACACAGTTTTAAACAACCAGATCTCACTACAACTCACTCACTATCATAAGATCAACACCAAAGGGATGGCACTAAACCATTCATGAAGGATCCACCCCCATGATCCAGTCACCTTCCAGCAGGCCTCACCTCCAACACTGGGGATTACAATTCAACATGACAAATTCAGTCTTTAATTGAATTTAACACCCATTCAAGATAAAACTCCGTAGCAAATTAATAACAGGAGGAAACCTCCACAGAGTACTTAGCCAAAGCCCACAGCAAGTGTTACACTGGAGGTGATTAGCGTGGAGGCGGATCACTGCCCTAATAGAGCCTGCAGAGGGAAGAGCAGGTCCAAGGTCATTTAGTGAGTTAGGGGCAGAGTGAGACACCAGGAACATTTAGCCTCCAGTGCATGATTCATCTGCTCATCCTAAGTGCCCAAGAAACACCCTCAGTACAGCCCTAAAACACATAGTTGTGCTGTTTACTTGAGACCACACTGATTTCTATTAGTATAATAATTGGAGAGTACAACACTTACATTTTCGATTTTATCCTAAAACTCTTTTGAGTAACTCCTACCTCTAGTTTGTTTAGAACAGAGAGTTAATGTGTCCTGAGTGGGGAACAGCTGATAAATCAGATGATGCCGTATTCTTAAATGAGTGTTAAGGCAATGCATATGATACACTCTTATTTGAGTTTGCATTTGAAATGAAGACAAGCCTGTTGTTTTGTTCCAGATATTAGACTTGCATTCTGCAATTTGCTCATTCTGTGTAAACCACTTTCCTATTGGGAATGGGCTTTTAGGCTGTTAAACATTCAGGAGAATTAAAAAAGCATGAAATAGAATGCTTTGGAAGAAATTACTCCTAAGAAAACTATATCAAGTGCACCTCATCTGATGAAAGATTTAGACTCATTTTGCAAAATTGGAACATATGCAAGGCTCAGTTGGATCAGAAGGCCAAGTGACAATGATAGGCAAATTTAAATGGGGTGGACTTACTCCTAACAGATAATGTGACCCCAAACAAATGGTACCCACTGTATTTGCATTTCAGTTTAAATTGCTGTGTGTTTACTTTCCCAAGCCTCACCTGGCATCTTCCTCTTCTTCTTCTTTGTTTATTGTTTTGAGACAGTCACTGTCACCCAGGCTGGTGTGCAGTGGTGTGATCTTAGCTGACTGCAACCTCCACCTCCTGGGTTCAATTGATTGTCCTCCCCCAGCCTCCCGAGTAGCTGGGACTATAGGCATGCACTATCATGCCCAGCTAATTTTGTATTTTTAGTAGAGACAAGGCTTCACCATGTTGGCCAGGCTGGTCTCGAACTCCTGACCTCAAGTGATCCTCCCACCTTGGCCTCCCAAAGTGCTGGGATTACAGGTGTGAGCTACCACGCCCAGCCTCGGCATCTTCTGATCTTCCCTCTGCCTTTCTCCCTATGGACCACTGGCCACCATCTGTTGATTCTACCTGAGCTTTCTGCTTTCCACCTTTCGCTGCCCAGCTTCACTAGTCTGATGTATCTAGACCGGAAGAACAGAAATAACCTTGATATTAACCAGCATCAATGGAGCTCTCATTATGTCCAAAGCAGTGGGCTAAGTGTTTAAACCTCATGTCCATCCCATGACATTTTCATACCCATTCTACAGATGAAAGAGCTGAGGCTTAGGAAGGTTAAATCATTTCACCAAGGTCCCACAGCTGAAAAGCAGACTTTAAACCTGCCTCCAAAGCCCATGTTCCTGTCCTAAACTCAATTTCTGCCTACCTCCCTTTCTCCCTACTCTAGTTACCCCCCTGCACGGTGGCCAAGGGGATGTTTCTGAAAAATAAAAGTGATGATTCACAGCCCCATCCCCAGCTCTACATTTAAAAATCCCACCTTTCACCACTCCCTCTCTCAGATCCTGCATTTTAGCCCCTGGACCTTCTTGCTGCCCCCTGAGCATTGGAGACACATTCAGGCATGGGTCCCTTTGAAGGATCTCTGCCTAGAATGCTTCTGCTCTACCTCCTTGCAAACTCCTATCTATATTCTAAGACAAACCCAAATGTTACTTCCTCTGTGAAGCCATCCATGATTCCCTCTGGCAGAGGTGGTCTCTTCCAGCTCCCGTAACCCTCCATCCCGAAGCAGATGATGGCATTTCCCATCTCTGCAACTGTTGACATGAGTCTCTCCCTCACTAGACAGTGAGTTTTCATGTCTCATTCACCCCTGAATCCCCCAATCTATTATCTCTCTCTCTCTCCCCGTTTCTGTGTGTGTCTTTCTTCCCCTCCTTCCCTTTTCCCTCCCTCCATCCACACTTCCATCCATCCATCATCAACATCTATGTATGTATTCATTCATTCAGCAGATACCTGTGGAGTGATTACTAGGGGCGTTAGAGCTGAGTGATGGGACCCAGAGTCAGAGACACCTGAAATCACCCCTGACTCTGCCTCTTGCCCAGCTCTGTGATTTCAGGAGATTTCGTTATACTCTCTTGCCTCAGTTACCTTATACATAAAATTAGATGATGAAAAATTCCTATCTTGTGTTATTTTGTGAAGATTAAACCAACTAATTCATGTAACTTTTATAATCTGCTGATACAATCTGGCACCATATTGGCATTCAGTAAATGCCAGCTGCTGTCATCCCCATCATCATCATCATTGTTGTTATTGTTGCTGTTTCTTCTTTGATGAGCTATGCACTGTGCTGACTGCTGGGAGAAAGGAGAACATGTCAACGATGCTCCTGAGTCCCTGACCTCAGCATTTAAAATCTGGTGAGGAAATCAGCTATTAGGGAAGACAATTCCAGAACCAAGTTTTGGATTCAAGTTGTTCCAGGTGGCAGGCAGGTGTAAGGGTGCAGGGGTTTGGGGACACCATCAGCAGATTATAAACGTGGGACACATTTCCACCTCTATTCCATTCCTAACCAGGGCTCTCCTGGTGCTTGAAAAGCTCTGTGTGTTCCACCGTTCCTCTGATGACACAGACAGGCTCAGGTGTGACCCTCCCTTCTTGAGGTGGGCTGGGGCTGGCATCTGGGTAGACGTGGGGTCTCTGTCTCCAGCTCCTGGCCATGCTGACAGCATGACAGCATACACTGCTGGAACTCCACTGGGCTGTGTTTCCTTGTGGGATGCTGCAGCGAGAGGGATGGTCATAGTTCCACATCTCAGCATGCTAGGAGCCCTGCTCAGGAGTTCTCGAAGGCCCAGCACCCAAATGCTTGGGGGGGATAGAAGGTTCTCCGTGCGATGGTGTCCATGCTATAGAGAGATGCAGTCTATCTCTGGCGGATTTTCTTCTGTCATGGTTCTTGAATAGTGTTTCAGAGTCTTTAGGGGGCTTTGAGACCCTTTTGAGTGTTTGATGCAAGCTTTGGCCTTTCTGCAGAAAATTAGACCATTTTGTACCTATTTAGGAGGATCAAGGACCACCCTCTCATGGTGAAGTCCAACCAAGGCCTCTTAGGATTTAACACCCTGTCCACCTTCCAGTCCTAATTATAGTACTGACCAATCTGGTAAATACTGGGTTAAATGTGCCTGCATTCTCCAAGGCCTGGGGCCCTCCTGCCTCCGCCCACAACCCACCTAAGCAGGCTGTGGACAGTTTCTTGTGTGAGATTATCTAATCCTGGTGGCCTAAGAATGCAGATTACTTCTGTTTGGCCAAGGAGAGACAATGTAGCTTAGTGGTTAAGACTGCAATTTCAGAGCCAGCTAGCCTGGCTTGAAATTCAGGATCTGCCACTCAATAGTTACATCATCTGACAAATTAATTTAACTCTGTCTGCCTCAGTTCCTTTACCTATAAAGCAAGAGAACTTAGAGTATGTATTCTGAAGGATTGTTGTAAGTGTTCAGTGAGATTCACGTATGGAAAGTACACAGAGCAGTGCTCGGCACCCTGATGGTACTGGTGGTGTTAGCCATAGTTGCTGTGTTCCAGCCTGGCTTTCGTCCATGCCGGGTGCATGCAGATACCCCACCATATGCAGTGACAGGTGCCAGCCACCAGGCACTTTGCAGGCAGGGAGAAGGAGACACAGCCCTGCCCTCAAAGAGCTCACACTGTAGCAGAAAGGCACAGGACAGTGATTTCAGGTGACAGGAAACAGAGTGCATGCAAGGGGTAGTGAGTGGGCACATGAGGAGAGGGCATCTGTGTCTCCCAAGGAACTCAGGGATCCTTTCGCTGAGGAGCCCTTCACCAAGGAGTTTCTTCTTAAGCGGAGGGGTGAAAGAAGACTGGGGATTGGTCAGGCAGACAGAGAAAGGCACTGCAGGTGGAGGGAACGGCCTATGTGGAGGCATGGAGGTGACACAGGGGTGAGAGATCGTGGTGCACTCACATTGCACCATGTGGCACAGCTGGATGGGGAACCAGGCAAGACAGAGTCATGCCAGACTTGTAGCAAGACACCCAGGAGGTCAGATTTTGTCCTCCACCCCACCCGCCTTGTGCAGTGGTGCTTACCCTCTGCCCCTTCCTTGTGTAGGAGCTCCAGGAGTTGGAGAGGAAGCTGGAGGACCAGCTGGTGCAGCAGGAGGCAGCCCAGCAGCAGCAGGCCCTGGCGAGCTGGCAGCAGTGGGTGGCCGATGGGCCCGGGATTCTGAACGAACCTGGGGAGGTGGATTCTGAAAGGCAGGTCTCTACTGTCCTGCACCAAGCCCTGAGCAAGAGCCAGACATTACTGGAGCAACATCAGCAGTGGTATGCCGTGTGCCCCGTAGCACTCAAAGATATTAGTCCCCAGCAGTCCTGGAGAACCTGGCATCTCCAACTCAGCCCACCCATACCCACCTGGGCTCTCACCCTCTTGCCTAAGGTGTCATCCCATTGCTCCAACACGAGCTGCTGGCTTTGTAGCATACTCTTTCTTCCCTGATGCCCTTCTTTTTTAAATTTAATATCATTGAAGTTTTACCAAACGTAATATTTTTAAACTTTTTATTTTGAAATATAGACTCACAAGAAGTTGCAAAGGTAGTAGGGAGAGTGCCATGTACCCTTCCCCCAGCTTTCCTTCTTGGAAACATCTGACATAATCATGGTATGTGAATTGACATTGTCACAAGACAGTGAACTAGACTACAGGCCTTATTGCAATTTCACCATAAGCATAGTATTTTATATCCTGCTTTTGTAAAATTATAAAACAGACAGACCCCCAGTCTTTTTGTTGTTGTTGTTCTTTGCGTTGTTTTTCAATTCACATTAGGCACTTAGCCTTGGCTGTGGCATTAAGAATCCTTGGAAAAACACAATTTTTAACAGCTTCATACTTTTCCACTGTGAATAAAAAATGGACATGGAAAGGACTGGAGGCAAAGTCTATACACAGCGTGGTTAATTTTTGCAAACACACGCACACGCTAATTGGAAGGAAATAGACCAAATTTCAGTGGATGTGATTTCTGGGCAGTGAAATTACAGATGATTTTCATTCATCCTATCACGCTCTTCTGTGTAAATGCATCAAAGTGCAGTTCTGTCCCATCGAAATAATTGTGAGGGGGCCCCATCTGCGTGGTTGGAGGGAAATGCTCAAAGGCATTGGCTTGATTTAGCCTGGGATTTTAGGGCATATAGTATTCATATGCTCCTGGAGGAGATGGCTTGTGTTCAAACTTTTGATTTGAGTTGCACTTGCAGAAGGTCTGGGGTGTATTAGCCAGGAAGAGCACGAGGCAGATCCACAAAGCTGACTTGCATTAGCTAAGGCATGTGTTAAGCAGACCCCCTCGTGTGGGCGTCAGGAAGCCTCATGTGAAAAGGTGTCATCCTTTTGTTCTGGGTCTGCATCAATCCAAGGGCACATGGTGGGTGTAGACCCCAGATCTTGGTCTTCTTGGTCATCACCATGAGGACTGATGCAGAGTTTTCAAAGCAGCATCACAGAGATCACCCTGTAAAGCCATAGGAAAGTCTCCTTATAGCTCCCATGAAACTTTTCACTTCGAGGAGCCTCCTTCTGAGGAAACCCTCCTTGACATGTTATGTGCAAAGTAGCCTAGGCAAGAAAAGGAAGGCAGTCTTTCTGGCCATCTCTTTCTATGGACATATTTTTAAAATCATATGGCTGAGATGTGTGCTTCTTTGTTATTTAAATAACTAGATGATCTCATAGTATCACTTTATAACAAAACTGAACTTACGTATATTTTATTTTCACTCCAGTTTGAGAGAGGAACAACAGAACAGTGTCGTGCTAGAAGACTTGTTGGAAAACATGGAGGCAGACACCTTTGCAACCCTGTGCAGCCAGGTGAGAAGGTACTGGCAGGGTCTGAGGCCACCCCTTGCCAGCACGTCACTTCATCTTTTTCTCAGAATCCACATTTCCTCACCTCCAGGATGGTGATGAAAAGCCAGCCTTGGAACCTGCAGAGCAGATGTGTGCGAAGCTCTAGCATGGGCCCAGCACACAGAGGGTGCTCAATCAGTGCTAATGGCAGCAACCGCAACCATAATCACATGTGCCCCAGTCGATGTCTTTTCTGTGATTTGGCAGGCACCCAAATATTGTCCTTCTTCTCAATCTTTAACTAAGTTTAATATACAAAAAGTAGGTTCTACCGGGAAGAAAGTGGGTAAGAGAAAACTGGGCCAGAGCCATCAATCAGTGATACTGCACCCCACACTACACCTCTCTGAGTGGAGATCAGCCAACCTTTCTCATCCTTGGCCAGAGTTGCAGACTCACCTCCCTTCCTGATACAGAGCCCTGAGGCTGTGCACGGAGCCTTATGCAGTCATGTACCTGACTGTCTGCTACCGATCGGGTTTTATACGCATCCTGCGATGGGCTTCCTGTGCTTCTGGTGTCTGTAAGTAGCAGGAAATACAACTTCAGACAGTGGTGAATGCGAGCCACACGACTCCAGAGAGGTGCTCGCTGATGCAGTGACATCAGGGTCATGTTCTGTGATTCTTTCCACAGTTCCTTCTCACAGTTCCAGCTGCAATAACTTTCAGAGCAAGGAGGGAAGAGGTCAAAGAACTGCCACCATGCCCGTTCTTTCTCATCAAGGAAGCAAATGCCTCCAAGTCCCTGCAGCAGGTTTCCCTCGCAACCTGAGAGCTGACCCGTGGGCCTTGCTAGCTGCAGGGGAGGTGCGAGTCACTTTGCCCCCCAGCCTCTAAGAAGGGAGTCAGCAGGAAGGAGGGGTTAGGGCGCTTTTAGGCGTCCAGCTGGCTGCATCCACAGGCACACCGAGCTTCCTGAATGAATTCGTTTCCTATCACTGCTGTCACAAATGACCACAAACAGCAGCTTATCACAGCTACAAACTTACCTTAAAGTTCTGGAGGTCAGAAATCCAACATCGGTTTCTCCAGGCAAAAATCAAGGTGTTGGCGGATTTGCCTGCCTTTCGGAAGCTTTAGGGGGAGAATCTGTTTCCTGCTCACTTAAGTAATTGGCAGGGTTCAGCCCATTGTGGTTGTAGGACTGAGGTCCTTGTTTCTTTGCTGGCTTCCAGTGGCACCTACATTCCTTGGCTCATGGCCTCCTTTCTTCATCTTCAAAGCCAGCAAAATTGCATCTCTCTGGCCCTTCTTCCATCCTCCTCACATCTCTCTCTGACCTAACACAGCAGGAAAGGTCTCTACTTTTAAGGACCCACATGGTAATTATATTGGAACCACCTGGATAATCTAAGATAACCACTTTCCCACCCTATCTCAAGGCCCCTGACCTTACTCCCACTTGCAAAGTACCCTTCGCCTTATAAGGTGACATCTTCGCAGGTCCCAGGATGGGACATTTTGGGGAGGGATCATTATTCTGTTGACTGTGCCAAACAAGGTGCCAGTGTTAGCACTGGAGTGACAGTGTCCAAACAGGGCAGGGGAGGAGCTGGTACTTCCTGAACACCTGCCATGCCTGTTATTCATTTAATCCTTGCAGAAAGATGGGAAACAGGCAGTATTATCCTGTTTTATGAATAAAGGGACTGAGGCAAAGAGAGGTGGTGAGGGCATGAGGGCCCGCCACTGCTCGTGGGGGGCTTGGGATTCAGCCCAGCTTGGTGATGCACATACTCTGCTCTTCCTGACCGACTGTAAAGGATCTGAAGCAGATGACCACCCCGGCCTATGTCTCTGCGTAACTGAGCCATCTCCCACTCTCAACTTTGATTCCCCCACCTTTATCTTTGTCACTTTGAGACTTCACAGAAAGCCAGTGTCACCAGCAGAATTTCACCAGGTTCATTTCTAGATTCTGGGCCCTTTTAAATTGTGAACTCTGTATGCATCTCAGTCTGTTTCTGCTACTACACAAAATTCCTAGACTGGATAATTTATAAAGAATAGAAATTCTTTATCAATTTTCTCATAATTCTGGAGGCTGGGAAGTCCGAAATCAAGGTACCTGCAGATGCAGTGTCTGGTGAGAACTGCTCTCTGCTTCCAAGATGGTGCATTGTTGCTGCATCCTTTGGAGGACAGGAAAGCCGGGTCCTTATGTGGCAGAGGGGATGGGAAGGCAAAAAGGGCTAAGCTAGTTCCCTGGAGCCCTTTTATAAGACACTAATCCCATTCTTGAAGGCAGAGCCCTTATGACCTCATCACCTTCAGCAGGCCCCCCTTCCTAATAGTGGCATTTGTGGTTAAGTTTCAACATGAGTTTTGGAAGAGACACAAATGTTCAAACAATAGCACTCTGCTGAAGAATTGGCTCTATGCAGAATAAATACTGCCAGACCGGAAGCTCTGGGCAGCAGGCACCAGGTAGGATTGTTTTTTTTCTCTGTCCCCAACTTGGTGCTTTGTATAGTCTGCCCAATAATATCTACTCAGCTGAATTTCTTTCTTCCCAACTCCTGTGTATTAATAAGAGTCCTCCAGAGAAACAGAACTGATAGGATGCATCTCTGTAGAGAAAGAGATTTATTGAAGGAATTGGCTGCCGTGATTGTGGAGGCCGATGAGTCCAAATTCTGCAGGGTTGGCCTGCAGGCTGGAGACTCAGGAAGGAGTTGCAGTTCGAATCCCAAGGCCATCTGCTGAAAGGATTATCTTCTGCTCAGGACTGGTCAGCCTTCTTGTTCTCTCCAGGCCTTCAGCTGATGGCTGAGGCCAGCCACATTATGACAGGCCATCGACTTCCCTCAGAGTCCACCAATTTACATGTTAATCTCATCCCAAAACACCCCCACAGAAACAACAAGAGGAATGCTCAACTGAACATCTGGGCACAGTGGCCCAGCCAAATGGACACATAAAATGAACCAGCACATCCAGACTGGAGGAAGCCCCATATTTTGCCGTTTTCTTTTTGTACTAGAGAAAAGAATCATCAGGGAAGCTCAGTCCTCCATTTCTCTCTTTGTCCTTACTCCTCTTGCTGCTCCTTCATCCTGTGGAGAGGAGCAGGGAGGAAGTGGGGAGAGAGGCTGTCCACTGGCCACTCTGGGCCTCTCTGTCACTCTCCTTTGCCTAGAGAGCTGTGTCCCTGTGTTGCTTTATGTTCCATTTCTTTAATTTTTTTTTTATATTTTAATTGGGGACAGGTGGTTTTTGGTTACATGGATAAGTTCTTCATTGGTGATTTCTGAGATTTTGGTGCACCCACCACCTGAACAGTGTACATTGTATCAATGTATAGTCTTTTTTTTTTTTTTTTTTTTGAGATGGAGTCTCACTCTGTCACCCAGGCTGGAGTGCAGTGGCGCGATCTTGGCTCACTGCAACCTCCACCTCCCTGGTTCAAGCGATTCCCCTGCCTCGGCCTCCTGAGTAGCTGGGATTACAGGCACACGCCACCACGCCCGGCTAATTTTTTTGTATTTTCAGTAGAGACGGGGTTTCACCACGTTGGCCAGACTGGTCTCAAACTCCTGACCTCAGGCAGTCCACCCGCCTCAGCCTCCCAAAGTGCTGGGATTACAGGTGTGAGCCACGACGCCCGGCCCAATGTGTAGTCTTTTATCCTTCATCCCCCTCATTCTTCCCCCTGAGTCCCCAAAGTCCATTTTATCATTCTTATGCCTTTGCATCCTCATAGCTCAGCTCCTCCTCATAAGTGAGAACATACAATATATGGTTTTCCATTCCTGAGTTTCTTCACTTAGAATAATGGCCTCCAGCTCCATCCAAGTTGCTGCAAAGGCCATTATTTCATTCCATATTATGGCTGAGTAGTATTCTATGGTGTATATATACCACATTTTCTTTATTCACTTGTTGGTTGATGGGCACTTTGGTTGGTTCCATATTTTTGTAGTTGTGAATCGTGCTGCTATAAACATGCATGTCCATGTGTCTTTTTCATATAATAACTTATTTTCCTTGCATATATACCCAGCAGTGGGACTGCTGGATCGAATGGTAATTCTACTTTTAGTTCTTTAAGGAACCTCCATACTGTTTTCCATAGTGGTTGAACTAGTTTACATTCCTGCCAGCAGTGTAAAAGTGTTCCCTTTTCACACTTTGTGGTCCATTTCTGTCTGTAGATGTGGCATCAGATTCAAAGCTCTTGACCCATGTGAATGCTTTTTGTGTCACCAATTTTAGTAAGACTTGACCTGGTGAATTGACTTGTCTGGAGGATTACTGATCAGGGACCACTGGAGCTGGAAGGGCTGTGATAATGAGCTGGCCTGTCCCCATATTGACTGGTGGGATCCCAGCTATAAAGGTTTAGACCCTGCCTCAGGAAGAGGTGAATCTGCAGGGTGTTTATGAAGTCACTGTTTATCCAACAAATGTCTGTTGGTCACCCTCTCTGTTCCAGGAATGGGGTTAAGTGCTGGGGACAGAGAAGCGTGTGTCACTGACTTCATCCTAAGAGCCTAGTTCCAGAGGCACACTAGAAATGGGACAGTTACAGCAGAGTTGGTTAAAACCAATGTGAGATCAGAGGAGGGACACCTGACCCAGAAGATGGGGTCAGGGAAGACTCATGTAGAGTCCAAAAGAATGCGCTGGAGAGAGACAGAGAGTAGCTTAGGAGAAATGTACTCTAGGCTGAAGGAAGCTCATGGGTAAGGGCTCAGTGGCCTGGGCGAGCAGGACGGTCAGGGAAGAACAAGTATTTCAGTGTGACAGTGGAGGGAGGCCATGGATGGGGAGCGTCAGGACGTGGAAGGAGCTTTGGTATTTGGAACAGCACCTTTCCTCGTGCCTTCACTGAAAGCACTTACCAAGGTCACAGCGACCCCATGTTTCCAAGGGGTCGAGTCCCTGTGTTTGTGTCTCCTGACCTCTCTGTGGTCTCTGAACCCCCAGCCCACCCTTCTGAACACGTTCTCTCCTTGGCTTCCGGCACCTGGACTTGTTCCCTCCCACCCCTGCCTGCCCCTGCACAGGCCCCTGGCTGGACACTGCTCCTTCTCATGGCCTTTGGGCACCCAATAGCTCTGTCCTGGGGCCTCTTTTCCTCTCCAGCTGTCCAAAGTGCTGGGATTACAGATGTGAGCCCCCATGCCTGGCCAAAATTTTTAATTTTGAAGTTATTTTAGATTCACAAGAAGTTACAAAGCTAGTATAGAGTTTCAGAGAGTTTCACTCAATTTTCCCCAATGGTTCCTGTCAGACAGCATCAGAACCAGGAAGTTGACATCGATATAAAATGTACGTATAGTTCTCTGTCATTTTATCCTATGCACATTCATGTAACCAGCAGCACCATCAAGACACAGAGCTGTCAACCACCACAAAGGCCACCCTGGGCTGCCCCTTTAAGGCCACACCCACCTCCCCTGCCCCACACCTGGCATCCACTGCCGCTCTCCAGTTCCAAGTCTCATCACGCCCAGGTGGTTACATGCATGGAATCACGCAGCACGTGACCTTTGGAGACTGGCTGTTTCCACTCGGCATAATGCCCCTGGGATCCTTCCAGTTCTTTCTTCTGACTGCAGAGTGGTATCCTGTGGCATGGGTATAGCACAGTGTCTTCAATTGTCCACTGGTTTAGGGACACTTCTGTTGTTTCCAGAGCCTGCACTGCTCGCCTGGTGCCTAATGGCCTCACAGAATGTGAGGAGGAGGAGAAAGTACATTCATTTTGAATCACCCTGCTGCAGGGCTTTTGCTGTGGGGATTTGGGTACTGCCCCAGTGACTTGAGAGCAGTTGGACGGGATGGATGGAGGCTTTAGAAGCGTCCTGGGGAGCCAAGGTTGCTGACCAAATAGGTTTTTTTTGACAGCTCTGAAAGTTCGGGAACATGTTTTCCAGACTAAGCTACTGAAATATTTATCACTCCAGGACAGAATGTCCTCAGAATGTGATAAATTAAAAATGATGGTTCAAGTTGAGAGGCGGCGAGGGTCTGAACTCCCTCTGTTGTTTCCTGTAGGAGCTGAGACTGGCATCGTACCTGGCGAGGATGGCCATGGTGCCCGGGGCCACGCTTCGCCGGCTCCTGAGTGTGGTACTGCCCACAGCCTCACAGCCTCAGCTGCTGGCCCTGCTGGATTCGGCCACCGAGAGACATGTGGACCACGCAGCTGAGAGCGATGGCGGAGCGGAGCAGGCCGACGTGGGCAGGCGGAGGTGAGTGCCGTGGAGGGGCTGCCTCCCGGGGCACGTCCCTGTCCACAAGGGTCCCCATGAGTCCTCAAGGTCATGGGAGGCCCATGTATTTTGTCCATACTTTTTAATTTTGTTACCAATTTATTTTTTAAATAGAATCTTAAGAAAATAAGTTCACCCAGAGCCATAAATATTTCATGCATGCCCATTAAAGAAAACGTAAAAAAAAAAATGCATAAAAAGAGGAAGAAGAGAAAGAAATATCCATGGTTTTATGACCTAGAAAAATGACTGCTAGCATCCTGTTACATTTCTTCCTCCAGAATGTGTTTCTCTGCTGGGTTTTACAAGTGTGTGTCTGCAAGTGTGGGAGCATGTGTTTGTGTGTTGGTATGTAAATGTGTGAGTGTGTTGTGCATGTAAATATGTGTATTTGTGTGTCGAGTGTGGAGTGAGCACGCTGTGGATACAGCCTTGCTACATTCTGCATTTCAGAATCTTACAGCAGAAGCGATTTTGCTCCTTACCTTTTAACGCTCATGCAAACATCCCCCTATGTAATTCTTATCCCATTACTTAGATTCTATTTCCTGCTAGTGTTATTCATTTAAATTTTATTCTTTCAATGTTATTGACACGTGGCACAGGTGGATATTATTTTTACTGGCTCCTCATGCTAAGGGGTGTAGCATAGAGCATGTAACTGTCATCCCGTCACTTGACATTCAGTTTGGGCCCATTTTTTTTTAAATTATGGGTAACTCTGCATAGACAGTCTCCTTTAGGATGGGGCCCCAGGTGTGAATTTGGTCATTAAAGGCTTTTTATGGGGAAAGGCAGGAAGGGGTGTGGAGTAAGGCGGGTTTGGGGGGCAGCCAGCAGTACCCCTTGAGGATGGAGTAGGTGGGGAATGAGGCTGCAAGGAAAGCCATGGCCAGGATGAAAACATTGCACCAGGATGCAGAGCTCACAGCCTCAGCAAGGATGCAGAGGAGGCCAGGAGGGCATCTGGGAGCCCGAGAGCCTGCTGAACCATCATGACTGTGTAGATAGCATTTGTCCTGAGAAAAGGGGTAATGTTTTCCTTATCAGAGATACTTTTTATCAGAGTATCTGACCCCAAAATCCAAGAAGCGCTGCTGAGGGTGAATAGAGTCTGACCAGGGTGAGGGGGAGGGTGGGGAAGAGGGAACATCTGCGGGTGTGGGCAGGAGGCCACAGTGTCGAAGAGCCTTCCTAGTGGCCTTGGGGCCCAGTATAGTCAGGAAGTGGGTTGTGGACCGCAGTCAGAGGGCTGGCTGCATGTTAGGGGGTCAGAGGTCTGGTTGTTGGCGTGGTCAGAGGGCTGGGTGTGGGCTGGTCAGAGGAACAAGAGGGAGCCAGAAGGAGGCCACCTCTGCCAAACGGAATGTCCAGTGACAGGATGACAGTTACATGCTCTATGCTACGCTCCTCCATGGAATATTAGGAGCCAATCATATTACTATTATTAATAATATTAAAAATAAAACCAGGTTTCACAGCCTGGTTTTCCCAGTGTGCTGCCTGCCTGCGTGCACGGACATGCAGGTGGCAAGTATTCAAGGTGACTCTGGAGTAGGAACGTGTGTGGCTGCGGGGAGGCCACTTCTGCCTGCCTACCACCCCTGTGGACCTTGTTTTTGGTGCTTCCCCTTCAGCCAGCTTAGTTTGGGAGGCCAGTGGGGAGAGATGGACAGGCCAAGCTGGGACGAGGCAAGAGGGCTTCAGGTCAATGTCACCATGGGCATGAGCATGGCCTTTCTTTGCCCAGCCTCATGGCCAGGCAGCCTGGATGACTCTGGAGTCCCAGGCCACTAACCCAATCTCTGAGGGCAGGGCATGCACTATTCTTGTGTCCCCAGCAGCTAGCATCCGGCCATTACATCAGTTATGAGTCTTGGGTTTCAAGCAATGGGAACTGAATAATTAATCCAAGCAAGAATGGGGTGTATTGAGGGCCATGTCAAAATCCAGGAAAGAGCCAGTGTTCAGGCCTCAGGAAGGGCAGGGCCAGGGAAGCACTCTGGGCATCCTCTCGGGTGCTGCCTTCAGAAGACCGCCCTTCTCTGCTCCAGGAGTTAGACTCCTGGGAGAGAGCCTGCCTGGCCCAGTGTGGAAGAGGCTCCATCTCCACCACCACCTGGGCAGGTGTGAGCCGCCAAGGCAGGGGGAATGAATCTAGCACATCCTTTATTGGCTTGACTTGACACCTCCCACTGTCCCGGGCAACACTCTCCAACGCCCTCTCCTTCAGTCTAGGACCACGCACCTTCATGGCTTTAGGGCTCCCTGCCTAGCCCACCTTCCAGGCTTCGCCTGTACTTTCCCAACTTCTGTATTTGTATATGCATAAAGCAGTTGTGGAGCTCCCACTGTGTCCTCTCTCTTAGGTACTAGGGCTACGTGGAGGGTAAGAGACAAAGCCCTGCTTGCGTAGAGCATTCATCCCAGTGGGGGAGGCAGCCAGTATATAAGTCAGTGCACAGATCCCATTCCTTCGTGAGTGCCCCAAGGGCTCCCTTTGCTCAAATGACTCCCCCAACCCGTCAGCCTTCTTCTGTCTGTGATCCCATAGACTTGGCCCCTTGAGGGCAGAGGTTGCATCTTGATGAGGCTGCAGAAGGCGTTTGATGGATGTGCAGTGAATGAGTGAAAGAATAAATGGTGAACACTCTGGGGATGGGGGTTCCTAGTGGCAACCAAAGGTGGCATTGAGAGATGGGTAGGATTACTCATCACTTAAAGATTCTATTCTTTTTTTTTTTTTTTTTGAGATGGAGTCTCACTCTGTCGCCCAGGCTGGAGTACAATGGCGTGATCTCAGCTCACTGCAACCTCCGCCTCCTGGGTTCAAGCGATTCTTTCTGCCTCAGCCTCCGGAGTAGCTGGGATTACAGGTGCCCACTACCACGCCCTGCTAATTTTTGTATTTTTTAGTAGAGACTGGGTTTCACCATGTTGGCCAGGCTGGTCTTGAACTCCTGACCTCAGGTGATCTGCCCGCCTCTGCCTTCCAAAGTGCTGGGATTACAGTGGGATTACAGGCGTATTTTTGAAACTATAAGACTCCCTTCTTGCCTGCAGGAAACACCAGAGCTGGTGGCAAGCCTTAGATGGCAAACTGCGAGGAGATCTGATAAGCAGAGGATTAGAAAAGATGCTGTGGGCCCGCAAGAGAAAGCAGAGGTAATGATGGGCACCTGCTCATGTGGCTGGGGAGGGGGTGAGCTAAGCTGCCTGTGGGCCAGGCTGGGGAGGCAGGAGGTGACAAGGAAAGGAGGTTGCTGCAAACAGACAAAGATTTGTGACCCTGAAGACCACAAATCTTTATTCAGTGGGCTGAGTTTAGAAGCTGAAGATGAGCTTGTGGCTAGCAGTGAGAGAATGTTCTCAACATTTATTAACATTTACATTCTGTATTTATTTTAGCTAATGGCTATTTTTAATGGAATGTAATTAGAAGAATTCCTTATAGCTACTGTTCACAAAGCCCTTTCATGTCTTGCTGCATTGAGCCTTCCAGAAAGTGGGGATGATAAAATGGAAGCTCAGGGAGGTCAGAAGAGGCCCCAGGCCAACAGCTGGTAAACAGTGGTCATGAGATTTGGGGCTGCCTCACTGCCCCCTTTATTTTCTTAAACTTCCAGGCTTGCGCTCTTTACCTTCACCCCAATGCCTTTTTCCTTGGCTGTGGCTATCACACACCTACAGACAGAGGGAAGTGAGGGGCAGAGTGGTCTCAAATTGCTGCAAACCATTGTCCAATGTCTTCTGTGATTCCAGCTAGAGAAGATGTGGAAACAAAAAGCAACATCAGGTAGATTCATAAGGGGTTAAACAGTGATATCAGTGTGTAGTCCAGAAACAGTGGCTGTTCAACGGACATGTCTACCTCAGTCCTGCCCCTTCCACAATTTCTCAGAGCTCAGTTGAAGGTGCTGAGACCGAGCTTCATAGATTACTCATGATAAAGCGCTTGGAACCATTAGTAGCCTGGTTATCACAATATAGTCTCAGATAAGTTAGATCAGGATATTGGCCAAGAGAAGTACATGCAATCCTAGAAAAAGAAAATTAAATTCATTCTATAGAACTCTAAAATATTCCATTAGGAACATTCCTAGGCTGCACTAATAGAAGTGGAGTGGATACAGATCAAGAGACATGATGGTCCCACTGTCCTGGCTCACTCTGCGGGCCTTTGCTCTGCCTAGAGGCACCATGGTGGAGACACAGAGCTGGGTTTGAATCCTTGTGCAGACTTAGTAGCTCCAAGGGCAGTAATTAGTGGTGATGGCAATGGAGTGGAATCTACCACATGCCTTCTGGGAGGGTCAGCAAGCCTGCCGTTGACATGCAGCAGGTGCATCCCCAGTGACATGGCCTTGTCCTGCCCTGCTTGGGCAGAGAGAGAGCGCTGTGGCTTTCAGGATGTATAGGGCTCTTGGTGGTCGTCACGATCATTATCAAGAGCAGCCTGGGAGTCAGGGGTTGGACTGCCCATGGCCAGGATTCCAGCAGCTTTTTTATGGGACATTCTCAAAGTGTGCCACACTCTTCTATGGCAAACGCATTTTGCCTGACTTCTAACTGTTGCCTTGTAACCAGGTTTCATTAGCCTGCTTTTAGAGTGAGGCTCATAGGTGTACTCATAAATGTTTAACAATTGGCTTGTGGGGAGGGGGGCAGTGGTTTCTGATTTGTAGCATTTGCCAGTTTCCATGGTGTAAATATTCCCACCATGGCTGATCTGATGTCACACTAACAACATGATGACAGTGGGCTCGCAAAACTCCTGAAAATGGGCCGGGTTTGGTGGCTTATGCCTGTAATCCCAGCACTTTGAGAGGCCGATGTGGGCGGATCATGAAGTCAAGAGACCAAGACCATCCTGGCCAACATGGTGAAACCCCGTCTCTATTAAAAGAAATTAGCTGGGCATGGTTGCACGCGCCTGTCGTCCCAGTTACTCAGGAGGCTAAGGCAGGAGAATCACTTGAACCTGGGAGGTGGAGGTTGCAGTGAGCCGAGGTTGTGCCATTGCACTGCATCTGGGCAACAAGAGCGAAACTCCATCTCAAACAAAACAAAAAACTCCTGAAAATGGAATGGTCATGAGCCAGGAAGAGTTGACTACAGCACACCACTGTTACAGGCTTCAGCTAATTTTACAGCAATCTGGTGACCAAGGGGGAAAATAACCTTTTGTTAAAATGGCACTGGGTTGGGGAATTCAGGACCCAAGGAGGGATTCTCTTGGAGAACTCAGAACACTCCAGAGGGTTCATTGCCAAAAATATTGAATTTGATCTTTTGCTATTTCTTTAGCATATTAAAGAAGACATGTCTCCCTCTCAGAGAGAGGATGATATTCTCTGGAAAAGGAAGTTGGCCACACCTGTCACTGGAGCCCATTGGCGAACTGGCCCCTGTACCCATTGTAGGGGCAGAAACCATTGATCTATTAAACACAGGAGAGAAGCTCTTTATATTCAGAAATCCAAAGGAGCCAGAGATCTCACTGCACGTTCCTCCCAGGAAAAAGAAGAACTTTTTGAATGCCAAAAAGGCCATGAGGGCCTTGGGCATGGACTAGCCCAAGGGAAAGACCTGCGGGAGCATCTGAAGAGAGAAGGGATGATTTTCTCCTGCCCGCCGGTGTTTGTGTGTTTATAATGCACAACTCGCAAATATAAATTGCACATGCAGAAGGCACAGACCCCGTAGCGCATGCCAACTTGCAGGGACTCGGTTTAATCTTGTCTCATGAATTTCCAGATGGCCCACTCTCTTCCATATCACAAGGACATAAACACTCCTTCTTTCAGCCCCACCTCCCCAGGGCCCTGGAGGAGACCCCCACCCTGCAATCCACACCCCATCCTCTGCTGCAGAAGCTATGGTCTGTGTGGTGACAGCCAGATTCTCTACTCTTATGTTTTGTATTTGTTACATATTCTATTTTTATAAAGGGAATTTTAAAAAATAAATGTGTTTTGCACAAAGCTGTTTATTACAAAACCCATGTTTGCTTTATGTAGGAAGCATTTATTTGAAATTACGTCTTACGTTTTGTTCCCTGTGTGGTGTTCAATAGAGAGATTCGCCCTCTATCGCTCCAGTTGCCAAAACATGTGTCAGCCCCTGGGGTCTACCGTCACCAGTTCAAATCAGGGTTATCTTCCCATTTTACAAATGAGGAAATTCAATGGTATGGAAAACTGAAGTGATTTTTACAAGATCATAAAGCTCATAAATGGCAAAATCAGGATTCACACTTCATGGCCCACAAACCTTATCCTTTCTCCTGGCCTTGATCCATGGACACATAACAGCCCTCACACAGTTACCTATAAACAGACTCCATACAAGTGCTTGTGTTTTACCAAGAGCTTGTGTAAATGCTGACCCTTCCCATCCACACAGCAGTGCCTGAGGCCAGTAATATCTCACTGGGGCTGGGCCACATCATGGTGTCAGCCGGGCAAATAATACAATTACAATGGGTATTCTCTGACAGTAGGGGATGATTAGGATGAGAGTCCTCTCACCAGCAAGGGAAAAAAGCGATGACTGATAAAAAATCAAACATCTGTCATATGAGAGTTGCTGCTAGACCCTTCCAACAACTTTAACCTACTTTTTAATGATCACTAGTACCCCAGCAAGGTGAGTATCCCTATTCCCATTTTACTGCCAAGGAAGCTGAGACTCAGAGTTTAAATAATTTGCCTATGATGAAACCACCTATATGGGAGGAATCCTCAATTTGAACCTGAGTCTTCTAACTAAAATGCTTATCTGCCATGGATGTCCCTTTTCCATGGGCAACCAGAAGACCAAGTCTTATTTGCAGTTTCCCATCAGCATGCATGCAGCACCCCAACAAGTACCTTCGCTGGGGTTGCACTTCTCCCAGGGGACAGCAGCTGTGCACCGTTTTCAGCTGCCACTTGACTGCATGACTGCATTGGTAGAAAGGTGCAGGTAAGCAGTTTGAATGCAGGAGAGAAGAGATGATGGCGCCAGTTTTCCCATCCATCAGAAGGTCCAGTGGGCCTCGAGTGAGAACAGAGAAAGTGGAGTGATTTTTACACACAGGACAGCAGAGTGGAGCATGCATGGTCTTGGGAATAAGCAGACTGGAGTTCAAATCCTGCTCCACTACTTAAGGGCCATAAGTTCTTGGGCAAGTAGATATAATTGAATCTGTAAAGTCCACCACATCTATGTTCTTCTCTACCTTTTTAAGGTAATTGTCTGCATTTCTGATAATTTCCTGCTTCTACAGGGGCTCTGATAGAATTATGCATAGTTGAAAGTAGATTGCATGCAAAAATTTCAAAAAATGGCTTAAAATTATAGGCTGAAGCCTGATTGAAGAGGCTGTTAGCAACAGCAGGAGGTGCCCAAGCTGCTCAAAATCTAGCATTTGAACCTAATAATAACTCCTTATGTTAATAGACAGAGAAAGACTAACTGCTGATTTACCTTTTGTAAACTCACTGCACAAAAAAATGCCAAGATGTGTTGGGGAAAGCCTGTGTTTCTGGAATCAGATAGACCAGGTTTAAACTGTGGCTCTACAACTTTTTAGCAGTCATTTTACCACTCTAAACTTCAGTCTCTTTATCTGTAAAACAAAGATCCTAATGTCGTACTTTACAGTAGGGACGTTGTAAAGAGTGAAGATACTAGATATTATGTCTGTAATGTCTGATGAAATGTTGGTGTGCAATAAGGTAGCTTATTTATTTTATTATATTTTAACATCTTTACAAAAATCCATCTGATATGGTTTGGCTCTGTGTCCCCACCCAAATCTTGCCTTGAATTGTAATCCTTATAATCCCCACGTGTCAAGGGCAGGACCAGGTGGTGGTAATTGGATCATGGGGGCGGTTTCCCCTGTACTGTTCTCGTGAGTGAGTCTCACGAGATCTGATGTTTTATAAGTATCTGGCATTTCCCCTGCTGGCAGTCCTTCTCCTTCCCACTGCCCTGTGAAGAAGGTGCTGTTCTTCCGCTTCGCCTTCTGCCATGATCGTAAGCTTCCTGAGGCCTTCCCAGTCATGTGGAACTGTGAGTCAATTTAACCTCTTTTCTTTATAAATTACCCAGTCTCATGTATTTCCTTACAGCAATGTGAGAATGAAGTGTTCTTTCATTCCTTTTGCCATTCTAGGTGAAGGCTGTTTTCTTGAAGGGCTGTATCTTCACACAGAAGCCTACTCATGAGAGAGAAGCTCCAAGGAACTTGGCTTGAGAGGACTTGAGCTCAAGTTTGGGGTTTGTTACTTACAAGCAGGGGCTCGGCTCCCTGTGTATTCTGTCTTTAAGGAGTTCGATCTAGTTGCGTTGACTAACACAAAAATAAATAATTGGTAAATGCAAGGTGTGAGACGCACATACGAAAATCCTGCCGTGGGAATTTGGGAGTGAGGTCAAACCTGGCAGGGGTCAGTTGGGGACAGCTTTGTGCTTACGACTCCCCCAGATTTCCACACTGCAGTCTTTGTAAGGAAGTCACTATGAGCAGCACACATTTAAGGAATGGGGACATAAGTCTACCTCCTTGAGGGCAAAGTGTCTACATAGATTATTTGGAATTCTGCATGGGAGATGATCTCTTTTCCATTTATTTTTTCAATTATTTATTTCTATCGGTATAGACTCATGGATATTTATTTTATACTTTGAGTTATAATCCAATAATAATTTGTTGCTCTAATTGTTCCAGCTTTCAACATTGGGAGCTCTTTCTGTTGTCTCCCATATCCCTTTAACATAACCCCGTCAGTGCAGATTTTTATGTTTTTCCGAGTACTTCCTTATTTTCTGGCACTAGAAGGTGGTCTAAAAGGTGAGCATTATAAAAGATGAGCACTAGAAAAGATTCGCATCGTTTATATTCCCTGTCCCAGTCCTAGAATCAGACATTTCTCCAAGGAGTCTGATTCCTTTTGTTGGAGAATGGTATTAGAAACTAAACTCTGAGCCCTAGTTGTGCTTATTGCTACTGGAGTATTGTTACTTCTAGGCCTCTAAGCTGACAGAGCAAGAAAATATACATGTACATACTAACCTGTTTATATACACATGTCCGTTAATATTTTCAATGTAATAATCTGTGTCTATATTATGCTAAATATGAATTTACTGATGTCTCCAACATGAATCCATTGCCCCATGGATCATTCTGGCTTTCTCCCGTTTTCTTTTTTATTATTTTTTTGAGACATGGTCTTATTTCTGTCACCCAGGCTGGAGTGCAGTGTACAATCACAGTTTACTGCAGCCTTGACTTTCCAAGTTAAGTGATCCTCATACCTCAACCTCCCAAGTAGCTGGGACTACAGGTGCATGCCACTGCACCCAGCTAGTTTTTGTTTGTTTGTTTGTTTGTTTGGTTTTGCAGGGATGGGTTCCCACTATGTTGTCCAGGCTGGTCTCAAACTCCAAGACTCAAATGATCCTCCCGCCTTGGTCTTGCAAAGTGCTTGGATTACAGGTGTAAGCCACCACACCTGGCCCTTCTCCTCTCCATTCCAACAGTGAAAATCGTGGCTCCCATCATTTCCCAGCCATTTACTTATGTGGTCAGTTCCAGTACATATGTGGAGCATTATCAGGGTTTTGATAACCTGGACCCATGTGGGAAACAACTTTCTCAGTAGAGTAGAGTACTTATGTGCAGTTTCTTTTGCATTTAAAGACTTCACTCATTTCCAAAGTTACTTAGGTCAGCATCTTTTTCTTCCAGCCTTTTCAGTAAAGTTGTTTCTTACATTTGAAATGCAGTTAGATTATTTTGACACATTCTGCATTGCTTCCTGGAATTCTCTGGATTTCTTAAATGATGTTTTTAATCTGCATATGATAAAGTCAATTTTGCATTGACATGGCATTATGTATTTGTTAAAATGATTGTATAATATGATACAAATTTGTATAAAATGATACACAATCATTTTGATAAGCATATAGTGCCATGTATCCACAATTACACTATCATACAAAGTAGTTTTACTACCCTAAACAACTTCCTGTGCTCCACACGTTCAATCTTTTACCTCCTCCACCTGGACCCCTGGCAGTCACTGATCATTTTACTATCTCTATAGTTTTGCCTTTTCTAGAATGTCCTTATAATTGGAATTTGTCAAAGGTCAGTTAACTATATTTGTGTGGGTCTATTTCTGGGCTCTCTGTTCTGTTCCAATGATCTATGCACCTGTTCCTTCACCAATACCACACTATCTTGATTACTGTAGCTATATAGTAAGTCTTGAAATTAGTATGAGTTCTCCAACTTTGTTTTTCTTTAGTACTGTGTTGACTCTGTAGATCTTTTGGCATTCCATATAAACTTCAGGATCAGTTTGTCAATATCTGAAAAATAACTTGCTAGAATTTTGATTGATATTCTATAGACCTATAGATTCTATAGGTCAGGTTGGGAAGAATTGACATCTCCACAATATTGAATCTTCCAAATCATGAATAGGAAATATTACTCCTCCATTTGTCTAGATCTTTTGATTACCTTCATCAGAGTTTTATAGCTTTCTGCATACAGATCCTGTACATATTTTTAGATTTAAACCTAAATTATATTAATTTGGTGGTATTTTAAATGGTATTTTTAACATTTCGAATTCCAGTCATTTATTTCTGTTATATAGGAAAGCAATCAATTTTTGAATATTAACCTTGTATCCTGCAACCTTACTATCCTCACCAATTAGTTTTGGGGGTTTTTTGTTTGTTTGTTTTTGGTCAGTTCTGAGATGTTCTATATAGACAATTATGTCATCTGAGAACAAAGACAGTTTTATTTATTCCTTTCCAATTTGTATACATTTTATTTCCTTTTCTTGTGTTATTACACTAGCTAGGATTCCCATATGATATTGAATAGAAGTTGTAAGAGGACATCTTTGCCTTATTCTTGATCTGAAGAGGAAGCATCCAATTTCTCATTATTTAAGTATGAGATTAGCTATAGGTTTTTTATGTATTTTTTATAAAGTTGAGGAAGTGCCTCTCTATAGTGTGCTGAGAGATTTTATCGTATGTGTATATTGAATTCCATCAAATACATTTCTGTATCAATTGATAGGATTTTTTCTTTAGCCCGTTGATGTGATGTATTCCATTAAATGATTTCAGAATGTTGAACCAGCCTTGCATACCTGGGATAAATCCCACTTGGTCATGGTGTATCATTCTTTTTATAAATTATTGGATTTAATTTGTAAATATATTTTTCAGGATTTGTTCATCTATGTTCATGTGAGATATAGGTCTCTAGTTTTCCTTTCTTGTATTTTCTTTATCTGTTTTTTATATTACAGTTATACTGGTCCTGTGAGTTAGGAAGTATTCTTTCTGCGTTTATTTTCTAGAAGAGATTATGGAAAATTGGTATTATTTCTTCCTTAAACGTTTACTAAAATTCACCAGTAAAATGATCTGAGTCTGGGGCTTTCTTTTCTTGGAAGGGTACCAATTATAGATTGTTTATTTAATAGATATGGTTTATTTAGGTTATCTCCTTCACGTTGTGTGAATTTTTGTAGTTTGTCTTTCAAGGGATTCATTCATTTCACCTAAGTTACCAAAATTATGGGCATAGAGTTGTTCACAGCATTCTTTTATGATGCTTTTACTGTCCATGGGATCAGTAGTGAGACTGCTCTTTCATTTCTGATATTGGTAATTTTCATGTTTTCTTTTTTTTCTTGGTTAGTCTGGTTAGCTGTTTGTCAATTAGATTGATGTTTTCAGAGAACCAGCTTCTGGTTTCATAAAATGTTTTCTATTGTTTTCATTTTTGCTGACTTTTGCTCTATTTTTTATTATCATTTTTTTCTGATTGCTTTGGCCTTAAGTTACTCATTTTTCTTTAGTATCCTAAGGTGGAAGTTTAGATTATTAATTTTAGGTCTTTATTCCTTTTTTAATATATGCATTTAATAGTATAAATTTCCCTTTAGGCACTACTTTAACTGCATTATACAAATTGGGATAAGTTGTATTTTCATTTTCATGTGGTTCAGAATATTTTTACCATTCTCTTGAGACTTCATTGTCCCATGTGTTGTTTAGAAATGTGTTATTTAATCTGAATATATTACGCTATATTCTGTTTATTTCCCTTTATTGATTTCTAGTTTAATTCTATGGTGATCTGAGAGCATATTTTCTATAATTGCTATTATTTTAAGTTTGTCTTTTTTTTTTTTTTTTTTTTTTTTTTTTGAGACGGAGTCTCACACTGTCACCTGGGGTTAGAGTGCAATGGCACGATCTTGGCTCACTGCAACCTCTGGCTCCTGGCTTCAAGCAATTCTCCTGTCTCAGCCTCCCAAGCAGCTGGTATTACAGATGCCTGCCACCATGCCCGGCTAATTTTTTGTATTTTTAGTAGAGATGGGATTTCACTATGTTGGCCAGGCTGGTCTTGAACTCCTGACCTCGTGATCCGCCTGCCTCAGCCTCCCAAAGTGCTGGGATTACAGGAATGAGCCACCACACCCGGCTATTAAGTTTGTCGTTATGTGGCCTATCTTGGTGAATGTTTCAACCAAAGTTGAGATGATTTTATATTCTGTACTTGTAGAAGAGATTATTCTGTAACTGTTAGATCAAGTTGATTGAGAGTGCTATTCAGGCCAACTATGTTCTTACTGATTTCTTGCCTGCTTGATCTATGAATTACTGAAGGAGGGCTGTTGGAGTTTCCAACTATAGTAGTGGATTTGTTTATATTGAATTTGCATATATTGTAAAAAATATTGTGTATATTTTTCCTTGCAGTTCTTTCATATTATGCTTATATATGGTGATGAATTGATCCCTTTACCATATGTATTCCCTTCTTTTTCCTTGTTAAATTTCCTTGTTCTGAAGTCTGGTTTGTCTCAAAGCAATACAGCTATCCCAGCTCTCTTTTAGTTAGTGTTAGCAAGGTATATCTTTCTCCATTCACTTACTTTTAACTAACTTGTCTCTGTTTTTATAATTAGAGTGGGTTTCCGGTAGACAACATATATTTGGATCCTTTTAAAAAATCCATCTGACAATCTCTAATAGATGTTTTTAGTCCATTCACATTTTAAGTGCTTATTAGTATAGTTGGATTAATATCAGCCATGTTTGCAAGTGTTTTCCATTCACTGCTGAATTGCTTGTTTCCCTCCCTTCCCTTTTTCTCCTTTCTCTGGTTTTGATTAATCATTTTCTCTTACTCTATTTTATCTCCTCTCTTAACATATCAATTATACTTAAAATGACTTTGGTGGCTATACTTATTTCCCTTTTATCCCCTTTTATATATTGACCTTCTACTATGGAGATGATGACCCAACTCTCCTTACACACATGCATGTGCAGAGACACACACACACACACACACACACACGCTTCCTCTCTCTAGTTATCTAATGCAATTAAAGCACAATTTTAAGTAAATATTTGGCATTTACAACATTAATAACTAATAATTTTTATATTTAGCTGAGCCATATAGTGCATTTGAATTAAATACATTTCCTTCTTTGTGTAACTTTTTGTTTTTCTTAGAGTTAATAGTTGGCTTGTATAAAAAGGACTCATCTTTTGGAGATGCACACAAATATTTATGGATGAAATTATATGTTATCTGGGATTGGCTTCAAAATACTCTGGAAGGGCTTCTGGCTATGATAGACTTAATGTATTCCCAGTCTTCTCTGTCTCCAGGCTGTGACCTTCACAAGTGTTTCTTAGCTTCTCCTCACTTCCCTCAAGTGAGACAGGAAAGACTGAGGGGGCTGGAGCCAGGAAAATGTCTTCCCTCTGGTGGTGTGCTGGGGAAGGGGATAAGGTCATGCAGATGCTTCAGACTTACACAATGCTTGCTTTTCTACTCTTTCTCCCAGAGCCACTAGGGGATCTTTCTTATCTCTCTATCATGATCATCTGGTGAGGTTGCTATAGGTAAAACCAAACAAAGTGTGAGGGACTCCCTAAGACTATAGGCCCTTAGTTTCTTCCTGAACTTCTAACATTTCTTACAGGGCAAGTTATGCGAGTCTACTTTCAGCCCTCAGCAATTCATCAAAATGACCATGAAGGTTTCTTACTGGTTATGGTTCCAGCAGCTTCTAACTCCAGATAAGCAGGTCACAGCTGTGACGCTATAGATGAGCTTGTCTTTCCAGATTTGGAGGTAGTGGTTGGCTTTGTGGTCTCAGTTCTCGGATGGGTCCAAGAAAAGACACTGATTTTCAGTTTTCTCAACTTTTTCCTTGTCCTATGAGTGAGAGCACCAACTTCCCAGCTCTTAACATGTTGGGACTGAAACTGGAAGTGGCGTGTTTCCTTTTTCTGTCTTCCGTTTCTCTCACTGTCATGTTCCTATTTTTTCCTCCAGTTTTGGTATATGGCAATGCATATGTGTTGTTGCAATGTCGTCACTTGTGAATTCTTTCATTTCTGTCATTTCCGGGTCAGTTACTGTTGATGAACTTTTGTTATGCATATGGGTCATCTTTTCCTGCTTCTTTGCATGCCTGGGGATTTTTTATTGCATGCATACATTGCAGTTTTACATTATTGGGTGCTGGATTTTGTTAGATACTTGTAAATAGTTTTGGATTTTGTTCTGGCACGCTGTGAGGTCAGTTGGGATCAGTTGAATTGTGTAAGGCTTTATTTTTTCTTTTAACAGCTTGAGATATAATTTACATATTCTAGAGTTCACCCATTTAAAGTGAACACTTTAGTATATTGACAGAGTTGTGCAATCATAACTATAATCTAATTTTTGAAAAATTTTATTACTCCTCCAAAAATCTTGTATCTGCTTATAGTCACTGCCCCAAAACTTCATGTTCCTGCCTACCTCCACCCCAGCCATAGAGACTTTCTGTCTCTACAGATTTGTTGAGACTTGGTTTTTAGCCCTTGTCATGGTTAAGTCCAGAGTTCATGTATTCCCACTATTAAGGCAGTGATATGGTTTGGGTCCATGTGCACCAAATCTCATGTTGAATTGTCATCCTCAATGTTGGAGGTGGGGCCTGGTGGGAAGTGATTGGATCATGGGGGATATTTCTCATAAATGGTTCAGCACCATCCCCTTTGGTACTGTCCTCACAATAGCGAGTGAGTGCTCGCAAGATCTGTTTGTTTAAAACCACCCACCCCCCACCAACTCCACTTGCTCCTGCTCCTGGCATGTGAGACATGCCTGCTTCCCCTTCTCCTTCTGCCATGATTTGGTTTCCTGAGGCCTCCACAGAAGCTGAGCAGATGCCAGCATCATGCTTCCTGTATAGCCTGTGGAACCATGAGCTAATTAAGCCTCTTTCCTTTATAAATTACCCAGTCTCGGGTATTTCTTTATAGCAATGTGAGAAAGGACCAATACCGGCAATATCCATCACAGGACTCTAGCTGATCTATCACACACCAGAGGGAAGATGAAATATTCCTGGCTGTTTGTGAACTTTGGGAATTGCTTGGAACTACTGTATCGTGCCTCTTTTCCTGCTCTGATAGTTTCCTCTCTGTATGCACAGATCATCACTCAAAGACTTATGGAAGCCCTTCTGTTGCTATCTAGTGTTCTTTGTCTCTCTACCTCGGCTTCCTCTTCAGTATTCTGTCTCATAAATTCTAGTTGTCTCAGTTCATTGTCTGTCTCCTCAGCTCATCTAGACCTGCGGACTCTGTTTGGGTTTCCCCTGCTTGATCTGCAGCCTTAAAATTGCCTCCAGGCACCAATCAAAGGCAACTGTGGTTGTGCTTCATTTATTCATGGTCCTGTGCCATCTGTTGCCTGTCTGTGAATAGCTGTTCCCTATAACTTGGCCAGCTCTCTAGTTGTTTAAGTTGGGAGTGTAGATTCAGCCTCTGCGACTCTATCATAGCCAGGAGCCCTTCCAGGGTATTTTGAAGTCAATCCCAGATACCTTATAATTTCATCCATAAATATTTGTGTACATCTACAAAAGATAAGCCTTTTTTATACAAGCCAGTTATTAACTCTAAGAAATAGAAAAAGGTACACCAGGAAGGAAATTTAATTCAAATGCACTATATGGCTCAGCTTTAAATAAAAATGTATTAGTTATTAGTTATAATGTTGTAAATGCCAAATATTTACTTAAATTGTGCTTGAATTGCATTAGATATCTGGAGAGAGAGGAAGAATGTATATGTGTGTATATACATATAAGAAGGAGAGTTTAGTCCTCATCTCCGTAGTAGAAGGTCAGTATGTAAAATGGATAACAAAACACTGAGAAGTTACAAATGTTCCTTTAGAAATATAAATGTTAAAATCATAAGAAATAGCTAAACAAATGAAAGTACTTGTTTCTGGAAAAAGGAATGAGGGGTGTATTACCCTATTTTCACGCCGCTGATAAAGACATACCCGAGACTGGGTAATTTATACAGGAAAAAGGTTTTATGGACTTACAGTTCCACATGACTGGGGAGGCCTCACAATCATGGCAGAGGGAAAGAGGAGCAAGTCACATCTTACATGGATGGTGGCAGGCAAAGAGAAAGAGCATGTGCAGGGAAACTCCTGTTTTAAAAATCATCAGATCTTGTGAGACTTATTCACTATCACAAGAACAGCACGGGAAAGACCGGCCCCCATGATTCAATTACCTCCCACCGTGTCCCTCCCACAACACGTGGGAATTCAAGATAAAATTTGGGTGGGGACATAGTGAAACCATAATCATTCCCCTGGCCCCTCCCTAATCTCATGTTCTCACATTTCAAAATCAATCATGCCTTCCCAAAAGTCCCCCAAAGTCTTAACTCATTTCAGCATTAACACAAAAGTCCACAGTCCCAAGTCTCATCTAAGACAAGGCAAGTCCCTTCCACCTATGAGCCTGTAAAATCAAAAACAAGCTAGTTACTTGCTAGATACAATGGAGGTACAGGCATTGGGTAAATACAGCCATTCCAAATGGGAGAAATTGACCAAAAGAGAGGGGCTACAGGCCCCATGCAAGCCCAAAATCCAGCAGGGCAGTCAAATCTTACAGCTCCAAAATGATGTCCTTTGATTCCATGTCTCACATCCAGGTCATGCTGTTGCAAGAGGTGAGTTCCCCTAGTCTTGGGCAACTCTACCCCTGTGTCTTTGAAGGGCACAGCCCCCCTCCTGGCTGCTTTCATGGGCTGGCATTGAGTGTCTGCAGCTTTTCCAGGTGCATGATGCAAGCTGTCAGTGGATCTACCATTCTGGGGTCTGGAGTACAGTGGCCCTCTTCTCACGGCTCCACTAGGTGATGCCCCAGTAGGGACTCTGTGTGGGTGCTCCAACCCCACATTTTCCTTTCACACTGCCCTGGCAGAGGTTCTCCATGAGGGCCCCACCCCTGCAGCACACCTCTGCCTGGACATCCAGGCATTTCCATACAATTTCTGAAATCTAGGCAGAGGTTCCCAAACCACAATTTTTGACTTCTGTGCACTCACAGGCTCAACACCACGTGGCTGCCAAGGCTTGGGGCTTGCATCCTCTGAAGCCACAGCCTGAGCTCTATGTTGGCCCCTTTCAGCCATGGCTGGAGCAGCTGGGATGCAGGGCACCAAGTCCCTAGGCTGCACACAGCATGGGGACCGTGGGCCAGGCCCACAAAACCACTTTTTCTTCCTAAGCCTCCAGGCCTGTGATGGTAGGGGCTGCTGTGAAGACTTCTGACCTGCCCTGGAGACATTTTCCCCATTGTCTTGGGGATTAACATTGGGCTCCTCATTACTTATGCAAATTTCTGCAGCTGGCTTGAATTTCTCCACAGAAGATAGGATTTTCTTTTCTATTGCGTTCTCAGGCTGCAAATTTTCCAAACTTTTATGCTCTGTTTCCCCTTTAAAACTGAATGCCTTTAACAGCACGCAAGTCACCTCTTGAATGCTTTGCTGCTAGAAATTTCTTCCGCCGGATACCCTAAATCATCTCTTTAAGTTCAGAGTTCCACAAATCTCTAGGATAGGGGCAAAATGCCACCAGTCTCTTTGCTAAAACATAACAAGAGTCACCTTCGCTCTGGTTCCCAACAGGTTCCTCATCTCCATCTGAGACCACCTCAGCCTGGATTTCATTGTCCATATCATTATCAGTATTTTGGTCAAAGCCATTCAACAAGTCTCTATGGAGTTCCAAACTTTCCCACATTTTCCTGTCTTCTTCTGAGCCCTCCAAACTGTTCCAACATGTCTGATACCCAGTTCCAAAGTTGCTTCCACATTTTTGGGTATCTTTTCAGCAGCACCCCACTCCCAGTACCAATTTACTGTATTAGTTCATTTTCACACTGCTAATAAAGACACATCCGAGACTGGGCAATTTATACAGGAAAAATGCTGAATAGACTTACAGTTTCACATGGCTGGGGAGGCTTCACAATCATGGCAGAAAGCAAGGACGAGCAAGTCACATATTACATGGATGACAGCAGGCAAAATGAGTTTGTGCAGGCAAACTCCCATTTTTAAAACCATCAGATTTCATAAGACTTATTCACTATCACAAGAACAGCACAGGAAAGACCAGCCCCCATGATTCAATTACCTCCCACAACATGTGGGAATTCAAGATTAGATTTGGGGGGATACAGCAAAACCATATAAAGGGAAGGAAGAGTGAGCAGGGCCTGTTGTCTTATGCCATAAAATTCATTCAGTTATTTACTTCTAAACTTTGGATATGCATTACTTTTATTAAAAACCTCAAAGTCCTTGGTATTTGGAATCAGAATTCTGGGTTCATTCTCGGTTCTGTCACTTCTGTGAGAGGGTTTGACCTCACAGCTTCATTTTTCTTATTTGTAAAATGGAGACTGTATCACTGGCTAAGTAAGCGGATCGTGAAGATCAGAAAGACTAAATGTCCAATGATGAGCACATCAGCTGGAAAATGGGTAAATGCTTTAAATCACTATGAAGAAAATCTGTGTGGCAGAATGGGAGATGCACATGTGGGCATTGTCAGGGGACAGCCCCTGTGTTAGGCTCTGCTTAGCCCCTCAGACTACCTGTGAGACCCTGGACAAGTTCTTCAACCTCTTTACTACTCATTGTATTCCCCTGTCGAAGGAGGATATGAAACAATCCTCATCTTACAATTATTGCAGGGAGTAAAATAGAAAGCAAACTCCCGTACCCGGGTACCCAGTACAGGTTAAGTGCCTAATCAATGATGGCTAGTTGTGTTGTATTATTGATGAAATTATATTGACATTATAACAATATATCTTAATATAAAAATTGTAGGTTAGTTTTATTGTTGCTATTCAGTTTCAAAATTATGTTAATGAATATTTGATGACCTGAGAAAGCTTTAGTAAATAATGGTAATAAAAAAAGAAGCAGTATTAAATGATAGTACCCAGCCTTCAATCACTGTCTATTCAGGGAGGGAGGGAGGGAGGGACGGAAGAAAGAAAGAAAGAAGGAAGGAAGGAAGGAAGGAAGGAAGGAAGGAAGGGCTCTTGTTTTAGTAAGTGAGTACATATAAATAAAAACAACAAGGAAAGTAGAGCAAATGTTAGCACTGCTTGTCCCTGGAGGGTCATCTACAGGTGATTTTCTTTTATTTTTCCTTTGTGCCTTCTGTAGCTTCCAAATTTGTGTAAATGAATCTCTATTGCCTTTGTCATCAGATAAGAGCACAAAAAATGATATCTGAAATCACAGGTTTGGAATAGAGAAAATAATTTTTCATATTTTACCTTGTAATCATATTTCTGGCTTAGGGGTATCTAAAATCCATTTCACATAACAATAATCAACCACAAAATGATTCTTCTTAGCAATTATTGTACTTTTCTATGATTGGGTAAATTTTCTGCAGACACTCTCTGCATCAGATAAACATTGAGTTCCACTGCATGTAAATAGTAGTGATTTAAATAAAATATGTGTTTAATTTCCTCACATGTGACACACAACTTAGAAGTAGGCAAGGTGGGCTGGAGAAGAGCTCCACAATGTCATCAATGCCATCTTTCTGCTTGGTCATCCTAGATGCATGGCTTCCACCCTCAAGGTTGTCTCATGGTTTCAAGGTGGCTGCTGCAGCTCCCATCATTTCTTCCTCATTCCAGGTGAAGAGAAGTTTTGAGGGATCTTTGGGGTATCACTTTTCTGGCTGGAAATCTCTGTGGCTGGTGGCACCTTTGCCCAAGTTTTGCTTGGGCCTGCTGGGTTCATTTTTCCCACTTGTCCTGGCAGGCTGTGCTTGGCTCACACTACCAGCCTAGATCCCATGCCTGCCAAAGGCAGCAAGGCATGGAGTGGCAAGGGGTGTGTGAGTGAACCAGCGAGGGGTCCAGCCACCGTGCACAGTCAGGCACACCAGCTGCTGCAATGGGGTGGGCAGCTCCAGGTGCCGGCGTGGGCACCGACTCTCTGCGAGGCTGTGGCTAGACCAGGTGCACCACAGGTAGCTTCCATGGCTGCCACTGGGGAATGCGGTGGCACACGGAAGCTTGGAGAATCCAGGAACCACTGGGCCCCAAAGAGGAAGTCACAGCCTTGGCTCAGGGAGCTCCCAGGTCTGGGCTTACTGAAGGGCTGAAGCTCTTCTCTTCTCTTCAACCACAACATGGCGAGCAAGGGGTATGTTTCAGCCCTGTTTGTGTTATAGCTCTTTCAGCCTGCCTTCCGCAGGTCCCAAGTTCTTATCCTGCGTCCAAGAAGAATGAAGCACGCAGACAAGTGGAGGGTAAGCAAGGTGAAGAGGAGCTTTATTGAGTGACACAGTAGCTCAGAGGAGGCCCAGGAGTGGGTAGCTCCTCTCTGCAGCTGGTCATCCTGATGTCTGCTCAGCTTTGGCTGAACCTGGGGCTTGTATGGGCTTCAGAGGGGAGGAAGTGTATGCCAGTTGGTCCATGGATGGCCATGAATGGCCTGGAAAAGGCACCACAAGTTCCCACTCTGGTCCGTGGGACCGGCAGCTGGGCCCCCAGCCTACAGATCCTCCCTCCCTGAAGGAGGGCCTGAAGGTGGTGCCTCACTGGGGATCTGCCCCCTTCCACCCAGGAACCTCTCTGCCTCCTGCTGCCATTCATGGCGCCCAGGCTGTAGGTGCCAAGAGGCACCTGCAGGCCAGCCATAAGCTGCCTTCAGCACCCCTTTGGCTTCCCTCCTATGCTTATTGGTGTCCAAAGTCCAGAGGGGGCTGAGGCAGTGGGGGGCTGGCATGTCAGCACCGCCCAAAGTGTGTGCACACCTGGCGAAGCTGTGACTTGGCCCTGACTTTGCTCTGAGATCGGAGCAGGCACCAACAGCAGGGAGAAGCCAGGCAGTGGGAGCAGGCATTTCTGAGCCTGCAAGGGCATGGGGGCCTTCCTGGACCCCCAAGAGTGCAGAGATTCCTGAGTCTGCAGCTGTGGTTTGGGAGGCTGTAGCTGTGGCCACAGGGGTGGGGCTCCTGCCTGCTCCATGGAGTAGAAGGCCTGGTTCCACAGTCACAACTTGGGCAGCTGTGGCTGCACCAGGGAAGCTCCTTCCCCACCAATCTGGAAGGTGCAGGGCTCCCACTTGTCCCTGGCTCCCACCAGCTCCATGGAGTATGCCTCCTTGCTGCAGCCAGCATGATGGCAGCAGCCACTCTAGACAGGCTGCTGCTGCCATCAGATGGAGAAAGCAATAGAGCAAAGTGTAATAGCTATGTCAGTTCCCTTTTTTTTTTCAATTTTATTATTATTATACTTTAAGTTTTAGGGTACATGTGCACAACATGCAGGTTTGTTACATATGTATACATGTGCCATGTTGGTGTGCTGCACCCACTAACTCGTCATTTAGCATTAGGTATATCTCCTAATGCTATCCCTGCCCCATCCCCCCACCCCACAATGGTCCCTGGTGTGTGATGTTCCCCTTCCTGTGTCCATGTGTTCTCATTGTTCAATTCCCACCTATGAGTGAGAACATGCGGTGTTTGGTTTTTTGTCCTTGCGATAGTTTGCTGAGAATGATGGTTTCCAGTTTCATCCATGTCCCTACAAAGGACATGAACTCATCATTTTTTTATGGCTGCATAGTATTCCATGGTGTATATGTGCCACGTTTCCTTAATCCAGTCTATCGTTGTTGGACATTTAGGTTGGTTCCAAGTCTTTGCTATTGTGAACAGTGCCGCAGTAAACATACGTATGCATGTGCCTTTATAGCAGCATGATTTATAGTCCTTTGGGTATATACCCAGTAATGGGATGGCTGGGTCAAATGGTATGTCTAGTTCTAGATCCCCGAGGAATTGCCACACTCACTTCCACAATGGTTGAACTAGTTTACAGTCCCACCAACAGTGTAAAAGTGTTCCTGTTTCTCCACATCCTCTCCAGCACCTGTTGTTTCCTGACTTTTTAATGATTGCCATTCTAACTGGTGTGAGATGGTATCTCATTGTGGTTTTGATTTGCATTTCTCTGATGGCCAGTGATGGTGAGCATTTTTTCATGTGTTTTGTGGCTGCATAAATGTCTTCTTTTCCCTTTTAAGAGCTTTTCCAGAAGCCCCACTTAGTGACATCTTCTTGCAAATCATTTCCCAATTCTCCTCTCTTCCTCATCCCTGCAGCACCTTACCTCCTGTTGGACTAGAAAATGGATTTTTATTTGTAATGGTTTTTTTTGCCAATTTTGTTATTTGTGGTATAATCTTTATACTAAATCTTTATACAGAACTGAGTCCCATGACCACCCCAACTTGCAAGGGATGATAAGAAAGGTCATTTTAAATTGGGACTCTCTAGTATGATAGAAAGGGAGAAAGGGTTTGGGTAGGTAACTCGTCTCTGCCAAATTCCCATGTGGCCAGTAGGGAACCAGAGATGGTCCAGCCTCTTCTCTTGCAGGGAGAGGAAGCTCCTGTCTTCTGCATAGATTCCTGCTTCCTCCTGATAACTCTGTGTTTTGAGTAATGAATAATAATATCAGAAGCAAACATTACCTGTTACTGTTCTCATTTTTATATCTGAGGAAACTGGGCTCAGATGAGTAATTCCCTCAGAGTCACCAGCTTAGCAAATTCCAGAGTCAGGCTTCTAACTCATCTGTCTGACTCGGAAGCCTGTGTTCTTTCTAACACACCATACTGACTTCCCTGGCCTGAAAGTGGAATCATTATCTATTTATTCTTTCAACCATTTCTGTGTGTCATTTATTTATGGGCATCTAGTAGATATTCAGTAAATGTTTGTTCAATGGATGAATGAATGAATGAGCGAATGTCTCCTGGAGAGGAGCTCACTATCTACATGGGGACACAGATCCCATACAGGGCCATCTATAGGTGTTGTGAAGCATTGTGGAAGGAAGCCCCCTTTCTGGGAGTGCCTCAGGTAAACTACACGAAGAATAGAACGTTGCACCTGAGCCTGGAGGGCCGAGCAGCAGGCTGTGTCAGTGAAGGGTGTTGGAAGCAGAAGGAACAGCATGTGCTCAGGCTTGAGGTGCAGTGCCAGTGCTGTAGGGATTTTACTGTGGCTGGAGAGACAGGAGTGAGGAGGCTCTGAAGCTAAGGGAGCCAGGGTGGGCAGGGCTGGTGCTGGGGGCTGCAGGGCTGGATCTGTATGTCCTTGGGAGGAACAGGTTGAGAAACCGAGTTTTGATCTGTGGGTCCCAATCCTGAGCATCCAACGGTGGTCACTCACTCCATGTTTTCCCCACAGTATTGGTAACTCCTCACCCCCTCTCTTCTCTGTTTAGTTCTCTGTGATTCTATTTTTGGAGTTTACAAAGTGAACATCCAGTGTGATATGCGGAGAACTCTGGTGATTTGTCCTGAAGCTGTTTCATTTTTTTTGAATTATGGGAGTCTACTCTTCCCTCTTGGGGACCTGGGAGGATTGAACAGCCAAGGGCTTCCCACGGAGTCACTCTCAGCTCTCTGACTCCTGCACTGATTGTGTTGCACTTGTTTTGAAGGCTAATGAGTATGGGAGGTACCCAAACTTTCCACAGAATTGCACCTCTTGTGTGCGTGCATGTGTGTGGGGGGTAGCATGAGACGGATAATCAAATTATTTCCAGAGAAAATAAATTTGAATCTCAGAGGGCTCTGTGAAAGCAGGGACCAATCAATTCCTTCTGCTGTTGATCCACTATTTGACAACTTGCAGATAAAGGTTGTGAAAACAGAATTTTCTCTCTTTTTTTTTTTTTCCATAACAACTTCATTTCCATTTCTAGCCAACATTCATTTTGCAAAAAGCCTTAGGTTGTGGCCAGGTAAGCCCTGTCAAATTCAGTGATTTCCTAGTTAATTTTAGTTTAAACTCAGGTGACCGCAGGGTGTCTCCCTCCCTCTTCTCTCATAGATTTCAGTTTTCATGTGGCAAGTGGGTGTCTGGTGCCCAGTTCCACCGCGTGAGCACCTGGAGGTGCACAATTTGCCGACCTGATGTTCTGAGGTCGATCTCCTGTCCACTGGTCACGAGGGTGCCCACACTGTCACCTGTGCTTGGGTCTCCTCATGATGGCCCTGGAGCCCTCGGGCTTAGCTGAGACCTGAGGCCTGAGGCCTGCACCCCTTTCTGGGCACAAGAAATGTGCTATGCAGGGGTGGTGGATGCTGTGAGAGTGTCCTGCCCAGATGCCCCTCGCAGCCCTGGTGCCAACCCCACAGGGGCTGGAACTGCAATTAATAAGCAGGTACCATTTCCCTCTCCGGTTCCCCTGACCTCTTACCTACCTGGGGTTTCTATAATATTCCCTATTATCCCCCACCCCTATGGTTCTTCCTGGAGGGATTTGGTGTGGAACTCCTTCTGGAACACACTCCCATCAGCCCCTTTCCCGATTCTCCTCTCTTCCTCGTCCCCCTGGCACCTTACCTCCTGTTGGGCTAGGAAACTGGTTTTTATTTGTAATGTATTTTTGCCAATTTTGTTATTTGTGGTATACTCTGTATACTAAGAACCTCTCCCCACCAACTCCTAGGTGTGTGAAACACTTCGAACCCTGCAGGCTAGCCTCTTGCCGTTGAATGCTTTGGGCTTCAAAATTGTGTCTTCTATGGATTTCAAGAGCTTATTTTGGAAGTCAGTGGCTGAGAATTTAACCCTGATCTTCACTGTGTCATTAAGAAGGGAAGAGTGTGTTTATGGAGTGCTCCTGCCGGCTTGGGGTGGATGGTGATGGTACAATGTGGGTAGGGATGGGAGAGACTTTGGTTAGACCAGGATTGTATCCTGTTCCAGGTCAGGGAACCAAGAGAGCTTCTGGCAGTACCTGGTAGGGACTCCAGAGATTGGGTTAATTGAGTGGATGTCTGAAAAATGAGAACTTACCTGCAAGTTTGTCCCAAACATAGATGAGTTACCTCGGACTGAGCAGTGCAATCGTTGGAGCCTCTGTTTGCGTAATAGTAAGTCAGAAAAATACAGAATTCTGCTCTGCCCGCATCACTTAACAGTGTGGGTGGAGGGGAGAAGTGTGGGAGGACTTGTTTACATTGCAGGGCAGAGAAAATCATTGGTTACCGATGCTGCTGATCCTTTCAGTGGCCCTGGAACACCAAGGAAGGGCCTGGGAGAGCTGCTGTTGTTCCTATGAGCCCAGCTGTGGGCACACTGCGCTGACACAATGTCATGGCCCTCATGACGAGGATGACTTGGAGGAGCCAATCCTGACAACTGACCCTGTTGCCAGGGACTGTGAGTAGCACTTCATGTGTAATAACCGTGAATGCCTCACAACAGCTCTGCAAGGTCGGGTCTACTATTATCATCCCCATTTTATAGATGGGGAAACTGAGGCACGATCATCAAATACTGGGCACAGACTCTCCAGTGTGTAGGTGATGGAGCCAGGCTTAGAACCTGGGCAGTCTACTCCATGAACCTGCATCCTCCTCAGATGACAAGGGTGAGTTGTGGCCCCAGAGGGATGGGCCTCTTGGCCCTTTTAGGAGGTCCCCATCAAAGCTGTGGGCATTGGCAAATGAGGATTATTTTTTGAGACAGGGTCTCACTCCATTGCCCAGGCTGGAGTGCAGTGGCACCATCTCCACTCACTGCAGCCTCAAACTCCCAGGCTCAAGTGGTCCTCCCACCTCTGCTTCCTGAGTAGCTGGGACCACAGACATGCGCCACTATGCCTGGGTAATTTCTTAAAAATTATTTCTAGAGGTGGGGTTTCACCACGTTTCCCAGGCTGGTCTCAAACTCTTGGGCTCAAGTGATCCTCCCACCTCAGCTTCCCAAAGTGCTGGGGTTACAGGTGTGAGTGACCACACCCTACCTGCAAACAGGAAATCAGGGTGCCGGCATGGTCAGATACTGGTGAGGGCTCTCTTCCATGTTGCAGATGACCACCTTCTCATTTTATCTTCATATGGCAGGAAGGGCTAGCTGGCTCTCTGGCTTCTTCTTATAAGGCCCTATCCTTATGGGATGAGGGCCAAACCTCATGATCTAACCACCTACCAAAATTGCCACCTCCTGACGCCATCACATTGAAATTAGGGTTTCAACATATGAATTGAATTTGGGGAGGGGGGCACACACATTCAGTCCATTGCTCGGGACATAAACTCCGTGAGGGCAGGGACTGTGTCCTGTTCTCCACTATGTCTTATTACGTAGAACAGGCCCCGCCATGTAACTGCTTAATACATGTTGGTTGAATGAACGGGTGAATTCCTAATCATCTATTTTTACAGAAAAGGAAAACAAGGCTCAGAGATGATAACTGACCTGCCCAGAGTCACCAAGCTGGCGAGAGGCACTGCGAGGCCTGGGATGCCGAGTTTACATTGGCAAACACACCCATACACATCAAAAACCTTGCTTCAAGCCATGGTAGGAAGGTGGAGAGGCTGAGACACAAGGATGTGAAGTCCTTCCTGCATATTCCAAACATGTACGGAGGGAAAGGAAGCCACGTGCTTTCAAAGAAGCTTGGTTTCAACCTTTCTGAATCATCTTATTCCAGCACTCGCTCTCTTCAAGTCTCTGCTCAAACATCGTCTTTCACTGAGACCTGCCTGACCCCGTTCTTTGAAATAACTGCTTCCGAGCTTCCCTCTCACTGTGTTCGTCACCACTGGACGCACTCCCTATTGATCTGATGGGTGTTTATTGTCTGCAGCCTGGCGCTGGACTGTCAGCTCCATGGGAACAAAGACTTTGTGGGGCTTGATCTCAGCTGTATCCCCAGTGCCTAGAACAGTGCCTGGCACCTCCTAGGCAGTCAATGAATAGTTGTGGAATGAATGCAGATGAGTGAATCCGTGAAATTGCTTCTCTTTTTTGCCTACCCTGATTCCTCCCTTAAAAAGTCGTATTCTTACAGAGCAATGTTATCACTATAGTCACCTAACACTCTGCTGTCGGAAAAGGCCAGCGGCAGCTGGAAAAGCTAAAATTAAAATTTAAAAATTCATTAGCATGGATGAGTGTGCAATGATGGGGAATGCTTAGACCCTGGTTGAGGGAGGGAGCCTAAAACCTAAAGGGCTTCTCTGAAAAGAAGCTCTGCCTCCCCACAAGCTTGCCAGCAGTAGATGGTGTCCACGTTTTAGAATTCTGGCGATCTGATGGGTGAGACATTGTATTTTAAGGCAGTTAAAAAAACTGTATTGAGGTATAATTCATATATAATAAATCGCACATAGTTAAGATATACACTTTGGTGTGCTTTGAAATATGGATATGACTGTGAAACCATCACCACAATCAAGACAATGAACATCTCCATCCTCCCCCAAAATTTCCTTGTGGCCCTTGGTAAATTCCTCCCTCTAGGGCACCCCCTTGCCCACACCCAGGTAACAGCTTACCTGCTCTATCACTGTAGATTCGTTTGCATTTTAAAGCATTTTATATAAATGGAACCAAACAGCATATACTCTGACTTCTTTCACTGAACATAATTATTTTGAGTTTCATCCACATGTCGCATGTATCAATGGTTCATTATTTTAATTGCAGAGCAGTATGGATGTACCATACATTGTTTACACATTCACCTGTTGATGGAAATCTGGGTCGGTCTAGGTTGCAGCCATTACAAATAAACCTGCTGCAAACGTTTGTGTATGTATTTGTGTGAACATAAACTTTCATTGCTCTTGGATATATAGCTGGTGGAATGGCTAGAACATATGACAGGTGTATACTAAGCATTGTAAGAATCTGTCAAACAGCTTTCCACAGTGTTTGCACCACGTTACAGTCCACTAGCCATGGAGGGGAGTTCTGGTTCCTCCACATTCTCACACACCTTGAGTGTGGTCAGTCTTTTAAATTTTACTTATGCTAATAGTCAAGCAGCGATTTCTCTTTGCAGTTTTAATTTGGATTCATGTGTTTGTCTGCCAACCATTTGTCTTCTTTGGTGGAGTGTCTGGTTAGATCTTTTGGGTTGTTTATTTTATTATATTTGAGTTTTGAGAGTTCATTGTATGTTCTAGATACAATGTCTTTGTCAAGTATATGGATTGGGAATATTTTCTCCAATTCTGCAGTTTGTCTTTTCATTCTTTCAGCGGTATCTTTTGAAGAGCAGAAGTTATTAATTTTGATAAAGTCCAATTTGTCAACTTTTTCTTTTATGGATTTTGCTTTGGTGTCTAAGAAATATTTGCTCAACTCAAGGTCACACTTTAAAGTGTGTGTGTGTGTGTGTGTGTGTTTTTGTAGTATATGGTGCAAGCTATGAATCAAAGTTCCTTTCTCTTTGTTTGCACATGCAATTGTACAACATCATTTTTTGAAAAGACTGTTTTTTCCATGGAATTGAATTCCGCCTTTGTTGAAAATCAGTCATATACATATGAGTGAGTGTATTTATATATCTCTCTTCTGTTTAATTGATCTATTTGTTTATTTTGACACCAATAGCACCATTTCCTGATTACTGTAGCTTTATGATAAGTCTTAAATCAGGTTGTGTTAGATGTATATATTTTTTTCTTTTGCAAAGTAAGTTGTTTTGGCTATCATAGGTCCATTGCATTTCCATGCAAATTTTAGAATTACTTCTCAATTCTGACCAAAATATCCTGCTGTGATTTTGATTCAGATTGTGTCGAATCTATAGATCAGTTTAGGGAGAATTTACATCTTAACAAATATTGTGTCTTCCAATCCACAAATACAGTATAGCTCTTCATTTACTTAAATGTTTAAAATTTTCCTTCAGCAATGTTTTACAGGTTTCAGTGTACTTTTGTCAGATTCATCCATAAATATTAAGTATTGGAATACTACTAGTAATCACACTGCCTTTTAAAATTCCAGTTTCTGTTTTTTATTACTAAATCATAGAAATCCAATTGATTTTTGTTGGTTTAGTTGAATCTTTCAAGCTTTCTAGGCTTACTGATTAGCTTTAGTGGCTTTTTTGTGGATTCTATCAGGTTTTCTATTTAGACAACCATGGTGTTGTTGAATAAAGACAGTTTTAAATTTTCCTTTCCAATCTGAATGCTTTTTATTTCTTTTTCTTGCCTTACTTTACTGGCTAAAACTTCCAGGACAATGTTTAATGAGTTGGTGAGAGCGGATATAACCCACTAGTTTCGATTCGGTTGTTCACCATTGAGTATGATATTAGCTGTGGGTTTTTCGTGGATAACCTTTACTGTATGGAAGTTTCCCTTTATTCCTACTCTGTTAATGATTTTAATCAGAAATGGACATTGGATTTTGTCAAATGCTTTTTCCCCATTGAGATGGCCATATATTTTAGTTTTTCATCATTTTATAGAGTAAATTATATTGATTGATTTTTTAAAAAATATTAAATCAACTGTGCCTTCTTGGGATAAACTCAACTTGGTCATGATATACTATTCTTTTTTGCAATCTATTGTTAGTTTCTATTTGCTAAAATTTTGTTAAGAATTTTGCGTCTAAGTTCACGAGGAATATTGATCTTTGGTTTTCTCTTCTTGTAATGTCTTTGTCTGGTTTTGGAATCAGGCTATCGCTGGCCTCATAAAATGAGTTGGAAAGTATATTCTCACTTCACTTTTATGGAAGAGTATGAGAAGAATTGGTATTATTTCTTCCTTAAATATTTGTTCAAATTACCCCCTTGAATTTTGGTGCCTGGCATTTTCTTTATTGGAAGATTTTAAACTAAAAGTTAAATTTCTTTGAGTATACAGTATCTGTTTCTTCTTAAATAACAGTTGGTAATGTATGTACTTTAAGGAATTTATTCATTTCATCTAAGTGGTTGAATTTACTGGCATAAAGCTGTTCATAATATTTTATTATTCTTTTAATTTCTGTGGAATCTATAGTGATACCAGTTTTTTCATTCCTGATATTGATAATCTGCGTCCTCCTCCCTCCCTCCCTGCTTCCCTTCCTTCTTTTCTTTCCTTTTTTTTTTTTTCTATTTCTTTCCAGATCAGTTTGGCTAGAGGTTTATCAATTTTACTGATCTTTTCCAAGAATCAGCTTATAGCTTCATTGATTTTCTATACTGTTTTTCTGTTTTGTATTTCACTGATATCTGCTCTTATCTTTGTTGTTTCCTTTATTTGGCTTACTTTAGGTTTAAGATGCTCTCCTTTTTTTATTTTCTTGAAGGGGGATCTGAAGTCATAGACTTGAGAATTCTTTTCTAAATATAGGATTTAGTGCCATAAATTTCTCTCTAGTAAATGTGTTAGTGACATCCACAAATTTCAATAATGTCAGTTCCGGACTGAGTTCAATTGATTTATTTTCTTCGTTATTTTGCACCACATTTCCTGCTTCTTTACTTGCCCGGTACTCCTTGATTGAATGCCAATCATTTTAACTTGTTGGGGGCTGAGTACTTTGTATTCTTGTAACTATTGTTGGGCTTTGTTCTGGTATACAGTTAAGAATTTGGAAATACTTTGATCCTTTTGAGTTTAGCTTTTATAATTTATTAAGATGTTTAGTCTATGGCTAATGATTCCCCACTATTGAGACAAGATCGTTCTGAGTCCTCTACCAAATGACCCCTGACTTCCAAAGTCTTCAAGTCTGGCTGGTGGGAAACAGCACTATTTCCCGGCTGGTGTGAGCACTGAATATTGTTTCCTGGAATCCTTTTGGGTGATTCTCTCCCTGGCCTCAAGGAATTTTCTCAATGCATGTACTGATGTCACTCTACTGAATAGTTGAGGATAGCCCCCTGAAGATTCCAGTGTTCTGGCTCTCCATAGCTCTCCTCTCTCCAAAACTCTGCCCTGCAATCTCTTGAACTCCCCTGGGCTCTGCCTGGGTTCCCTTCCCTGCAGCAGTGCCTGGAAAGTCTCCCAAGGCAGAAAGCGGGGCAACTCTAGGCTCACCTCATCTTTCTCCTGCCTTCCAGGGTCACTATCCTTTGTTGTCTAATGTCCAACACCTTGAAAACTATTGTTTTGCACCTTTTGTCCATTTAAAAATATTTTCCAAGTGGGAAGATAAATCCGGTCCTTATTACTATGTGTTTGTTGACAGTCTTAGACTACTTTTAATTTACCTTTCTCAGATGACAGGGATATCATCTTCTCATACAATTAAGATGCTTTGTCTTTTTCTATGAATTGTCTGTTCACTTCTTAGCTTATTTTTCTCCAGGGTTTTTCTTTCTCCTGAGGCTTTGGGAAATGCTACAGAGATTTATATGTTAGGGATAATGACTATTTTTTTTTTTTTGAGACAGAGTCTTGCTCTGTCGCCCAGGCTGGAGTGCAGTGGCGTGATCTCTGCTCATTGCAAGCTCCACCTCCTGGGTTCACGCCATTCTCCTGCCTCAGCATCCCGAGTAGCTGGGACTACAGGTGCCCGCCACCATGCCCAGCTAATTTTTTGTATTTTTAGTAGAAACGGGGTTTCACCATGTTAGCCAAGATGGTCTCGATCTCCTGACCTCGTGATCTGCCCGCCTTGGCCTCCCAAAGTGCTAGGATTACAGGTGTGAGCCACCGCGCCCAGCCATAACTCTTTAATGTATTGTGATTTAAATTAAAAATATTTCTCCAGTGTAATGTTTGTCATTTTAATTTTTATGTTTCTTGTGATGCAAATGTTTTTAAATTTTTATGTAAAAATATTTTCCCTTATTGCTTCTAAATTATTAAATGTATTTCTTATAAAACAAGAGACATAAATAAGCACATTAGGTGGAAACCAAAGAATACAAATAAGCTCTTTAAATATCTCTTGGGTGAGGGGCACTAGGTTCTGATATAATAAGTAGAGTGTCAATACCCACATTTTTTAGAGAATAGTATCTTATAAATATATTTGCATTGAATATTTGCATGGGTCTATGTTTAAAATTGGTGCTAAAGTTGGATATGGTGAACCTTGCATGTCGTATTCAATTGTTCTTTCTTTTAAAGTGCTGGTTGTAGTGAAAGGGTCCATGGGAAAAAATTCCAAGCACAGGAATCCAAGCAGATGGGCCTGTAGGTAGAGATGGGCAGAGGCTAAACAGGGAAGTATGGCAAGGGAAAGGAGGCGCTGTCACTTACTGAGCACCTGCTATGTGCCAGGCACTGTGTAGGAGACAGGTGTAGAAGACAAAGGCTGCAGTGGGTATGGGCGTCTTTGGGGCTACCTTGTTTTTGGTATATCTGGCCTATATTTGGAAAATATCCCTCCTAATGATTTCTGCTCTGGACTGAATGACTGTGTCCCTCTCCCCCAAAATTTATATGTTAAAGCCCCAGCCCCTAATGCGATGGTATTTTGAGGTGGGGCTTTGGGAGGTGATTAGGTTTAGATGAGGTCATGAGGGTGGGGCCCCCATGGTGGGATTAGTGCCCTTAAAGAAAGAGGAAGAACAGGAGATTATCTCTTTCTCTCTCTCTCTCTCTCTCTCTCTCTCTCTCTTTCTAAGCATGCACACACCAAGGACCATGCTGTGCCCTGATCTTGGCCTTTCAGTCTCCAGAACTGTGTGAAATAACCGTCTGTTGTTTCAGCCACCCAGTCTGTAATAATTTGTTATAGCAGTCCGAGCCAACTGAGACCATATGTGCCTCCCTAAAGCAGAAGCCTGTAACTCACTTTCTCAGTTTCCCTCGAGATTCAGGACAGGTAAGTGAGTTGGGCCTCACGAATCAGACGAACTCACAGAAAACCTTGATTTGGAAGAGAAAAATGCTTGGATGAGGCAAGCACATTGACACATCCACTTTCTGGTGTGGATTACGGCAGAGGTTACTTTCAGAGAGGGCAGCAGGGCTGACGTTCGGGGGTCCAGCCTCCCAGTTGGCACTGGGAGCTGGCACTGGGAGCTGAGATGTCTGTGCTCACTGGAGATGGCGATGGGCGGTCCTCACTGCAGGTGACCAGCCAGGGGATTTGAACATTCATCCTGGATATGGTATTCTTTGAGGAGTCTGGGGGTGGCGGGTCTTTAATGTCTTTAAACTGGTATTGAGGGAACCTCTGCCTACTGCCCATCACTTAAGGCTCGTCAGCAAGGTGACATATTTGAAACTTGCAGCTTCTTCACAGCTGACAAAAAGAAAAGGGAGATAATTTTTTTTTTAAATTCTCCTGTTTTCCCTAGAAAATAGAGATGAGAGAAAACCCTTGTGTTATGGCCATTAACCATTTCCTTTGTTCATTCAAATAGGAATCTAGCTTTTTTTTTTTTTTTTTTTTTTTCCTACCAGATGCTATGCTAAGTGCCAGACCACTGTGAACTGCAGAGGAAAAACCAGGGTATCAGAACTCTTCCACCGGTGGGGATAGTAGAGGCCACAAAGCCTCCATCACTCAACGCAATTGCATCTAAAGAATAATTTTCTGCAGACCACATGGAGGTGAGATGTTTGAGGTTTCTGAACAGGAAGCCCAAACATGTTAATTTGATACATTAGCAGGGGCTTATTATTTTCCCGTAACAAGGTCACAGGAAATTTATTAGCACTGTATCACAATCCTCTGGAAGAAAAATCGTCAGAGGTCACATTAACCCTTTAGTTCCCGCTGCTGTGAGGAAGGTTTTGTTGGGCAATGCTTTAACTTTTGATGGTCACTGAAACATCCCAGTCTCTCACCTTTATATGATGCCTCTGTTTTCATCTATCTATCCATCCATCCATCTATCCACCCATCCATCCACTCACTCGCTGAACCAATAGTTGCTGGAGCATCTGCTGTGGGCACTGCTGCAGAATCGGGGATGTGGCAGTGAACAGCACCCACAAATTCCCACCCTTCAATGAGTTAACATTCTCATGTCATTCTCTCACAGCTTCATACAGCAACTCTCTAAAATCAGTGTCATTTTTCATATGAAAAATTGAGGTGCCAGGCATGCAGCCTGTAGCCCTTTCCCAGTCTTTTCTCCACAGAGCAGCCAGGCTGATCTTTTTTAAAAATGTAAATCACTCCCTGCTTAAAATCTTCTAGTGCCTCCTCATCGCTCTTAAGAATAAAATCCAAATTCCTTACCAGAGCCTATGAGACCGTGAAGGATATGCCTCTTGGCTCCCTCTGTGACCTCATCTCCCCCTTGCTCATCGCAATTCTGCCATGTTTGTCTTCTCTTTGCTCTCCCAGGACTCTGAGCAGGGTCCTGCCTCAGGACCTTTGCACCATCTATTTCTGAACACTCTGCTCTCTGTGTATTTCCTTGGCTGATTTCTGCCATTTGGGTTTCAGCTCAGATATCACCTCCTCCAGTAGGCCTTTTGGGACTTGTCCACCCCTCTTTCCCCCATGCCCTGTTTTCTTTCTCACATGGCTGTGGCAGTCAGCTTTCTTAGCGGCAATATGGACTCCAGCAAACGAACTCTGGCAGATACATGGGTAGTGCAGGGGAACAAGCTCTTATCCACAGCTAGATGCCCTGGCGGCTCTTCTGCCCCTTACTGGCTGCAGGGCGTGAGACAAGCATCTTAATCTCTCCAGTCCTTGGAACATGGAAACCAGACCATGTCTTTCCTCTGCTCAAAGCCTTTTAAGGGCTTCCCATCCCAGGCAGAGAAAAAGCCACGTTCCTTTCTATGCCCTGAAAAGCCATCCAACTGGACCCATTCCTTGCCCGACCTCTCCTCCCACTCCACCCCCCACTGGCTCTGCTCCAGCCACTTCTGCCCTTGCTGTTCCTTGAGCAGCCAGGACTGTGGCTGCCTCCAGGCCTTTGCACTTGCTGCTTTCTGTCTCTGGAATGCTCTTCCTCCAACACCCACGTGGCTTTTAAGCTTTCATTCAAGCATTACCATCTCAGCGAGACCTTCACTAGTTGCCCTATTAAAAATCGCAACCCCACCTCCTCCCCAACCCATATCCCTTTCCCCTCATTGATTTCTCCCCTTAGCACTCATCAGCTTGTCACATACTGTCATTTGCTTATTTGCTGGTTTATTGTCTGTCTCCCTCCACCACAATGACGGCTCCATGAGAAATGATTTCTGTTTTGTCCGTGATACGTTCTAGCATCTAGGATGCAGGCACATGGTGGGCAGATCTGCTGAATGAATGAGTGAATAAGGTTCGGTTCCTTTATTCCTCTTCTTTGCAGTGGATAGTCAGAGTCCCTTCCTGATATCAGGGTACTGAGTATGGGGTGAGACTCAGGCATTAGAGTCCAGCACACTGCCCGCCAGTGCTGGCCATCTCTGCTCCCATCCCTGCTCAGCTCGCATGCTTGGCTTCCCACCCAAGACAAGCAGCCCAGGAAACAGATTCGATCAATGCTCTTCACCTTGAGCATCTCGAGGGCTGTGCTTGACGAAGTCTTAAAGCCAATAAATATCAGCAGCTAAGCTCTCTCTGCTAGACGGTCAGTGCAGAGGCAGCAGTGGCCACACTTAGGCAGCCGCTGGGGAGAGGACAAGGACAGTCAGCTTTAGAAGGAAGGACACAACTGACCCCGGCTTGCTGGCAGATGAGGTGGGCTGAAGAGCTGGTGAAAACAGAGGCTCCCAGTTCCGTGTGTAAGAACATGCAGGCTCAGTCATACTGCAAGGGCCTGAGTCTTGGGTCTGTTGTATCTGTGTGATACTGGGTGTGCTGGTTAATTGTATGAGTCAACTTGGCCGGGCCATAGTGCCCAGAGATATGGTCAGCATGATTCTGGATGCTTCTGTGAGGGTGTTTTTGGATGAGATTAACATCTAAGTTGGTGGACTTGAGCAGAGCAGGTTGCCCTCCATAATGTGGGTGGGCCTCGTCCAATCAGTTGAAAGCCTGAACAGCAGAAAAAACTGACCTCCCCTAAGCAAGTGGGATTTTGTCCACAGATGGCCTTTAGGCTGGAGCTGCAGCCTCAGCTTTCCTCTGGGTCTCTAGCCTTCCTGCTTGCCCTGCAAATTTTGGACTTCTTAGCCTCCTTAAAGTAAATCTCTATCAATATACCAGTGGCCCTCTGTATCCATGGTTCCGGATCTGTGGATTCAACCAACTGCAGATCAAAAATTTAGTTAAACCCATGAAAGTTGTGTACAGCCTTTTTCCTTGTCGTGATTCCCCAGACAATACATGTAACAAGTACTTATATAGCATTTACACTGTATTATGTATCATAGGTAAACTAGAGATGACTTAAAGCAGTGGTCCTCAACCTTTTTGGCACCAGGGACCGGTTGCATGAAAGACAATTTTTCCATGAACTGGCAGGAGCGTGGTTTCAGGATGATTCAAACCATTATATTTATTGTGCACTTTATTTCTATTATTATTACATTGTAATATATAATGAAATAATTATACATCTCACCATAATGTAGATCAGTGGGAGCTCCAAGCTTGTCTTCCTGCAACTAGATGGTCCCATTTGGAGGTGATGGGAGACAGTGACAGATCATCAGGCATTGGATTTTCAAAAGGAGCACGCAACCTAGATCCCTCGCATGTGCAGTTCACAGTAGGGTTTGTGCTCCTAAGATAATCTAATGCCGCCACTGATCTGACAGCAGGCAGAGCTCACACAGTAATGCGAGCAAGCAATGGGGAGCGGCTGTCAATACAGATGAAACTTCGCTCACTCACACAGCACTTAGCTCACTCACCTCCTGTTGTATGGCCCAGTTCCTAACAGGCCATAGGCCGGATGGGTTTGTGGCCTAGGGGTTGGAGACCCCTGACTTAAAGTACATAGGAGGATGTGCTGTAGGTTATATGCAAATACCACACCATTTTATTATATCTGCGAGGGGTCCTGGAACCAATCTCCTGAAACCAAGGGAGGACCATATATACACATTCTATTGGTTCTGTTTCCCTGGAGCGCCCTGGGTAATACAAGGGAAGTCTTTTCATGCCTTAGTGAACCTGGGACTCAGTTCGCTTGTCACTGGTGCAGCCTCCAGAGCCAGCTGATGTAGGCCGCCACTCCCTCAATGGCTCCTGGCCTTGGGCACATAACTGAACCCCTACATGCTCCAGGCTCCTCTGCAAAGTTGGGAGGGTAATAACAGTAATAACCACCCTCAGAGTGTTATTGTGAGAATTAAATGCATTTGTGCCCATGAGTGCTGAAGGCTAGAGATGCACTGGTCTTTACTATCAGGACATGAGGACTGAGAAAATCCATGCAACTGCTCAGCATGGTAAGTAGCTTGCTAGGTGAGTGTGGCTCACACCAAGTTCTCAGCACCTGTTAGATGATACTATTAACACAATATTTATTTGTAAATTACTGAAACCTTATTCACCAGGTAAGTATGAATTGAACCCAGACCTACAAAAGCTTAAAATACTTGAGGAACAATAGTTTACCTTATGAGGTAGTCAGCTGTCTGGTAACCTCAATCAGCTAAAATTTGCTGGCAAATTCAGGAATTGAAAAATCCTAGAGATTTGTCAGAGGGTACAAACTTGCAGTCATGTAGGATGAATAAGTCTAACCTAATGCACAGCAGGAGGACTATGGTTCATAATATTGTATTGTATGCTGAACATTTGGTAAGAGACTGGATTTTATGTGTTCTTACCACACACACACACACACGCGGTAACTGTGTGAGGAGATTCATATGTTAGTTTGTTTGACTGTAGTTGTCATTTCACCATGTGTATCACAACATCATGCTGTATACCTTAAATAGATACAATAATAAATAAACAACTATCCTAGAGAGATAAGGGGTAAGCATTATACAAAGCCACACACGCAATTTCGTGGAAAGGTTCATGGGATCCTCCTTAGGCCCCATGGCCCCTTGAGCCTGCAGGCACAATGTCTGTTGTAAAGGAAGCATTGAAGAATGGCCTACCTTGAAACCCCTTGGGATTTTACGCTCAATTTTGGAAGCCTGGCATCCATCCGAGTGCCCCTACAGGTAAGGACTTATGCTTTTATTGAATTGCATGTAATGACAAGAAGTTAATGTCGACTGATGGACCTTAGAAACTAAAGAACTGGCTGGACATGGTGACTCACACCTGTAATCCCAACACTTTGGGAGGCCAAGGGCAGATCACCTGAGGTCGGGAGTTCAAGACCAGCCTGGCCAACATGGCGAAATCCCGTCTCTACTAAAAGTTAAAAAATTAGCCAGGCGTAGTGGTGGGCACCTGTAATCCCAGCTACTCAGGAGGCTGAGGCAGGAGAATCGCTTGCACCGGGAGGTGGAGGTTGCAGTGAGCCGAGATTGCACCACTGCACTTCAGCCTGGGTGACAATAGTGAGACTCCGTCAAAAAAAAAAAAAAAAAAAACCTAAATAACTTAATCAGTTCTTCCCATTTCTGTATCATCAAGGGCATTCATGCATCATATGTAAGTTCTGGAACACAAATTTCCAATTAATATTTTTTATTCAAAAACATAGGATGGCATAAAAACTCAGCCACATGGGAACATTCCTAAGTATTAAGCTTCCAATGTATTTCAATTTACAAGCATTTATTGAGCACCTACTATGTGTCTAGAACCACAATAAGTGAGAGGATGTTTTAAGATATGTTCTTAGTCTGAAGGAGCTCACAGTCTAGCCAGGTTCACATATTTCACAATATTTATTGGCATGTGAGAAAATAACAAACTGCTATAAAACTTCATAGTTGGGTGAGACCACTGTGGGTTGTAGAAATAAGGAAAGGATTCTTCGGGGAGGTAAAAAGCGAATTGAATTATATCACGAAGACTTGGTTGTTGTCTTGGAGGTAAATATAGCACCTATTTCTTCATCTCCTAATTTTGAACCAATTAAGACACAGGAGCGAGACAGATGAGGATGAAAATATCACACTAAAAGGCTGAATTGACCCATGTACCTGAGGTGGGTAGCCATATGGGATTCCTCCTACTTTACCCCCTGAATGAGGTAGCCTCATTCTCCCAGTCACATGTACCATTGACCAGCATAGATTTCTGAAAGGGATGGCTGAGAGGAGTGTGCCCCATTCAGCAAGGAGGCAGAGGCTACAGATGGCTCTCAAAATCTCTCCCGGAGAGTGGAATGGAAATTCTCGGCCTCCGTGGAAACATGAGGGGTAAGCTATATATATATCCTTGTACGACTAGTAAGTTATGCCTACATTAAATTTGGTTTGGAAGTGTGTAACAAAAGTAGTGAGTCTGGATGGGTATATTAACACCAACATCATCAACAACAACATCAACATTAGTAACGTCAACAACATTATCACATCAACAATAGCAGCACAGCAGTAGTGCCAACAGCAGCAACAACGACAATAGAATAACATCTCAGCAACAAGAATAAAAATAGCAACAATAGCACTGTCAACCACATCAGCAAGAACATTAACAGTAACAACGCCAACAGCATCATCACAACATCCGCAGTAGCAGCATCAACAGCATCATCACAACACCCGCAGTAATGTCAACAGTATCATCACAACACCCACAGTAACAATGCCAACAGCAGCATCACAACATCTACAGAAACAGTGTCTAGAGCATCATCACTACTTCCATAGTTACAACATCAACAGCGATATAACAGTATCAAGAAACAACATCAGCAGCATCATCACAACACCTGTAGTAATAGTGTCAATAGCCTCATCGTGACACGGCACCCACAGTAATAGTGTCAACAGCACATCACTGTGCCCATAGTAACATCATCACAACATCCACAGCAACTGTGTTAACAGCATCACGCCAACATCTACAGTAAATGTGTTAACAGCGTCATCACAACATCCATAGTAAGTGTCAACACCACCATCACGGCATCCACAGTAAAGCTTCAACAGCATCATCACAACATCCACAGCAACAACATCATCACAGCATCCACAGTGACACTGTCAACAGCATCATTGCAACATCCACAGTGACAATGTCAACAGCATCATCACAGCAACAGTAGCAGCACATCAGCAGCAACAACTGCCACAAAATGGCAACAACAGCGGTATCAAAAATAATCAGAACAGTAGTGAAAACACTGTCACCAACAACAGCAAAAACATCAGCAACCACATAATCTGCAGAAACAGCAGCAAAAATAGCAAGAGCAGTAGCAGCAGCAGCAGTAACAATAACAAAAACAGCAGCAACACCATCAACAGCAATAACAAGGCTAGGTAGCATTTATAGAGTGCTTGTCTGACACCAGTCTCCAGGCTAAGTGCTGAACATGCATGATCTCATTTAACCCTCACAGGATTTATCTTAAACACTGGAATAGAGAGAGACTGTAGATAAAATTATGCCCATGAGATAGGTGTAATCCAGTAAAAAAGGACTCAGTTGTTTAGCTGGGTAGGTCTGGGTTCTAATCCAGATTCTTTTATTATCTAAGCAACCTCAGGCAAACTCTTTAACCTTCCTGCATTTCAATTTGTCATCTCCAAGTGGGGAAAAAAATCTGCAGCCTGGATTTGTTGTGAGGACTCAGTGAGGTCGTGCGGTGAGGTACTGGCACGTTCCCACGGGGTTACCTGGGTGGGAAGGCATCTTGTCAAATCAAACTCAAGAGGAACCACTGGGAGGATGAGGTTGTGGCTCTGCCCACCCTCTCTCTTCTCCAGTATTCTTTGTCTTTTCGTCATGTTGGTTTCTCCCAGCTGGGAGCTGTCAGAAACGCTCAGAAGGGGGGGAAAAGGCAGCCTTTCATCCCCTAAGCTTGTCATCCTCAGCTTTTTGCCAATGCTCAGTTCTTTTTTCCTAGGGAAGATAAAAAAGAAAACACATGAAAACCCCACAAACATAAACACATCAGACACAATCCTACTTCTTCAAGGCAGAGTCTCAGGAGACTGCCTTCTAAGGGGAAGACAAAGGGAGTTGGACCTTTGTCCATCTGGGAGCAGGCTCTGCGTGTTTGTTCTTAGGAGACTTGGCACAAAGGCGAAGGTTGGCTCTCCCCCTCCCAATAAATGTGGACACACTTTCCGTAGGCCCTGTGTCTGAAGGCAGCACAGTGCATTTGAGAAGCTGGGATGCTGGAAACAGCACACTTAGAATAAGCACCAAAGAGGATGGCTGAAGCAACTCCCCCACCTTGCCTGACAGAATTCATCTATGAATATAGGTACTCCTCCTTCTGTGCCAAGCATCCAATCAATGAAATGATAGTTATTCTTCCCCATTAGCTTCATGAAGTCAAAGCCTGCTTTGTTTGGTTCACCACTGTATTCACCATTACTATTGTCCCCAGTAGGTCATATTCTCCTAGAAGCAGAGCCTGAGCCAAGGATTCAATGCAAGGGATTTGTTGAGGCAGTGCTCCCGAGATGTACCAGTGAGGGAGTTGGGGGTGGGGCACAAATAGGGGAGGAGAGGAGACTCAACAAGTGTATCATCTTGGGTGACACCCCAGCCTCATCTTGGTCTTGAGTGGTGTGCTGAAGCAGAGATGATATCTCAGAGTTTGTCCTCTCCAAGGCACAGGTGCTGGGCTTTTGTATTCCCACAATGGTCAGTCACTGGCTGTGGCTTAGGGGGGATGGGAAGGGCTGAGAATGAGTTGCCAAGTTGTTCCAGCTCTCCAGGGAAGGCCCCAGTGCTCAGGGGAAACTTAGCAGCAGGGCATACAGGGGCTGGGCTGGATGCACAGGGCTGGTAAAAGGCTTCAGAGGGGGTCTGAGCTGGGCACCATCAGGGTCTGCTGTTTTTCTTTAATCCAAGAATTGAGAGAGAGAAAGCAGTAAAAAAAAAAAAAAATAGGATTGCATTGATTTCTTTTCATGTAGACTCCATGATCTGGACAGAAAGTTACCTTCATTGATGCACTGCAGTTGAGTGAGCACCGGAGACAGTCACACTGGGGTTTGGGTCAAAGGTCCAGCTGGCAGCAAAGCATTCTGGCTCTGTTTTATCTGCAGTGTCTGCAGTTCCTGTATGTAGAGGGAAGAAGGCTGGTGTTCCCAGGTCTCCTTTTATATAATTATAAAATGAGCTTTTATAATTATAAAAGCAATGCGTGAAAATAAACAAAATCAACATTCCTGAAGGGGCTAAAATATGCTCTTTTGGTAGGTTGACTATTTCAGTTAAAGGCACTTGAAAAACAGCAGGTGCAAAGAGATCAGTCTGAACTTCATTTTCTTAAAAGCAGAAGATGAAATTCCCATGTGAAAGATGTCCTCCCTACACTAGAGAAAAAGCAAGGTTCTTATCATCAAGGACAAGAAAGTTGAAGTGGAACGAATTTTGTACAAACAAGCCTTGTTCAACTAACACTTGTCATGCTGGCTACTTCTCTATCCAGTTAACCACCCTAGCCCAAGACCCTTTGCCTGATCACATGTTTACAGTTTATAATTCTTTGTCAAATCTGGTAAAGAATTAACTGACTCTGACAGCTTCTTTGTGTCTTTATTTCTTTATGAGGCTCCTATGCTATGTAAAACTTGTGTTGTGCTTTGCTCCTGTTAATCTATGTTATGTCAATGTAATTCTTGGACCCTCCTGGGACCCTAAAAGGGTGAAGTAGTATTCTTCTGTCCCAACAGTTTCTGTCCTAAAAGGCTGAGCACCTTCCGACTCACTCTGGAGCCTGCAGATGGGATCCTGAGGGGCCTAATAAATGATGGAAGAAAGTAGGAATTCTTACCAAGGTCAGCTCTCCTGGATTTCCGTCCATAGTGTCCAATTGAAAGAAGAAGGTAAAAATTTTTGCGTGTTCCTTCCTTCCCAAATTCAACTGACAGGAAAAAAAAAATTGTAAAAAATTGGTTCTTTGAATTGTGAGTCTTGTGAATTTGCTTCTGGGTGTCCATTGGTAATTGATCCACAGCCTCCCAGGAAGTCCTTGTTTTTCTTATCTCTGTCTTTTGTGTGGGTTGTCATAAGGAAGAAAATTATAATTAATTAGATTTGAGGTAGGAGGCTGGCAGGGCTTGTTTTCTGGTCATGACCTCACTGATCTGGTTTGAAAGGATATGGTTGAAACAGAATGCAGTGAAGAAGCCAGCCAAAATAAGCAGATGGCCATGAAAGTGACCTGTAGTTGCCCTCACTACTCATTAGCATAAAGACATTCCCATGGGTGCCGTGACAGTTTACACATGCCATGGCAATGGGCCATAGCAATGGCCTGGAAGTTACCATATATGGTTCTGGACGCTCTCGGCCCCTTTTCCAGAATGTTCTGAATAATCCACCTCTTAATTAGCATATAATTAAAAGTGGGTATAAATACAGCTGCCAACAGCTTACACATTGCTGACTCTGGGCACACTGCTTATGGGTTAGCCCTGCTCTGCAAGGAGCAGCACTGGCTCCATAAACACTGCTTTCTGTCACCACTGGCTCACCCTTGAGTTCGTTCCTGGGTGAAGCCAACAACCCTCTCAGGTTGATCCCCAATTTTGAGGCTCACCTGTCCTGCATCAGACTCTGCTTCATCTTCTCTGAAGTCATAAGAGCTTGGCTTTGTAATCAGTGAAAATGTGCTCTTTGGTTTCTATCAGCCTGGGGCTCAAGCTGTTGGGCTTGTGCCCAGCAGTTAGCCAGCTCTCCAGGATTCTGAAACAAGAAGTGTCTCTTTGTATGAACTGTGCCAGCTCTCAGGACAGTTTGTCGTAATTGTCTCAGCCTTTGTTGCCCTGTTAACAATGAGGGTCTTCACTTTCTTAGGTATCCTTGGAGGAAACTTTGGATCTGGGGTGGGGGTGGGACTTCTGTACCCTCTTTATGGATGCCTCTTTTGTCCATGATTAAACCATAAAAAGATGATCAGTTTTGAGTCAAAACTGAAGTAGGTATACCTTTGAAAATTTGGACTTTTGTATCTAAAAGTATTTTTTTTAAGAGAACTCTCATCCTAAGTAACTGTCCTATTGGTACCTATGTGAAGATTTGGCTTAAAAGAAAAAAAAACTTATATAAATTGTTATCTCAGAAAAAGAGAAACTAACCTAAGTGTTTTTCAAGTTCACGTGGTTTTACATAATCTTTGGTAAATAAAAACCTACTTAAAGTTTGCTGATTTAATTAAACCAGCAATATTATTATACTTTAAGTTTTAGGGTACATGTGCACAATTTGCAGATTTGTTACATATGTATACATGTGCCAAGTTGGTGTACTGCACCCATTTAGCACATTTCGCACCCATAATGCACGTCATTTAGCATGAACTCATCATTTTTTATGGCTGCATAGTATTCCATGGTGTGGATGTGCCATATTTTCTTAATCCAGTCTATCGTTGTTGGACATTTGGGTTGGTTCCAAGTCTTTGCTATTGTGAATAGTGCCGCAATAAACATACGTGTGCATGTGTCTTTATAGCAGCAAGATTTATATTCCTTTGGGTATATACCCAGTAATGGGATGGCTGGGTCAAATGGTATTTCTAGTTCTAGAACCCTGAGGAATCGCCACACTCACTTCCACAATGGTTGAACTAGTTTACAGTCCCACCAACAGTGTAAAAGTGTTCCTATTTCTCCACATCCTCTCCAGCACCTGTTGTTTCCTGACTTTTTAATGATTGCCATTCTAACTGGTGTGAGATGGTATCTCATTGTGGTTTTGATTTGCATTTCTCTGATGGCTAGTGATGAGGAGCATTTTTTCATGTCTCTTTTGGCTGCATAAATGTCTCCTTTTGAGAAGTGTCTGTTCATATCCTTCGCCCAGTTTTTGATGAGGTTGTTTGTTTTTTTCTTGTAAATTTGTTTGAGTTCATTGTAGATTCTGGATATTAGCCCTTTGTCAGATGAGTAGGTTGGGAAAATGTTCTCCTATTTTGTCGGTTGCCTGTTCACTCTGATGGTAGTTTCTTTTGCTGTGCAGAAGCTCTTTCGTTTAATTAGATCCCATTTGTCAATTTTGGCTTTTGTTACCATTGCTTTTGGTGTTTTAGACATGAAATCCTTGCCCATGCCTATGTCCTGAATGGTATTGCCTAGGTTTTCTTCTAGGGTTTTCATGGTTTTAGGTCTAACATTTAAGTCTTTAATCCATCTTGAATTAATTTTTGTATAAGGTGTAAGGAAGGGATCCAGTTTCAGCTTTCTCCATATGGCTAGCCAGTTTTCCCAGCACCATTTATTAAATAGGGAATCCTTTCCCCATTGCTTGTTTTTCTCAGGTTTGTCAAAGATCAGATAGTTGTAGATATGTGGCATTATTTCTGAGGGCTCTGTTCTGTTCCATTGATCTATATCTCTGTTTTGGTACCAGTACCATGCTGTTTTGGTTACTGTAGCCTTGTAGTATAGTTTGAAGTCAGGTAGCGTGATGCCTGCGGCTTTGTTCTTTTGGCTTAGGATTCACTTGGTGATGCGGGCTCTTTTTTGATTCCATATGAACTTTAAAGTAGTTTTTTCCAATTCTGTGAAGAAAGTCATTGGTAGCTTGATGGGGATGGCATTGAATCTATAAATTACCTTGGGCAGTATGGCCGTTTTCACGATATTGATTCTTCCTACCCATGAGCATGGAATGTTCTTCCATTTGTTTGTATCTTCTTTTATTTCATTGAGCAGTGGTTTGTAGTTCTTCTTGAAGAGGTCCTTCACATCCCTTGTAAGTTGGATTCCTAGGTATTTTATTCTCTTTGAAGCAATAGTGAATGGGAGTTCACTCATGATTTGGCTCTCTGTTTGTCTGTTATTGGTGTATAAGAATGCTTGTGATTTTTGTACATTGATTTTGTATCCTGAGACTTTGCTGAAGTTGCTTATCAGCTTAAGGAGACTTTGGGCTGAGACAATGGGGTTTTCTAGATATACAATCATGTCATCTGCAAACAGGGACAATTTGACTTCCTCTTTTCCAAATTGAACACACTTTATTTCCTTCTCCTGCCTAATTGCCCTGGCCAGAACTTCCAACACTATGTTGAATAGGAGTGGTGAGAGAGGGCATCCCTGTCTTGTGCCAGTTTTCAAAGGGAATGCTTCCAGTTTTTGCCCATTCAGCATGATATTGGCTGTGGGTTTGTCATAGATAGCTCTTACTATTTTGAGATACGTCCCATCAATACAGAATTTCTTGAGAGTTTTTAGCATGAAGGTTGTTGAATTTTGTCAAAGGCCTTTTCTGCATCTATTGAGATAATCATGTGGTTTTTGTCTTTGGTTTTGTTTATATGCTGGATTACATTTATTGATTTGTGTATGTTGAACCAGCCTTGCATCCCAGGGATGAAGCTCACTTGATCATGGTAGATAAGCTTTTTGATGTGCTGCTGGATTCGGTTTGCCAGTATTTTATTGAGGATTTTTGCATCAATGTTCATCAAGGATATTGGTCTAAAATTCTCTTTTTTGGTTGTGTCTCTGCCCGGCTTTGGTATCAGGATGATGCTGGCCTCATAAAATGAGTTAGGGAGGATTCCCTCTTTTTCTATTGATTGGAATCATTTCAGAAGGAATGGTACCAGCTCCTTCTTGTACCTGTGATAGAATTCGGCTGTGAATCCATCTGGTCCTGAACTCTTTTTGGTTGGTAAGCTATTGAATATTGCCACAATTTCAGAGCCTGTTATTGGTCTATTCAGAGATTCAACTTCCTCCTGGTTTAGTGTTGGGAGGGCGTATGTGTCGAGGAATTTATCCATTTCTTCTAGATTTTCTAGTTTATTTGCGTAGAGGTGTTTGTAGTATTCTCTGATGGTAGTTTGTATTTCTGTGGGATCGGTGGTGATATCCCCTTTATCATTTTTTATTGGGTCTATTTGATTCTTCTCTCTTTTCTTCTTTATTAGTCTTGCTAGCAGTCTATCAATTTTGTTGATCTTCTCAAAAAACCAGCTTCTGGATTCATTAATTTTTTGAAGGGTTTTTTATGTCTCTATTTCCTTCAGTTCTGCTCTGATTTTAGTTATTTCCTGCCTTCTACTAGCTTTTGAATGTGTACGCTCTTGCTTTTCTAGTTCTTTTAATTGTGATGTTAGGGTGTCAATTTTGGATCTTTCCTGCTTTCTCTTGTGGGCATTTAGTGCTATAAATTTCCCTCTACACACTGCTTTGAATGCGTCCCAGAGATTCTGGTATGTTGTGTCTTTCTTCTGGTTGGTTTCAAAGAACATCTTTATTTCTGCCTTCATTTTGTTATGTACCCAGTAGTCATTCAGGAGCAGGTTGTTCAGTTTCCGTGTAGTTGAGCGGTTTTGAGTGAGTTTCTTAATCCTGAGTTGTAGTTTGATTGTACTGTGGTCTGAGAGAAAGTTTGTTATAATTTCTGTTCTTTTACATTTGCTGAGGAGAGCATTACTTCCAAGTATGTGGTCAATTTTGAAATAGGTGTGGTGTGGTGCTGAAAAAAAATGTATATTCTGTTGATTTGGGGTGGAGAGTTCTGTACATATCTATTAGGTCTGCTTGGTGCAGAGCTGAGTTCAATTCCTGGGTATCCTTGTTAACTTTCTGTCTCATTGATCTGTCTAATGTTGACAGTGGGGTGTTAAAGTCTCCCATTATTATTGTGTGGGAGTCTAAGTCTCTTTGTAGTTCACTCAGGACTTGCTTTATGAATCTGGGTGCTCTTGTATTGGGTGCATATATATTTAGGATAGTTAGCTCTTCTTGTTGAATTGATCCCTTTACCATTATGTAATGGCCTGGTCTCTTTTGATCTTTGTTGGTTTAAATTCTGTTTTATCAGAGACTAGGATTGCAACCCCTACCTTTTTTTGTTTTCCATTTGCTTTATTTTGAGCCTACGTGTGTCTCTGCACATGAGATTGGTTTCCTGAATACAGCACACTGATGGGTCTTGACTCTTTATCCATTTTGCCAGTCTGTGTCTTTTAACTGGAGCATTTAGTCCATTTACATTTAAAGTTAATATTGTTATGTGTGAATTTGTTTCTGTTATTATGATGTTAGCTGGTTATTTTGCTCATTAGTTGATGCAGTTTCTTCCTAGCCTCCATGGTCTTTACAATTTGGCATGTTTTTGCAGTGGCTGGTACCGGTTGTTCCTTTCCATGTTTAGTGCTTCGTTCAGGAGCTCTTTTAGGGCAGGCCTGGTGGTGACACAATCTCTCAGCATTTGCTTGTCTGTAAAGTATTTTATTTCTCCTTCACTTATGAATCTTAGTTTGGCTGGATATGAAATTTTGGGTTGAAAATTATTTTCTTTAGGAATGTTGGATATTGGCCCCCACTCTCTTCTGGCTTGTAGAGTTTCTGCCGAGCGATCACCTGTTAGTCTGATGGGCTTCCCTTTGTGGGTAACCCGACCTTTCTCTCTGGGTGCCCTTAACATTTTTTCCTTCATTTCAACTTTGGTGAATCTAACAATTATGTGTCTTGGAGCTGCTTTTCTCGAGGAGTATCTTTGTGGTGTTCTCTGTATTTCCTGAATCTGAATGTTGGCCTGCCTTGCTAGATTGGGGAGGTTCTCCTGGATAATATCCTTCAGAGTGTTTTCCAACTTGGTTCTATTCTCCCCGTCACTTTCAGGTACACCAATCAGACATAGATTTGGTCTTCTCACATAGTCCTATATTTCCTGGAGACTTTGTCCCTTTCTTTTTATTCTTTTTTCTCTAAACTTCCCTTCTCGCTTCATTTCATTCATCTTCCATCACTGATACCCTTTCTTCCAGTTGATCGCATCAGCTCCTGAGGCTTCTGCATTCTTTATGTAGTTCTTGAGCCTTGGTTTTCAGCTCCATCAGGTCCTTTAAGGACTTCTCTGCATTGGTTATTCTAGTTATCCATTCGTCTAATTTTTTTCCAAGTTTTTAACTTCTTTGCCATTGGTTTGAATTTCCTCCTGTAGCTCGGAGTAGTTTGATCGTCTGAAGCCTTCTTCTCTCAACTCGTCCAAGTCATTCTCCATCCAGCTTTGTTCTATTGCTGGTGAGGAACTGCGTTCCTTTGGAGGAGAGGCGCTCTGCTTTTTAGAGTTTCCAGTTTTTCTGCTCTATTTTTTCCCCATCTTTGTGGTTTTATCTACTTTTGGTCTTTGATGATGGTGATGTACAGATGGGGTTTTGGTGTGGATGTAATTTCTGTTTGTTAGTTTTCCTTCTAACAGACAGGACCCTCAGCTGCAGGTCTGTTGGAGTTTGCTAGAGGTCCACTCCAGACCCTGTTTGCCTGGGTATCAGCAGGGGTGGCTGTTGTACTGTGGATTTTCGTGAACCGCAAATTCTGCTGCCTGATCATTCCTCTGGAAGTTTTGTCTCAGAGGAGTACCCGGTCGTGTGAGGTGTCAGTCTGCCCCTACTGGGGGGTGCCTCCCAGTTAGGCTGCTCGGGGGACAGGGACCCACTTGAGGAGGCAGTCTGCCCGTTTTCAGATCTCCAGCTGTGTGCTGGGAGAACCACTGCTCTCTTCAAAGCTGTCAGACAGGGACATTTAAGTCTGCAGAGGTTACTGCTGTCTTTTGTTTGTCTGTGCCCTGCCCCCAGAGGTGGAGCCTACAGAGGCAGGCAGGCCTCCTTGAGCTGTGGTGGGCTCCACCCCGTTTGAGCTTCTGGGCTGCTTTGTTTACCTAAGCAAGCCTGGGCAATGGCAGGCGCCCCTCCCCCAGGCTCGCTGCCACCTTGCAGTTTGATCTCAGACTGCTGTGCTGGCAATCAGCGAGACTCCGTGGGCATAGGACCCTCCGAGCCAGGTGTGGGATATAATCTCCTGGTGCACCATTTTTTAAGCCCGTTGGAAAAGCGCAGTATGCGGGTGGGAGTGACCCGATTTTTCAGGTGCCGTCTGTCACCCCTTTCTTTGACTAGGAAAGGGAATTCCCTGACCCCTTGCACTTCCCGAGTGAGGCAATGCCTCACCCTGCTTCGGTCGCGCATGGTGCAGTGCACCCACTGTCCTGCACCCACTGTCTGGCACTCCCTAGTGAGATGAAGCCGGTACCTCAGATGGAAATGCAGAAATCACCCGTCTTCTGCGTCGCTGATGCTGGAAGCTGTAGACTGGAGCTGTTCCTATTCGGCCATCTTGGCTCCCTCCCATATTGTCTTTATTGTCTTTGATTACTTAAGTAAACTAAGTTTTCTCAATATGAACAAAGCTAAAGTTTTTTTTTTTTTTTTTAATAATGATGTAACTTTCTGTATTTGCCTCTGAAATCTTTTGTCACTTTGGTATTATTTCACGATCTACGATCGTGTTTTAATTAATTATTTTAACTTTTTGACATTTTTGATAAACTTTCCAAAACCAAATTCTAAATAAAATCTATTTGACCTTGAGCAAACTTTAGAATTTTGCAGATGGTTATCTGGAGGATTACAAAAGAGTTGTTTTCTCTCCTTACACTAAGGAAGATAGTAAACGAATTACGCTTATTTGATATATTAAAGTATATGGAAACATAGTCAAAATGATATTTAACCTTCATGTTATATTTATATGAATGTATATCATTAATATAAGTGTTCTAAAAATTATATAAAATTCCTGGAAATGTGATATGTTCTAATACATTACCAGCAATGATTCTAGTTAGCATGTTAAAATGTTGTATGTCATAGGAATAACCAAATTCCTTGTCAGTTTAATCATCATTTTAGTGAACTCTTATCAGATCCTTAACCATGGCCATTTTGAGTCTTTCGTTATTCACAGACAGCTATTGTTTATTTTGATTCTTCCTGAAGGCATTTACAATCAGCTACTGGCTAAAGTTGCTACTGTTTCAAACAGAGTCATAGAAAAAGCCCCTGACAAGTACTCTAAAACACAGTTTTCTAGTAACTTTAAGACCGTATAGCCAGACGGGGTAAGAATTTCCAGAACTCCAATGAAGAAACCGATGGGTTCTTGGAAGTACTATCACAAAATCCAGCAGAATAAGAGTTAATTACATGGGACTAAACAAACTGATGAAGATAACTTTTTATGACTTTTGTCTAAAACACTGATGATTCTTTAACATCATGCTTTACAGATTTAACAAAAGTTTTCTTTTTTTCTCTTAACAATGTATAGCTTATAGCAAGTTAGTAAGGCATACCTTAGTAAACATAAAAGAGCCATTTATCTTTTTTTCCTACCAGATCCTTCCCAAATTTAGAAACTGTCAGTGAGTATTCTTATTTTCATGGCAATGTGGTTGCCTACATGAGTTCAGTAAGAATCTGTTCTCATTATAACAGGACATAATTGGAAACATAGGTTATATTATTAAGGCTTTGACTGGAATATCACATTTCCAGATATGACTAGATGACTTTAAGGAACTAAGGTTGACTTTATGGAGCCAATGCTTATAAAGCTTTCTTGGAAAAGCTGGCCTGGTACCTGGCTTTAAAAGGCTCTTGGCTTTATAGCTGAGTAAGGAATGTCACTTTCTGACAGGCCCCAAGCCCTCAGGATATTTTGGGAACCTCGAGAAGAGAGGAATTCACCAAATCTACAGGTATCACAGATGAAGTCTAATGCTAAGTCCTGGACTTGGCTTCCTGTCCTTTAGATGCTTTTAAATGTACAATCTGAGATTCCAGCAAAGTAGACTTTTTAAAAAGCCTAAATGATCCATCACTATTCTTGCTGCACTTATGTAAATAATCAGGCCAAGTTTAATGAGAATACATTATTTGACTAACAAATCAGCTTTATGTTGATTACCTTTGGTAAAAATGTGGTGACTCTGTTGCAGGACTTCTCCTTAGTTCAGCTAAAGACAGGGGATCTTATCACATGGCCGTGAAAATTTAAGTTTGCAGACAAATTGAAGGGTGAGCAGGGCAGGGTTTTATTGGGTGAAAAGAAAAAAAAGGGGGAAACAGGGACTCTCTGTAAGGCCAGAGTTTCTCTCGTGTACGGCCAGAGTTTCTCTTGTGTACTTCCCACCTCGCAGCTTGAATCCCAGGTCCCAAACAGGAAGAGGATGGGCCGGGCTCCTCCCCGCTGCAAAGGGCATGAACTTCTGTGGCTCCACCCCAGTGCACATTCCCAGTGCACAGGCCAGTTGGAATTTTTCCAGGGACCCCCCTCCCACCTGGGTGTCTCAATTTTAGAGAGAAAAAATTATATTTCAGAAGAAAACTATACAGTATCCATTATTAGATGGATACATTAGTCCTACTCATTGTTTTTGAGGTTTTTATTTATCTCTAATAGTGACTAGATTCTAAATTCTTCTAGTTTCCTCCAGTATCTGGCTATTAGTATCCAAACTACTATTTCCAATTTTCTCCCACTCTTCTGACTTGGAATCACTAAAAGTTAAAACTGTCCTTTTCTGGAATTCCTGTAAGCTGAAACTGGACACTTTGATACAGACTTCAGAGAAGTCACTGTAACAGCTCATACATGAACAACCATTTCAACATGCAAACAGCCAACCAGGGAAACCTGCCAGATGGTCACTGCCTGTCCCACTCCAGTTGGAGATTCTTTGAACCCAACATCTAGACATCTCAACCACTGCCCTCTTGACTCCAAAACTTAAAAGCAGAAGATGAGATGCCCATGTGAAAAATGTCCTCCCTACACTAGAGAAGAGGCAAAATTCTTATCATGAAGGACAAGATAGGTGAAGCTGAAGGAATTCTTTTTTGTTTTTTTTGTTTTTTTTTTTTTGTTTTTTTTTTTTGAGAAGGAGTCTCGCGTCTCGCTCTGTCGCCCAGGCTGGAGTGCAGTGGTGTGATCTCAGCTCACTGCAAGCTCCACCTCCTGGGTTCACACCATTCTCCTGCCTCAGCCTCCCGAGTAGCTGGGACTGCAGGCGCCCGCCACCACGCCTGGCTAATTTTTTGTATTTTATTTAGTAGAGACGGGGTTTCACCATGTTAGCCAGGATGGTCTCGATCTCCTGACCTCGTGATCCGCCTGTCTTGGCCTCCCAAAGTGCTGGGATTACAGGCGTGAGCCACCGCACTCGGCCGAGGCTGAAGGAATTCTGTACAAACAAGCTTTGTTAAACTAACCCTTGCCATCCTGGCTACTTTACCCAATTAACCACCCTAGCCCAGGACGTTTTGCTTTATCACATGTTCACAGTTTGCTATTCTTTGTTCAATCTTGTAACTGACTGCAACTGCTTCTGTGGGTCTCTGTTTCTTTATGAAGTTTCCCAGGCCATACAAAACTTGTGTTAGCCTATCTTCTGTCAGTTTAATTGTGGAACTCAGCCAGGCCCTTAAGAGGATGGAGGGGAGTTTTTCCCACAGCAGTTCTGAATGGGATGAAGTGAAAAATAAAATCTCCCCATTGCCACTACACCACCTCCAGATGAGTCTTGCAGCAGAAATACCGTTTAACTGTTTCTGCTTTTATTTTTTTCTGATTATCATCCAGTTTTATATATTCATATCTGTGTGCTTTGATAATTATATATACATACTTTTTTGATATTATTTACTTATTCTTTACATTGAAAAGGAACTTGCTCTGTAATCTACATTCCCTTTCCTCCTACATTTTTTTTAGTTTTCTTCATTTGGTTTCTAATTGAAACTAGAGGTAGACTGACTGTAAATAGAAAGTAGTTTCAGCTTCAGGACCTTTAATTTCTCAGGCTCCTTCCAATGTTCTGGACCTAATTTCGAATTTGCAGTATGTACTCATGTTCTTTAAAGAGAAACCCCAAGTTATATAGGCTCCAGCCATTCAAAATCTAGATCTGCCCCCATTAACTTTATAAAGTCAGTATAACAACACTAACAAGATATAATCATCATAATATAATGGGGATGATAATAAACTCTATTTCTTATTTCATCACTTTGAAAGCGTGCCTGTGGACTCCCATTGTGAAAAATGAGTTGGTTAGCACATTGCCAATTCTTTCTCTTTACTCCATACCCCCACTCCTGACTTCCATCAGCTACCTTACAAGCACATCCTCTTTACTGAATACAAGGAAAGCATCTGTGCTTTGTCCGTGGTTTGATTCTAAAATTTTTAAGCCATTAAAAACTTTTGCAATGTTATGTTTATATGAATATAATTTTTTACTGATATGGTTTGGCTGTGTCCCCACCGAAATCTCAGCTTGAATTGTAGCTCCCATAATCCCCACATGTTGTGGGATGAACGCGATTGGAGGCAATTAAATCATGGGGGCGGGTTTTCCCATGCCGTTCTCATGACAGTGAGTTAGTTCTCACGAGAACTGATGGTTTTATAAAGGGCAATTCCCCTGCACATGCTCCCTTGTCTGCCATAATGTAAGACATGCCTTTGCTCCTCCTTTACCTTCTGCCATGATTGTGAGGCCTCTCCAGCCATGTGGATCTGTGAGTTCATGAAACCTCTTTTTCTTTATAAATTACCTAGTCTCAGGAATTTCTTCATAGCAGTATAAAAATGGACTGATACAGTAAGTTGGTGCCAGTAGAGTGGGGGCACTGCTATTAAGATACCCAGAAATGTGGAAGTAACTTAGGAACTGGGTAACAGGCAGATGCTAGAACAGTTTGGAGGGCTCAGATGAAGACAGGAAGATGTGGGGAAGTTTGGAGCTTCCTAGTGACTTGTTGAATGGTTTTGACCAAAAAGTCCAGGCTGAGGTGGTCTCAGATGGAGATGAGAAACTTGTTGGGAACTGGAGTAGAGGTCACTCTTGCTATGCAAAGAGACTGGTGGCATTTTGCCCCTGCCCTAGAGACCTGTGGAACTTAGAATTTGAGAGAGATGATTTAGGATATCTGGAGGAAGACATTTCTAAGCAGCAAAGTATTCAGGAGGAAGCAAAGCATAAAACTTTGAAATATTTGCAGCCTGAAGATGCAGAAGAAAAGAAAAACCCATTTTCTGGGGAGAAATTCAAGCCCACTGCAGAAATTTGCATAAGTAATGTGGATCCCAATGTTAATCAGCAAGACAATGGGAAAAATGTCTCCAGGGCATGTCAGAGACCTTCATGCCTCCCATCACAGACCCAGAGGACTAGGAGGGAAAAATGGTTTCCTGGGCCAGGCCTAGGGCATTGCTGCTTTGTGCAGTCTCAGGACTTGGTGCCCTGCATCCCAGCCAAGGCTAAAAGGAGGCAACATATAGCTCAGGCCATTGCTTCAGAGGATGCAAACCCCAAGCCTTGGTGGCTTCCACATGGTGCTGAGCCTTTGCATGCACAGAAGTTAGGAATTTAGGTTTGGGAACCTCCACCTAGATTTCAGAGGATGTATGGAAACACCTGGATGTCCAGAGAGAGGTGTGCTGCAGGGGCAGGGTCCTCATGGAGAACCTCTGCTAGGGCAGTTGCAGAAGGGTAATGGTGGGTGGGAGCCCCCGCACAGTCCCCACTGGGACACTGCCTTGGGAGCTGTGAGAAGAGGGCCACTGTCCTCCAGACCCCAGAATGGTAGATTCACCAACAGCTTGCACCTTGCACCTGGAAAAGCCATAGACACTTAACGCCAGCCTGTGAAAGCAGCCAGGAGGAGAGCTGTACCCTGCAAAGCCACAGGACCAGAGCTGCCCAAGACTGTGGGAACCCACCTCTTGCATCAGTGTGACCTGGATGTGTGACATGGAGTCAAAGTAGATTATTTGGAGCTTTAAGATTTGACTGTCCCACTGGATTTTGGACTTGCATGAGGCCTGTAGGCCCTTCATTTTGGCCAATTTCTCCCGTTTGGAATGGGCGTATTTAACCAGTGCCTGTACCCCCATTGTATCTAGGAAGTAACTAACTTCCTTTTGATCATACAGGCTCATAGGCAGAAGGGACTTGACTCATCTTAGATGAGAGTTTGGACTGTGGACTTTTGAGTTAATGCTGAAACAAGTCAAGATTTTTGGGGACTGTTGGGAAGGCATGATTGGTTTTGAAATGTGAAGACATGAGATTTTGCAAGGGCCAGAAGTGGAATGATACGGTTTGACTGTGTCCCCACCCAAATCTCATCTTGAATTGTAGCTCCTATAATCCCCATGTGTTGTGGGAGGGATCTGGTGGGAGGTAATTGAATCATGGGGGTGGGCCTTTCCCATGGTGTTCTCATGATAGTGAGTAAGTCTCATGAGATCAGATGGTTTTGTAAAGGGCAGTTCTGCACATGCTTTCTTGCTTCCCACCATGTAAGATGTGCCTTTGCTCCTCATTCACCTTTCACCATGATTGTGAGACCTCCCCAGCCATATGGAGCTGTGAGTCCATTAAACCTCTTTTCTTTATAAATTGCCCAGTCTCTGGTATTTCTTCATAGCAGTATGGAAATGACTAATACATGTACTGAGCCAAGTAGTTTGGTTAGACTACTTGGAGATGAAGCCACTGGTGGGAGTAGCAGAGTAGGAAAGTGGCTTAGGCCTAGGTTTGAGATCTGGTGTTTTCCTTCACTAGCTGTGTGAAGGAAAGTCATTCCTCATCTCTGTGCCTCAGTTTCCTTTTCTATAAAATAGAAATCCTGACTTCATGTGTCTCATTGGGTTGTGAAAATTTTGTGTGTATGTGTGTGCAAAGTGCTTAGTACACTGCTTAGCATATAGTGAACACTCAATACACCTCACTGTTATTATTAATATTATTGATCTTCTGTGTCTCAATTTCCCAATCAGATTTTTCTCATAGTCCCTTTTTTATTTCAGCTTTTATTTTAGATACAGGGAGCATATTTGCTAATCTGTTACATAGGAATATTGTATGATCCTGGGGTTTGGAGCATGGATCCCTTCACTCTGGTAGTGAGCATTGTACCCAAGAGGTAGTTTTTTCTTTAATTCATCCACTCCTCCACCCTGTAGTGGTCCACAGTGTCTGTTTTCCCCATATTTATGTCCATGTGTGCTCAGTGCTTAGCTACTACATATAAGTGAGAACATGCAGTATTTGGTTTTCTGTTCTTGCATTAATTTGTTTAGGATTAGGGCCTCCAGCTCCATCCATGTTGCTACAAAGAACATGATTTCATTCTTTTTTATGTCTGCATGGTGTGGTATTCCACGGTGTATATGTAGCACCTTTTCTTTTTTCTTTCTTTTTTTTAGAGACAGAATTTTTCTCTGTCTCCTAGTTTGGAGTGCAGTGACACAGTCTTGGCTCACTGCAACATCCACCTCCCAGATTCAAGCCATTCTCGCGCCCCAGCGTCCGGCGTAGCTGGGATTACAGGTGTGAGCCACCATGCCCAGCTAATTTTTGTATTTTTAGTAGATATGAGGTTTCTTCATGTTGGCCAGGCTGGTCTCAAACTCCTGACCTCAAGTGATCCACCTGCCTCATCCTCCCGAAGTGCTGAGATTACAGGCACAAGCCACCGTGCCCAGCCTATACCACATTTTCTTTATCCAGTCTACCATTGATGAGCATCTGGGTTGATTCCATGTCCTTGCTATTGTGAATAGCACAACAGTGAATATATGAGTGCAAGTATCTTTTTGGTAGAATGATTTGTTTTCTTTTGGGTATACACCCAGTAATGGGATTGCTGGGTTGAATGTAGCTCTGTTTTCAGTTTGTTTGTCTGTTGCTTGTTTGTTTTGAGAAATCTCCAGACTGCTTCCCACAGTGGATGTACTAATTTACATTCCCACCAACAGTGAATAAGCATTCCCTTTCTGCTGCAGCCTCACCAGCAACTGTTGTTGCCTGGCCTTTTAATACTAGCCATTCTGACTGGTGTGAGATGGTATCTCATTGAGGTTTTGATTTGCATTTCTCTGATGATTCGTGATGCTGAGCATTTTTTCATATGTTTTCTGGCTGTATGTCGTCTTTTAAGAAGTGTCCCTTCATGTTCTTTGCCCATTTTGGGGGGGGGGGGCTTTATATTTTTTGCTTATTGATTTAATTTCCCTATGAACTCTGAATATCAGGCTTTTGTTGGATGTATAGTCTGTGAATATTTTCTCCCATTCTGTAGGTTGTCTGTTTGCTATTTTAATAGTTTCTCTTACTGTGCAGAAGCTCTTTAGTTTAATTAGGTGCCACTTGTCTATTTTTGTTTTCACTGCAATTGCTTTTGGGGACTTAGCCAAAACTTATTTGCCAAGACCGGTGTCGAGAAGATATTTTCTAGGTTATCTTCCAGGATTTTTACAGTTTGAGGTTTTACATTTAAATCTTTAATGTCTTTTGAGTTAATTTTTTTATATAGTAAAAGGTAGGGGGTTTTAATCTTCTGCATATGGGTTGACAGTTATCCCAGCACCATTTATTGAATAGGGAGTCCTTTTGTCATTGCTTCTTTTTGTCAGCATTCTTGAAGATGAGATGGTTGTACTTGTGCAGTTTTATTTCTGAGTTTGCCATTTTGCTCCATTGGCCTATGTGTCTGTTTTTGTACCAGTACCAAGCTGTTTTGGTTACTGTGGCTTTATAGTATAGTTTGAGGTCAAATAGTGTAATGCCTCCAGCTTTGTTCTTTTTGCTTAGGATTGCTTTTGGCTCTTCGGGCTCTTTTTTGGTTCCATATAAATTTTAGAATAGTTTTTTTCCTAATTCTGTGAATAATGATGTTGGTAGTTTGATAGGAATAGCATTGAATCTATACATTGCTTTTGGCAGTATGGCCATATTTATACTGAGTCTTCCAACTCATGCACATGGAATGTTTTTCCATTTATTTGTGTGGTCTCTGATTTCTTTCAGAAGTGTTTTGTAGTTCTCCTTGAAGAGATCTTTTACCTCCTTTGTTAGCTGTATTTCTAGGTATTTCATTTTCTTTGTGGGTATTATAAGTGAGGCCATGTTCTTGATTTGGCACTCAGCCTGGACATTGTTGCTGTATAGAAATGCTACTGATTTTTTACATTGATTTTGTATGCTGAAACTTTACTAAATTGACTTATCAATTCTAGGAGCTTTCTGGCAGAGTCTTCAGGATTTTCTAGGTATAGAATCATGTCATCAGCAAAGGGAGATAACTTTGCTATTTGGATGCCTTTTGTTTCTTTCTCTTGCCTGATTGCTGTGGCTAGGACTTCCAGTACTGTGCTGAACAGGAGTAGTGAGAGTGGGCATCCTTGTCTTGTTCCATTTCTCAAAGGGAATTGTTTGAGCTTTTGCCCTTTCGGTATGATGTTGGCTGTGGCTTTGTCATAGATGGCCCCTTATTATTTTGAGGTATATTCCTTCAATCCCCAGGATATTGAGAGTTTGTGTCATGAAGGGATGTTGGATTTTATCAGAAGCTTTTTCTCTGTTTACTGAGATGATTGAAGTTCTGTGGGATTTCTCCTACTTATTCCTTCAGCTCTTTTATTGAATTTTCTATCTTGACAATAATTGAAAAAACTTTTACTGATGCATAATAGATGTATACAGTCTTTGGGTACAAGTGATAATTTAATACATCCATATAATTTGTGTGGTCTCTGTTTTCTCCATATACTCAGGATAGCCATCACCTTTCAAAAATTCCTTCATATTCTTTCATTCTTTTTCAGAGTAGTTTGTTCTGTTGTTTTATAGCTGCAATGTCTTCTCATATCTTTTTGAGGAGATGAATTCAATCTGTTAAAGTTCTCTTCTCTTCCCCATATCTACTATGTCCTTTGTGGAGAGCTTCTCTGTGTGTATCTTGCCTGCTCCCTTTCTTTTGTGCTACTGATTCCCCCCAGTGCCTGGGTGATCCTGGCCTGTGCTTTCAATTGATCAATAAAGGACCAAGCTGATGAACGTAGGTGGCCCCATGGGTTCTGCCATGCTTGTGTGGCTGTGTATGGTCTCTCAGCTTCCCCAACAAGGGGAAGGTTGACTGAGTTTTCCACCTGGGGATGGGGCTCTCAGCCAGCAGGCTTGATGTCAGTCTGTACAGACCAGGACAGACAGAAGGGGTGATGCTTCTCCTTGCACATGTGAGCTCCACCAATACCTACAATTAGAAAGTTTGCCCTTCTCAGGAGTATCTTTCTGTTTCTTTAGAAAGCAGAATTCCAAGGTCAGTCTTAGAAAAAAATGATGCTACTGCTTGGGTGAGGGTAGAGGGAAAGGTGTCAGGGGGGCTGATGCCAGGCAGCTCTGCAGACATTTTTCAAAAACTTTTTATTTTAAAATAATTTCAGTTTTATCAAACAGCTCCAGAGATTGCACAAAGGAGTTCTTATATACCCTTCACTCACCTCCCCCTAATTCCAGCATCTTACATAACCATGGCACATTTGTCAAAACTAAGAAATTATCATTGAGACATTCCTGTGAACTAAATTATAGACTCATATGGATTTCACCAGTTTTTCTACTAATGCACTTTCTCTGTGGCATGATCCAATGCAGGGCACCTCATCACATTTAACTGTCAGGTATCCTTCGTTTCTTGTCATCTGTGTAATTTCTTGTTTTGTTGTCTTATCTCTCATGATTTTGATACTTTTGGTGAGTGATGGTCAGGTATTTTGTAAAATGTTCTTCAATTGAGGTTTATCTGATGTGTTTTCATTAACAGGCTGAAGTTGTGGATGTTTTGGAAATGTATGACAGAACGGAAGTGCCCTTCCCATCATATCTTTTCAGGGGATAGATGATATCAACGTGACTTTTTCTGTCAGTGATATCTTTGATCACTTGGTTAGGTGGGGTCTGCTGCGTTTCTCCACTGTAACATTACTTGCTTTCCTTTTCCATGCTCTGTTTGTTAGAAGTGAGTCTCTGAGTCCAGCCCATAGGGTTCCAGGATGACTACCATGCTTTTCCCTGTACACATCCCCCTGGCAACTCCTGATTGGTAGATGGATTGTTTCCTCAACCAAGTTGGGTAATGAGTGCATTTTCTGAGACTTTGGACATGGAAGACACAGTAGACAGTCTTTCTCTCTCTCTAGGTAACTAATTTTTAGGATTAGAGACCCACTGCGGGCACTTTTTCAATTCATCATGCACAGAAAGCTACTCTGTGGTATGAGAGAATGGGTCTGAGTTTCCTCCTTTGTTAAAAGGGGATAACAATATTGACCTTGCAGAAATCTGAGGATCAAATGAGATGATCCAGGCCGAGCACGTGGCCCAGGGCCCAGCATGTTGTTGGTTCTCAATAAATACCAGTTTCCCTTTGTCCAAGCTCTTCATGTGTCCTCCACCTCTGATGTGCTGAAGCCTGGCAAGTTATAGTCACCATAGAGCATAAACGACTATGAGCTAATTGTGTTCACAGAAGGGGATTTTATGGGATGAAACAATAAGAAAACACAAAGTTATAATTTCTGTGCCTTTTGTCTCTCTTTGGTAAATCAAAATTAGAAAGGTCTATGTGGGGACCATTGCTAACAGAACTGTAATGATTTCTGTCAAATCCAATGAAGTCTCAGTTTCCCCCTGTTAAGAGCTATGTGTTTAGCCAACATGTCTTCTCCTCTTTCCTTACAGAACTTCAGTGTTGGCCATGTGCATCTCCATTTCCACATCACACAGGGGAAGGGGAGCCCATCTCCTGGTTAAGAGAGTGGATTATAATTGGCATAAACCAAGCATAGCAATCCCAATCCCCATGCCTATGATTGGTTCAGGATGGGCATGTGACCCAAATTTGACCAGTGAGTTACGAGGGAAAGTCTGGGGCACTCTGGGACAAACTTCTCTTCTTTGAGAGAAATCCATAGGAGGGCAGAGCCCCTTCTATGTCCCCTGAGTGCTCTTGTGTCTGGATAGTATGTGCATATCTGTGGCACCACCTAAAACCACGGGTGCTGCCAGCTTGAAGACAATGCCAGCACATTAAGGACATCACCGCAGTGAGATGGACCAACCTGGGCTCCCATGATGTTGATCTAAACCCCATTCTGTGCCATGGATTTTCCCTCCCCTGGACTCATTGTTTTGTTGTTGTTGTTTGTTTGTTTGTTTAGAGATCAGGTCTTGCTCTGTTGCCAAGCCTGGAGTGCAGTGGCGTGATCATAGCTCACTGCAGCCTCAATCTCCTATGCTCAAGTGATCTTCCTGCCTCGGCCTCCCAAGCAACTGAAACTACAGATGCATGCTGCTGTGTCCGGCTAATTTTTAAATTTTTTATGTAGAGATGGGGTCTTAATTTTTTGCCCAGGGTGGTCTCGAACTCCTGGCCTCAAGGGATCCTCTTGCCTAGGCCTCCCAACATGCTGAGGTTACAAGGGTTGAGCCACTGTGCCTGGCTGGACTCTTTATTAAGTGGGATAACACTTATCCTCCTGTAAGGCAGTCGGACTTGGGTTTTCCATTGCTTGTAGCACAAAGCAAATAGATACAGTACACCTTTAGAAAAATCCTCTTGCCAACAAGCAATCTTTTCAGAAGACCACAGCAGAGACTCTTACTAGGATCTCCTTTCAACAAGGCTGATGTTTTTATCTGAGAGGTAAAGTGTGGGAATCAGGGGCTGAAGGGGAAGAAGAGGCAGGGTATGGGTGTTGGGCAGAGGGAAAGCCAACTCCCTAAGAAGAGAAGCAGATGGGAGAAAAGAGCTCAACCCAAAGCTTCTAAAGCTTTTATTGCTCTTGCAAGAGAGATGAAGGAGAGGAGAGGATACGTCTCACAGAGTATATATTGCATGTCAGGCAATAGGAGCTCTAAATACATGATTTTATTTAATCTGCATGCTGGTTTTCTAACATATTATTACTGGGACTCAGAAATCTCAAATTACTGGTCCAAGGTAACACAGTCAGGTCAGTCTGACTCTAAAGTCCTGCTTCTTTTCTTTATCACCCGAATCCAACCTTCAGGTTCTCTAGAAATGTCTCAAATCCATCTATTTGAGAGCCACTATGATGTAGTGGTAGGTCACTGTGATGTGCTCTATATCACTGATCCATCTACATCTTCAGGGTTCCCCGCCGAGCCACCCCACCATGGCATCTCTCCTGGATTGCTGTATCATCCATCCAACTGGTATCCTCCCAGTTTCTACACTTGTCACTACCCCTACCCCTTTGTCTTTTGTCTACACAGTAGCCACTCCCCTCCCTAAACAGTTCAAAGGCATCTCATCACACAAATCCAAACTCTTCCCCAGGGTTCCCTAGGATTTCCATAATCTGGTCATGCTTGGCTGAGCGGCTGTCTCTGTACCACTTTTCACTCAATTCACTAAGTTCCAGCACCTTGGCCTCCTTACTGTTCTTGGAAGAACTGAGGGTAACTCTGAACTCAGGGCCCTTTGTCTGTTGGTCTTCTTTGCTTGGAATGCATCCTCCATCATCTCTTTTCCAACGTGCCGGTCTTGACAAAGGAGGTGTTCATTGAGCACACCAAGGTAGCTCCCCTGTCTGGGTTGCCCTGTTATTGTGTGGGCAGGTGGGCCAGTGTCAAGACCTTAGTAACATCCAGAGCCCTCCAAGATGGAGGCTTGGAGGGCTCTGGGCCTAATACTTCAGAGGTATAGACATAAAATATCATATAGAAGAGCATATCCGCCAATATATTCTTGTCATGACCACAAAGAGTGAGTGGGGAAATTCTATGGAAGAAGATGTCTAGAAGGCAAGTGAATACATTCTGGGTTTATTTGATTTTGGTTTCTGTGAGAGAGTAGGACTCTGACAGCTTAGTAATACAAAGAAAAAGGGAATCTCTGCACATTTTCCTCTGCCAGGCATGTCTGCACCCTTACTCATTTCTCCCACAATGAAAGAGAAATGTCCCTTCTGACAGGTCTGAACCTGAGCCATTGATGGGGCCAGTATTACTAATGGATTGGGCTGCTGTGCTTGGCACCCTTGAGTCTGCTGGTGCCAAGGTAAAATTTTGGGAAGATTCCAGGGTCTTGCTAAGGTTTTGATACTGTGCTTCTTGCTTTGACTTGACCTTCTAGCAGGGTTATATGTTGGGGCTTTAATATTGATATAGTCTTTTTGATTCCTATTTTGTGGTTTCCTTAACTCTCTTGGGAACATGGTGTGGTGGTGGGGAACAGAAGAGAGCTTTGAGAAAGATGGAGAAAGCTGATTGATCAGGCAGGACTCAGATTTCTCTTGGTCTTAGCCAAAACTCTGTTAGAGAACTTCCCAACCACACTCTTAATTGTCAAGAATTGATTACAAATATGATGTGTGTCTTAGTCTGTTTAGGCTGCTATAACAAAATATCATAAACTGAGTAGTTTACAAACAGCAGAAATTTGCTTCTCACAGTACTGGGGACTGGGAAGTCCAGGATTATGGCTGATTTGGTGTCTTGGCAGGATCCACTTTTTGGTACCTTTTCCCTGCGTCCTCACATGGTAGAAGGAGCCAGAAAGCGCTCTGACACCTCTTAGGGCACTATTCTGTTTATGAGGGCTCCACCCTCATAGCCCAATCACCTCCCGAAGACCCTACTTCTCAATATCATCACCCTGGAGGTTGACATGTCAACATATGAATTTAGAAGGACACAAACATTCAGACTAAAGCAATGTGTGAAATTAATTTCTATTTAGAAAATGCTATTAAGCACAGAAGGTGGTTGCACAAATCGATTTTTAGAGTTAGGATGATGCAAGGATGGCAGCTATGCTGCCTGAGAAAGGCTCATGTGTGACTTGCCACTCTCCCTGCTGGGTGGAAAGAATTAGAAAACATGTGCTGAGAGAGGCAGGGGATATGAAATGCAGAGACACCGAGAGGGAAATGCATTAATCATGTTTGTCTGTGATCACCCAGGAAGAAACAGATATCTGTTCTTTGTGGCAGTCGCTAATTAAACATGGAAGAGACTGTGCTGTGATTTCATGTTTGAGATTGGGAGAGGAAAGGGGACAGATAGCAAATGATGCCACAGGAGAGGCACAGTGCATGGGCTGAATCATCAAAGTGACAGCTGTTTGCTAAACGTGGCTCAAGTTGGGGGCTGGGGTGAGCATGTCTGTGCAACTTCTATATCGACTGAGGACCCGCCTTGAGGCTGCTCTGTGCTGGGGGCCGCCTGTGCATAGCTCACCCTGTGGAGCCCACAGCCTGCCAGGGGGAGAAGTGGGACACAAAACCATCAGCTGGGCAGTGTGACAAGTGCTGTGGAAACCAAACTACAAGAAGCAGAGATTGTGTAGAGGACTTCTGGGAGGGCCTGGTTACATGGGAGGAGGGTCACAAGAAGAGGGTGACTGATATGATTTGGATTTATGTCCCACCCAAATCTTATTTATTTATTTATTTATTTGAGATGAAATCTCACTCTGTCACCCAGGCTGGAGTGCAGTGGCGTGATCTCGGCTCACTGCCATGTCCATCCCCTGAGTTCAAGCAATTCTCCTGCCTCAGCCTCCTGCGTAGCTGGGATTACAGGCATGCGCCACCACTCTCGGCTAATTTTTTTGTATTTTTGGTACAGATGAGGTTTTACCATGTTGGCTAGGCTGGTCTCGAACTCCTGACCTCAGGTGATCTGCCCACCTTGGCCTCCCAAATTGCTGGGATTATAGGCGTAAGCCACGGGACCGGGCCCCAAATCTCATTTGAAATTGTAATTCCCAATATTGGGGGAGGAGCCTGGCAAGAGGTGATTGGATCATGGGGGTGGTTCTCCTGATAGTGAGTTCTCTCACAAGATCTGGTTGTTTAAAAGTATGTAGCACCTCCCCCTTTACTCTTTCTTCCTTTTTCTCCAGCCATGTAAGACATGCCTGCTTCCCCTTTGCCTTCTGCCATGATTCTAAGTTTTCTGAGGCCTCCCCAGCCAGGCTTCCTGTACAGCCTATGGAACTGTGAGTCAATTAAATCTCTTTTTTTTTATAAATTACCCAGCCTTAGATAGTTCCTTATAGCAATGTGAGAACGGACTAATACAGAGACTCAATAATACTGACCTGGGAAATGTTATTGGTTAAAGCTCCAGTGTGGAAAAAGCTCAAGGGTCAACTGGTGAGGGCAAATCAACCATACATTCCCCTGCAAATTCTTCCCCCTGGGAACCCACAGGGCTGAACTGCCAAGCTCTGGGACCCCCTGGCTTTTGCAGGTGAGCAAAGCAAATGTGCATCTGCCATCTATGCACTTAGTGTCCCAGATGTGTCTTCTAGATCAGGGCTCTGCAACTTGTTCTCTAAAGGGCCAGGTGGTAAATATTTTCAGCATTGTGGGCCACAGGGTCTCTGTTGCAGCTGCTCAGCACTGCAGTTGTAGCAAGAGAACAACCATAGACTATACAGAAATCAACAGGCATGGCTGGTTTGGCCACAGGCAGAAGTTCTAGATCCTTGCTACTCACAGCGTGGACCCTGACTTGGTATTGTCAGCATGTCCTGGTGCACCCACTGGTCTACAGCTGGCCCTGATGCACCTGAATTTCCACTCATAAGGTAAACCCTAACACAAATTCTTGCATGGGAATGGATTTCTTTAATCAGATTGCTTTCTTGCCAGTACTGGGAGTCGGGGTTCGGATGAGGGAAGGGTGAAACTCATTTGGAACTTGGAGATCACGGAAAGGTGGTTCTGAAGGGGGTGAATGGGGACTGGGCACGCCACTGGAGGGTAACCCCTGAGAAAACACTGGGACCTGCAGAGGAAAAAGCTCTGGGAAGTGACCGTGGAGCCAAGTGGAAGACAGGAGGGTGCCAAAAGTAAGTCGCCCCTAGACAGAGAGTTTGTTGATTGCTCCTTAGGAGCCAGGCACTGTCAGGACAGGAGGATGGGATGAGGAGATGGACATGAATCTGACCCGGCTTCTTTGAGGGAGCCTAAAGGTAAGGAGGGTGAGGCATGGGTGAGAGTAACGCGATGGTGCAGTTGTCAGCAAGCAGAGCCGTGAGTGACAGCAAGTGTGCCCGAGAGTTCCTGGAGGAGGTGGCGTCTAGCTTGGGTGGGTGGTGCCATAAGCCCCAGAAGACATCATGGGAGAAATGGAATTGGCCTTTGAGAAAGGGGAATTTTAACATGTGTCGACGAGAGCTGAAAGGCATCCCCAGTAGAGAGGACAGGACAAATGAAAGCAGGAAAGTGGAAAATCAAGAAGTCTGTATGGAAAGGAAAATACTGGTTCATTTGCACCTGTGTGTGTGCTGTATAAAGGTTTGAGTGGTAATTTGAGGGAATGTTAAAGAGTGTCTTTCTCTGGATGAAGAATTTTCTGTACTTTTTCCTTAGTGAATAGATGGTACCTTAGGAAATACAAAATAGTAACAATAATCATGTAGATTGTGATCAAGTTAGATAGAGCCTTGAATTGCCAAGCTAAGTTTGATTTCATCTGTGGCTTGGTGTCCATACCACCAATCAAAGTGATTCCATCATTGGCTTGGTGTCCACACCACCAACCATGCCCATTTTTGTGTTTCTAATTAAACTTGAGTCTCTTCACGCTAAGAGGAACGTGGCCCATCCCACCCAACCCTGAATTAAGAACAAAGTGGTGAGAAGGAATGTCCAAGAAATAGTTTATTCCAAACAAGAAATGCCAACTTGAACAGAACCAGGAAATCTGGTGTTCCTAGGGCGACTTCCAGCTCCTGCCCCTAATTCGTGAACTCAGCCCAATAAAAAAAACCATCATCATCTTAAGAGCCTCCAGGGTCACAGTAGGGAGAGGAGCAGGCCCCTTATTTCCTGGGGGAGGTGGGGAGCAGGACGGTTGTTGATGGGGACATGAAGTAAAGAAAAGTGTGCAAAACAAGTCAACTGACGAGGAGCACACAATCCAGAAATAGTCTCGGTTGAAAGGAGGAAAACACTGACTATTTCTTTTTTAAAAAATAAAAATATAAAACCTAACCATACATTAAAATGTCTTTTAAGAAATCTAAGAGATGACATGGACAGCCCCAAGGATTGAGTAATCATGTAAAAAGTGAAAAATGGAAGTTGGATGAAAAAATAAAAACACAGTCGAACTTCAGCAGGATGTAACAAACAAATATCAAAGACCCCAGGAAGAACATTTGGAAGAATCCTAAACAGGTTTGTTTGCACAGAAAACTGACCTGCTGGGTGAGTGAAGGAAGAAAGTATCTAAATAATGATGACGATTATGCTGACAAAAAAGGCCATTCTATGAGTCATCCAATGCTTGGGGTTACACACAGGATCTTATTTAACCCTGTAACTCCCCTGCAATATTAGTTTTATTATCCCTGTTTAAAAATGAGGAAACTGCCATTCAGAGCGATTGCATGCTTTGCCTAAGGTCTCCCAGTTAGTTAGTAGCCAGCAGGGCTGGATTCTGAACACAAACCTGACTCCAAAGTCTAAGCTTTCCCTGCTCATCCCAACATCTTCCAGTTCAAAGGCAAGCTTCTCCCTGAGCAGACCAGAATGTAGTTTGCTTTTTGTGTGAACCCATTTTCCTCCTGAAATAAACTTTCTAAGCACCCATGCTTCCTATTGTATAAATAGGGAGCCGCTCCACCAATACCGATTGGATACTCTCTGTAAGAAGAATCTGACAAGCTGATTTTACACCCTTCCCAGGAGAGAAAACCCTGAAAGCTGATAGAGAGTTGGAGAGTTCTGCTGCAGGTCTGGGCTTTCGGGCCAGTTGGATGGGGTGCTGATTACACTCTGCAGGAGTAACCAATGCTCAGCGACCCAACTCTCATCTGAATGGACACCTGTGTGCCATCCCAGCACTGGGGATATGGTGGTGGTGAGGACTGCTGAAACTAAAAGGTAAGGATAGTCTTCTTAAATGAGGGGAGGAGTGAGACCGCAGCGCTGAGACCTTGGGGACAAGTCTGGTCTGCATGCTGCACCATCTTACAAGCTCAGGACTGTGGCCTGCCAGAGAATGCACATGAAGACACTTCAGGTTTTGCTCCAGGATTTGGCAGCGTTGTTTCCATAGAAGGGGCCAACATATCAGACCTTTATTTTGCTGTCAGGGCTGTGTTTTTCGGAAGTGCCCTCTAACAAGCTAGGATGTGCCAAATTGCAAAGTCATGACGGTTTGATTGCTTTGGGGAATGGGGGTCACTTCAAATATTAAGGTTATATTTTGCACGTAAAAATGATTTTATAAATATCAAAGGTTTTTCATGTTTCCTACCTAATTGGGTTCTCCCCATAATCTTGTAATTTGAAGTGGGGCAGAAGTGTTTAACCCCTTTGGCAGATGCAGAAAACGGAGGCACAGAGAGGGCGTGACTTGTCTGAGGTCACACGTGAATCAGTCATGGAGATGGGACCAGAACCCAGGCTTCCCAGCTCCAAGTCCAGGGCTTTTTCTGCATCTGATGTTTTCAGGGGTGAGACAGGGACCATCAGGGCACAAAGAGGGGCTCTGGGTGGGCAGGGCAGAGACGAGTGCAGTCCTGTTGAGCAGCAACAAGTGTGGGCTCAGCTGCTGCAGCCACGGGTGCAGGTGTGGGTGAGGAGGTTGTTGTTGCACCCGTCCTGGAGCTTGCTTTGGGCCTGGCCTCCCCCTCGGCTGTCGGTGTCCAAGAGCTGGCTGCCCTGTCCCTGCTGCCTCCTGAGCCTGCAAACAAGCACAGATCTGAGTTAGTGGTGCGGCATGGGGTTGTGGAGGCACATCCAGGAGACACACTGGGCAGGCAGGGCAACTGTGGAGCCTTCAGCTCAAACCTTCCCCTACCTGGGAAGATTGATCATTAAGGCATCCACGGTGCTGTGCACTGTAGCCAGATGGGCCTCGGATCAAAGCGCAGCTCAGGTGCACTTGGGTGAGTTACTTAATGCATAGTAATTTCTCTGTCTACAGAATGGAGATAATAATTCCCATCTTGTATTTCCTTGTGATGTTTACTTGAGATCACATATTTATATTTTTGTATATACCATATATTTATATTTCCCAAGCTCACAGTCGGTAAAGGTGGTGAGTCCCAGGTATCATTCATTCAGTATACATGTATTAAATGCTCACGAGTGTACCAGCCACCATGCCTAGGAGCAGGGGATCCTCTGGCAAGCCAAACAGTCATATTCTTTGTCCTCAAGGAGCTCAATGACAAAAGGGGAGACAGGCACTAATCAAAGAATCCCACCAGTAAATATCCAAACAGTTGTTAAACACAGACTTACAAAATATCCTATTACAAACTATGTTGAGGGGGTATGATTCCGAACATTGCATTTCCTAGCAGTGGGCCACTTGGTCACCTTTCACATGTTGGAAGATGTCAATATCCCTCTGTTTCTGATCTTCAAGTTAAAGTTCATTCGCTATACCACAGCTGTCATTGCATGTGGATGGTGGCAGCAAGAACGGAATGGAGACGTTTAAGGAGGCAGTGAGAATTTTTAGAGCAGGGAAGAACTCAACTCACATCCTGGCTCTCAACACTGTCTACTTGAGTTATGTTAGTCAAGTCACTTTATCTTTTTAGCCTCAGCTTTCTTATGTAAAACTAGGGATTCTATTGTTCACTTTGCAGGAGGCTAAGGGGATCATAGAGAATACATGTAAAATATCTAGTATAGGGCTGGGAATAATAATAATTACTATTAGTTCTACCTTGTTCTGAAAAAGAGGTTTTAGCCTGAATTTTAAAACTAGTATGTTTCTTTCCAACAGAGTGCAGAGCAGGTTGTCAACACCTGTTGTCTTGATTTAAATGAAAGAGCTGTTTCACCCAGCAAGCCTCTGTGTATGCTGCTTATATGCAGGGTCCTGAGGGTTATCCTAAGATGACTACAACAGTCTATGCCCTTAGACAGGTCACAGTTGTGTGTATGAGTGTGTGTGTGTGCGCACAGTGGGAATGCCTAGTGTTTGCAACAATGCTGGTACTTGAGTAAGTCCTTCAGATAACACTGAAATACCAGCAGCAACACTGTGTTTCATAAGACAGCGAATTGGTCATTCCTTCCCCCAACCCTTCATGCAAAGGCCCAGGACCAAGGTGGGCAGTTCCTCTGCCCCCAAGGCTTGCAGCTCTCCAGGTAGGGCAACTGGGAAAGGTGGTCATGGTTAAAATGCATCATCCTAGTGGACTGGGCAGGAACCAGAGGACAGAGCTGGGAGGCTCCCTTCGGGTTGAGGCCTTGGTGATGGGATATTTCCTCTTACCCTCAGTTGAAGAGGTGGCTTATCATCCTTCTTAGTAAATATATAGTTTATTTTCTGTCTGTGTTTGCATTTATTTGGACTTTTTGCATTCAGCACTTGTGTTTAATTGGCTTTTGTGTATTTGACATTAGACCAGAACATTCACAGAATGGGGCTCTCAAAGTTCAAAGGCATGCCAACATATTTTCTGGGATTCCAGCTGCTAACATGTTCAAATACTGCAGGGATTATTTAAAGAGTCTGCGTTCTTAAAACTGCATTAAAATACCATGACTATAAAATCGTGGATTTCAAATAAGATATGATAGCTCATTGATATCTTGAGGCTAAAAAAAAATTGTTGAAAACTCAAAGACTGCCTCACTACAATATACCATCTTAAAACTAGTTGAAACTCTTTTCTCTCCAGAGCTCTCCCCATCCTCACAATTTCTTTTCTTTATCGTTCTCTAAGCTAAACCCTCTTTGTTCAAAACTTCTCTAAAACTCCTTAGCTAGTCTGACATAATATCTATGAAGAACACTTGCAAACCAGCAGAAATGAAATAAAATCACTTTGATCTTCATGCTGTTTTTTTTTTTTTTAAAGCAAAGAAAAAATTTCCATGTTAAAGACATTCTCTTCATACTGAAAAGGAACGGCAACATTTTGATCTTCAAGGACAGAGACTTAAGACCAGGAAAATGGGCCTGGGGCCAAGATGGCCGAAAAGGAACAGCTCCGGTCTACAGCTCCCAGTGTGAGCGACGCAGAAGATGGGTGATTTCTGCATTTCCATCTGAGGTACCGGGTTCATCTCACTAGGGAGTGCCAGACAGTGGGCACAGGACAGTGGGTGCAGGGCAAGGCATTGCCTCACTCGGGAAGCGCAAGGGGTCAGGGAGTTCCCTTTCCTAGTCAAAGAAAGGGGTGACAGATGGCACCTGGAAAATCGGGTCACTCCCACCCCAATACTGCGCTTTTCCGAAGGGCTTAAAAAACGGTGCACCAGGAGATATCCCGCACCTGGCTCGGAGGGTCCTATGCCCACGGAGTCTCGCTGATTGCTAGCACAGCAGTCTGAGATCAAACTGCAAGGCGGCAGCGAGGCTGGTGGAGGGGCGCCCGCCATTGCCCAGGCTTGCTTAGGTAAACAAAGTGGCCTGGAAGCTGGAACTGGATGGAGCCCACCACAGCTCAAGGAGGCTTGCCTGCCTCTGTAGGCTCCACCTCTGGGGGCAGGGCACAGACAAACAAAAAGACAGCAGTAACCTCTGCAGACTTAAATGTCCCTGTCTGACAGCTTTGAAGAGAGCAGTGGTTCTCCCAGCATGCAGCTGGAGATCTGAGAACAGGCAGACTGCCTCCTCAAGTGGGTCCCTGACCCCTGCCCCCGAGCAGCCTAACCGGGAGGCACCCCCCAGTAGGGGCAGACTGACACATCACACGGCCGGGTACTCCACTGAGACAAAATTTCCAGAGGAACGATCAGAGAGCAGCATTCGCAGTTCAGGAAAACCCGCTGTTCTGCAGCCACCACTGCTGGTACCCAGGCAAACAGGGTCTGGAGTGGACCTCTAGCAAACTCCAACAGATCTGCAGCTGAGGGTCCTGTCTGTTAGAAGGAAAACTAACAAACAGAAAGGACATCCACACCAAAAACCCATCTGTACATCACCATCATCAAAGACCAAAAGTAGATAAAACCACAAAGATGGGGAAAAAACAGAGCAGAAAAACTGGAAACTCTAAAAAGCAGAGTGCCTCTCCTCCTCCAAAGGAATGCAGCTCCTCACCAGCAACGGAACAAAGCTGGAGGGAGAATGACTTTGACGAGTTGAGAGAAGAAGGCTTCAGACGATCAAGCTACTGCGAGCTACAGGAGGAAATTCAAACTGAAGGCAAAGAAGTTGAAAACTTTGAAAAAAATTCAGACGAATGTATAACTAGAATAACCAATAGAGAGAAGTGCTTAAAGGAGCTGATGGAGCTGAAAGCCAAGGCTCGAGAACTACATGAAGAATGCAGAAGCCTCAGGAGCCAATGAGATCAACTGGAAGAAATGGTATCAGCGATGGAACATGAACTGAATGAAATGAAGTGAGAAGGGAAGTTTAGAGAAAAAAGAATAAAAAGAAACGAACAAAGCCTCCAAGAAATATGGGACTATGTGAAAAGACCAAATCTACGTCTGATTGGTGTACCTGAAAGTGACAGGGAAAACGGAACCAAGTTGGAAAACACTCTGCAGGATATTATCCAGGAGAACTTCCCCAATCTAGCAAGGCAGGCCAACATTCAGATTCACGAAATACAGAGAATGCCACAAAGATACTCCTCGAGAAGAGCAACTCCAAGACACATAATTGTCAGATTCACCAAAGTTGAAATGAAGGAAAAAATGTTAAGGGCAGCCAGAGAGAAAGGTCGGGTTACCCACAAAGGGAAGCCCATCAGACTAACAGCTGATCGCTAGGCAGAAACTCTACAAGCCAGAAGAGAGTGGGGGCCAATATCCAACATTCTTAAAGAAAAGAATTTTCAACCCAGAATTTCATATCCCGCCAAACTAAGCTTCAAAAGTGAAGGAGAAATAAAATACTTTACAGACAAGCAAACGCTGAGAGATTTTGTCACCATCAGGCCTGCCCTAAAAGAGCTCCTGAAGCAAGCACTAAACATGGAAAGGAACAACTGGTAGCAGCCACTGCAACATCATGCCAAAATGTAAAGACCATCGAGGCTAGGAAGAAACTGCATCAACTAACGAGCAAAATAACCAGCTAACATCATCATGACAGGATCAAATTCACACATAACAATATTAACCTTAAATGTAAATGGGCTAAATGCTCCAATTAAAAGACACAGACTGGCAAACTGGATAAAGAGTCAAGAGCCATCCATGTGCTGTATTCAGGAAACCCATCTCATGTGCAGAGACACACATAGGCTCAAAATAAAGGGATGGAGGAAAATCTACCAAGCAAATGGAAAACAAAAAAAGGCAGGGGTTGCAATCCCAATCTCTGATAAAACAGACTTTAAACCAACAAAGATCAAAAGAGACAAGGCCATTACATAATGGTAAAGGGATCAATTCAACAAGAAGAGCTAACTATCCTAAATATATGTGCACCCAATACAGGAGCACCCAGATTCATAAAGCAAGTCCTGAGTGACCCACAAAGATACTTAGACTCCAACACAATAATAATGGGAGACTTTAACACCCCACTGTCAACATTAGACAGATCAACGAGACAGAAAGTTAACAAAGATACCCAGGAATTGAACTCAGCTCTGCACCAAGTGGACCTAATAGACATCTACAGAACTCTCCACCCCAAATCAACAGAATATACATTTTTTTCAGCACCACACCACACCTATTCCAAAATTGACCACATACTTGGAAGTAAAGCTCTCCTCAGCAAATGTAGAAGATCAGAAATTATAACAAACTGTCTCTCAGACCACAGTGCTATCAAACTAGAACTCAGGATTAAGAAACTAACGCAAAACCACTCAACTACATGGAAACTGAACAACCTGCTCCTGAATGACTACTGGGTACATAACGAAATGAAGGCAGAAATAAAGATGTTCTTTGAAACCAATGAGAACAAAGACACAACATACCAGAATCTCTGGGACACATTCAAAGCAGTGTGTAGAGGGAAATTTATAGCACTAAATGCCCACAAGAGAAAGCAGGAAAGATCCAAAATTGACACCCTGACATCACCATTAAAAGAACTAGAGAAGCAAGAGCAAACACATCCAAAAGCTAGCAGAAGGCAAGAAATAACTAAAATCAGAGCAGAACTGAAGGAAATAGAGACACAAAAAAACCCTTCAAAAATTAATGAATCCAGGAGCTGGTTTTTTGAAAGGATCAACAAAATTGATAGACTGCTAGGAAGACTAATAAAGAAGAAAAGAGAGAAGAATCAAATACACGCAATAAAAAATGATAAAAGGATATCACCACCGATCCCACAGAAATACAAACTACCATCAGAGAATACTACAAACACCTCTACGCAAATAAACTAGAAAATCTAGAAGAAATGGATGAATTCCTCAACACATACACCCTCCCAAGACTAAACCAGGAAGAAGTTGAATCTCTGAATAGACCAATAACAGGCTCTGAAATTGTGGCAATAATCAATAGCTTACCAAGAAAAAAGAGTCCAGGACCAGATGGATTCACAGCCGAATTCTATCAGAGGTACAAGGAGGAACTAGTACCATTCCTTCTGAAACTATTCCAATCAATAGAAAAAGAGGGAATCCTCCCTAACTCATTTTATGAGGCCAGCATCATCCTGATACCAAAGCCAGGCAGAGACACAACCATAAAAGAGAATTTTAGACCAATATCCTTGATGAACATTGATGCAAAAATCCTCAATAAAATAATACTGGCAAACCGAATCCAGCAGCACATCAAAAAGCTTATCCACCATGATCAAGTGGGCTTCATCCCTGGGATGCAAGGCTGGTTCAATATACGCAAATCAATAAATGTAATCCAGCATATAAACAGAACCAAAGACAAAAACCACATGATTATCTCAACAGATGCAGAAAAGGCCTTTGACAAAATTCAACAACCCTTCATGCTAAAAACTCTCAAGAAATTTGGTATTGATGGGACGTATCTCAAAATAGTAAGAGCTATCTATGACAAACCCACAGCCAATATCATACTGAATGGGCAAAAACTGGAAGCATTCCCTTTGAAAACTGGCACAAGACAGGGATGCCCTCTCTCACCACTCCTATTCAACATAGTGTTGGAAGTTCTGGCCAGGGCAATTAGGCAGGAGAAGGAAATAAAGGGTATTCAATTAGGAAAAGAGGAAGTCAAATTGTCCCTCTTTGCAGACGACATGATTGTATATCTAGAAAACCCCATTGTCTCAGCCCAAAATCTCCTTAAGCTGATAAGCAACTTCAGCAAAGTCTCAGGATACAAAATCAGTGTACAAAAATCACAAGCATTCTTATACACCAATACCAGACAAACAGCCAAATCATGAGTGAACTCCCATTCACAATTGCTTCAAAGAGAATAAAATACCTAGGAATCCAACTTACAAGGGATGTGAAGGACCTCTTCAAGGAGAACTACAAGCCACTGCTCAATGAAATAAAAGAGGATACAAAGAAATGGAAGAACATTCCATGCTCATGGGTAGGAAGAATCAACATCATGAAAATGGCCATACTGCCCAAGGTAATTTATAGATTCAATGCCATCCCCATCAAGCTACCAATGACTTTCCTCACAGAATTGGAAAAAACTACTTTAAAGTTCATATGGAACCAAAAAAGAGCCCGCATTGCCAAGTCAATCCTAAGCCAAAAGAACAAAGCTGGAGGCATCACGCTACCTGACTTCAAACTATACTACAAGGCTACAGTAACCAAAACAGCATGGTACTGGTACCAAAAGAGAGATATACATCAATGGAACACAACAGAGCCCTCAGAAATAACTCCGCATATCTACAACCATCTGATCTTTGACAAACCTGAGAAAAACAAGCAATGGGGAAAGGATTCCCTATTTAATAAATGGTGCTGGGAAAACTGGCTAGCCATATGGAGAAAGCTGAAACTGGATCCCTTCCTTACACCTTATACAAAAATTAATTCAAGGTGGATTAAAGACTTAAATGTTAGACCTAAAACCATAAAAACCCTAGAAGAAAACCTAGGCATTACCATTCAGGATATAGGCATGGGCAAGGACTTCATGTCTAAAACACCAAAAGCAATGGCAACAAAAGCCAAAATTGACAAATGGGATCTCATTAAACTAAAGAGCTTCTGCACAGCAAAAGAAACTACCATCAGAGTGAACAGGCAACCTACAAAATGGGAGAAAATTTTCACAACCTACTCATCTGACAAAGGGCTAATATCCAGAATCTACAATGAACTCAAACAAATTTACAAGAAAAAATCAGACAACCCCATCAAAAAGTGGGTGAAGGACATGAACAGACACTTCTCAAAAGAAGACATTTATGCAGCCAAAAAACACATGAAAAAATGCTCACCATCACTGGCCATCAGAGAAATGCAAATCAAAACCACAATGAGATACCATCTCACACCAGTTAGTTAGAATGGCAATCATTAAAAAGTCAGGAAACAACAGGTGCTGGAGAGGATGTGGAGAAATAGGAACACTTTTACACTGTTGGTGGGACTGTAAACTAGTTCAACCATTGTGGAAGTCAGTGTGGTGATTCTTCAGCAATCTAGAACTGGAAATACCATTTGACCCAGCCATCCCATTACTGGGTATATACCCAAAGGACTATAAATCATGCTGCTATAAAGACACATGCACACGTCTGTTTATTATGGCACTATTCACAATAGCAAAGACTTAGAACCAACCCAAATGTCCAACAATGATAGACTGGATTAAGAAAATGTGTCACATATACACCATGGAATACTATGCAGCCATAAAAAATGATGAGTTCATGTCCTTTGTAGGGACATGGATGAAATTGGAAATCATCATTCTCAGTAAACTATCGCAAGAACAAAAAACCAAACACCGCATATTCTCACTCGTAGTTGGGAATTGAACAATGAGAACACATGGACACAGGAAGGGGAACATCACACTCTGGAGACTGTTGTGGGGTGGAGAGTTGGGGAGGGATAGCTTTAGGAGATATACCTAATGCTAAATGACGAGTTAATGGGTGCAGCAACCAAAATGGCACATGTATACACATGTAACTAACCTGCACTTTGTGCACATGTACCCTAAAACTTAAAGTATAATAATAAAAAAATTTAAAAAATTAAAAAAAAAGACGAGGCTCTGCTATAATAAAATAACTTATCTTTTAGGCCTCCTGACATAATTTAGTCACATTATTCTTTGTCCAATTCAGTATATTGGCAACCTAGTCAAACTGCCTTACCCCAAATTTGGTTGACAGCCTTCATAAGACTGCCTAACAGGCCAGGCGTGGTGGCTCAAACCTGTAATCCCAGCACTTTGGGAGGCTGAGGTGGGTGGATCACCTGAGGTCAGGAGTTCAAGGCCAGCCTTGCCAACAAGGTGAAACCCCATCTCTACTAAAAATACAAAAATTAGCTGGGCATGGTGGCACACACCTGTAATCCCAGCTACTCGGGAGGCTGAGGCAGGAGAATTGCTTGAACCCGGGAGGTAGAGGTTTCAGTGAGCCAAGATCATGCCACTGCACTCCAGCCTGGGTGGCAGAGTGAGACTGTCTAGAAAAAAAAAAAAAATGCCTACTTAAAACAACAAAAAGATCTTAAAATTTAGCCTTATCTCATTTTTTTCAAAAAATAATTTGGGTCCAACCATCAATTGTAAACCAGTGAGTTTGTATTACTATCCAATGACAAAATTCTAAAATAAAAACTACAAGATCTTCATTTGTATGTATATATGTCTGTCTAGATGTATTTATGTATATATACATGTATTACACTGTATCTTCTGTTTACATAATAAAATCTGATGTAGCCAGCCAGAAATCTCTTAAGAAATTGTATTTTGATTGATTTCAATAAATGAGCACTCATATAAAATATACAGTAATTAACCCATTTTATAAAGTTCATGTCACGTAAGTAAATCTTTGGTAAACTAGTTGGTTGAGGCAGGGGAATCGCTTGAACCTGGGAGGCGGAGGTTGCAGTGAGCCAAGATTGTGCTGCAGCACTCCAGCCTGGTGAGAAAGCAAGACTCCATCTCAAAAAAAATAATAAAAAATAAATAAAATAAAATAAAATTGTTGTTAATGAAATAAAATTTAAAATGTCTTCATAATTGTCTACATACGTTTTTTTGCCTGGGTTTACTTATCAGACAGTTTTATATTTTGCTTTTTCTATGTTTTCAGATCATAAGGCTATGAACCCAGCCTAAAACAAAATGATCTTCCTGCAATTACTTGATGAATAGAATTAATTAAGTATTGCTAATTTAATCAAAACAGCCATATTTTCTGAGTTATGGACAGGAAACCATGCATTTAACTTTAGGGTTCTTGCTTAGGTAAACAATTGATATTTACAGGCTAAAAAATTATTAATAGAGAAAAAACTTGAAATGATGATTAGCTTTGTCTAATATCTCAATTCTCATAGGTAATTTAGGTAAGCTATTAAAAATTAATAAAGCAGATAAACGTAAATTGGACAAATGTCTATGAATAAACTTTTCATGTGATTTGAAATCTTAAGGTTATGTTTAATTAATAGGTACTCATTAAATGTCTGGGTCATTTTCAATTACGACTTCAAATTATAAACTGGTTCTCGTTCAAAATATTGATACATGACAGACAATTAAAGATCTTGAGTCCTAGAGTTTTACTAAAATTCAAGGTTACTGAGAGTTAAAAATTTTAATTAACATATAACATTCTGTATATAAAATATAAAAATATGAAGTTTTTAATAAGAATTATAAGACAGACATAAAATATATTCTTTATTGAGAAAAAAATGTTTTGTCTAATTCAGAGGCTATTTAGAGGTGGTTTTAAAATATAAATCTAGCAAGAAAATAGAAACAAGATATAAAAGAACTGGTAAGTAGGAGAGAAAGATGTGAAGAAAGTTATAGATATGAAGATAAATTTTTGCTAAGGAAGGTTGCAAAGAAAAGAGACTAATTTTGAATGAGAAAGAATCTTGTGTGGTAAATTTTTGTCCTCAAATAAAATGACTGAGTTATTTAAGGAGGAGGCAGAAGACAAAGCAGAATATTTAAGGCATGTCATGCATGGTCTATGTGAGTCACAGAAAGGCTTGTGAAAGGGAAATTTATGAAAGTAATGTGTGTGATCAAGTTGACTACAATTAAAAGGTAATTATTTATGATAACCTTTCTAACAACTGAGTTTTGACATTCAAAATACATTAGTAAAAAACTAAAAAAAAAGTTCCCTATATTTAAATAAAAAATGTTTTTGAAATATTGATCTGCTCTTAATAAAATTGCAGGATGTTCTGTTTGTTAATTCTGGATTCCAAGTCCAGAGTGCTCACCATTACACCATAAAATCTTACATTGATTTTGTTTTCTTTTTCAGACGGAGTCTCACTCTGTCACCCAGGCTGGAGTGCAGTGGCGTGATCTCAGCTCACTGCAACCTCTGCCTCCCGGGTTCAAGTGATTCTCCAGCCTCAGCCTCCTGAGTAGCTGGGATTACGGGAATGTGCCCCATACCTAGCTAATTTTTGTATTTTTAGTAGAGACAGTGTTTCACCATGTTGGTCAGGCTGGTCTGACCATATAAGAATAGGGTTATCAGGTTGTAACTCTGTACATTGTTTATGAATTCTTGTTATCTGCCTATAGACCAGCCTAGGTCCTAAATTAGAATTCTTCAAATTCAACTCTCTTTTTTAAATAAAATTACTAAAATGAGACTTGCTTTGTTCCTAAAGCCTGATACATTGAAACTAGATAAATTTTAAGGAGCAGGTTTCATGCCTCATGTGTGGGCCACAAAGAAGGTTCACCAAGCTTCCTGATGCCATAACCAGAGACATTTAAACTGCAAACCAAAATAAGAAGGGGGTGTTTTCCACACTGTAAACAGCTTATCCTAAGGTGTCAGAACGAGACTCCATATCAGAATAAGACTCCTCCCCTCCTCGATGCTACCTTTTTCATTTGGCAGGATAATGCTGTAATTCACATTTTACAATACGTAATTGCTCTAGGCTATTTTGACGATAACCCTAGCACAGCTTTTTGGTCAAGTTGTATTGGTGATTTCTTTTGTCAGTTGACATTTTCTTCTTTAAGTCAACCCAGTCATAAAATGTGACTCAATGGCTACAACACGTCTCACCCAGTTTCCTCCACAGTCTTTAGATTTTAGTTTGTTGCCCTTAGGCTTCGGCTGTGAGTTCAAAATCATTGTACAAACTAATTGTATTGTGTTGTTGTTAATCATTTATCATATTATAATTGTATTATAATTTTTAAACTTTGCTCTTACTGCCTCTCCAATCTTTGTGATGCCAAGTCTCCTAACAGGATAATGTTAACTCAACACTTCCAGATGACTGCTCATGCCCATGGACTAATTAGATGGAAATCAATACTAGACCACAGTCAAACCCATTCTGGGAAGATTTTTCCTTCTGGCCTTTTTGTTACTTTACTGTGGTTTGGGTCCCTGACAAAGACCCACATATCTTCCCTGCAACATGGGACAGAGACAACTGGGACAGATCCATTCTGGTGCTGAGGGATAATTAAGCCTAACTACAGCATGGTTGATCAACAACACTTTCAGAGAAACAGCTTGACCAAAAAGGGAACTTGTAAAAACTGATCATATGAACTGGGTCATTCTTGTCATACCCAACTGAAATACAGTAAATGACCTGCTGCAATTCTAAGACTGGTTTTGCCCACTGCTATTACTTACCAATCAGAACTTGCTAACTGCTCAACATCTTACTGGTGCCAGTGAAACTTCTCAAAGAGCAATATGTAATATTTCTCCTTCTTATGAAACCTCTAACCTTCTCTTTGTTCTTTGGACATACTTAAAGACCAGCCAATCTGCAATGTATGCCCTGAATTGCAATTCTTTCCTCCCAAATAAAACATTTTAGGGGGGTGGAGCCAGCTCCAGTCCCCTAAATAGGAACTGCTCCAGTGTACAGCTCCCAGTCTACAGCTCCCAGCATGAGCGACGCAGAAGACAGGTGATTTCTGCATTTCCAACTGAGGTACCAGGTTCATCTCACTGGGGAGTGTTGGACAGTGGGTGCAGGACAGTGGGTGCAGCGCACCGAGCGTGAGCCAAAGCAGGGCGAGGCATCGCCTCACCTTGGAAGCGCAAGAAGTCAGGGAATTCCCTTTCCTAGTCAAAGAAAGGGGTGACAGATGGCACCTGGAAAATCAGGTCCCTCCCACCCTAATACTGCTTTTACAACGGTCTTAGCAAACGGCACACCAGCAATTACATCCCGCGCCTGGCTGGGAGGATCCTACACCCACGGAGCCTCGCTCATTGCTACCACAGCAGTCTGAAATCAAACTGCAAGGCTGCAGCGAGGTTGGGGGTGGGGCGCCCGCCATTGCCAAGGCTTGAGTAGGTAAACAAAGAGGCTGGGAAGCTCGAACTGGGTGGAGCCCACTACGGCTCAAGGAGGCCAGCCTGCCTCTGAGACTCCACCTCTGGGGGCATGGGCATAGCCAAACAAAAGGCAGCAGAATCCTCTGCAGACTTAAATGTTCCTGTCTGACAGCTTCCCCGAAAGTAGTGGTCCTCCCAGCACGCAGCTGGAGATCTGAGAACGGACAGACTGCCTCCTCAAGTGGGTCCCTGATCCCCGAGTAGCCTAACTGGGAGGCACCCCGCAGTAGGGGCAGACTGACACCTCACACGGCCAGGTACTCCCCTGAGACAAAACTTCCAGAGGAATGATCAGGCAGCAACATTTGCTGTTCACCAATATCCACTGTTCTGCAGCCTTCGCTGCTGATACCCAGGCAAACAGGGTCTGGAGTGGACCTCCAGCAAACTCCAACAGACCTGCAGCTGAAGGTCCTGACTGTTAGAAGGAAAACTAACAAACAGAAAGTACATCCACACCAAAACCCCATCTGTACATCACCATCATCAAAGACCAAAGGTAGATAAAACCACAAAGATGGGGAAAAAACAGAGCAGAAAAACTAGAAACTCTAAAAAGCAGAGTGCCTCTCCTCCTCCAAAGGAACGCAGCTCCTCACCAGCAACGGAACAAAGCTGGAGGGAGAATGACTTTGACAAGTTGAGAGAAGAAGGCTTCAGAAGATCAAACAACTCCGAGCTAAAGGAGGAAGTTTGAGCCCATGGCAAAGAAGTTAAAAACCTTGAAAAAAATTAGACGAATGGCTAAGTAGAATAACCAATACAGAGAAGTCCTTAAAGGACCTGATAGAGCTGAAAACCATGGCACGAGAACTACATGACGAATGCACAAGCCTCAGTAGCCGATTCGATCAACTGGAAGAAAGGGTATCAGTGATGGAAGATGAAATGAATGAAAAGAATCGAGAAGAGAAGTTCAGAGAAAAAAGAATAAAAAGAAACGAGAAAGCCTCCAAGAAATATGAGACTTTGTGAAAATACCAAATCTACATCTGATTGGTGTACCTGAAAGTGACGGGGAGAATGGAACCAAGTTGGAAAACACTCTGCAGGATATTATCCAGGAGAACTTCTTCAGTGTAGCAAGACAGGCCAACATTCAGATTCAGGAAATACAGAGAACGCCACCAAGATACTCCACGAGAAGAGCAACTCCAAGACACATAACTGTCAGATTCATCAAAGTTGAAATGAAGGAAAAAATGGGAAGGGCAGCCAGAGAGAAAGGTCGGGTTACCCACAAAGGGAAGCCCATCAGACTAACAGCTGATCGCTAGGCAGAAACTCTACAAGCCAAAAGAGAGTGGGGGCCAATAATCAACATTCTTAAAGAAAAGAATTTTCAACCCAGAATTTCATATCCAGCCAAACTATGCTTCATAAGTGAAGGAGAAATAAAATACTTTACAGACAAGCAAATGCTGAGAGATTTTGTCACCACCAGGCCTGCCCTAAAAGAGCTCCTGAAGCAAGCACTAAACATGGAAAGGAACAACTGGTACCAGCCACTGCAAAAACATGCCAAATTGTAAAGACCATCGAGGCTAGGAAGAAACTGCATCAACTAACGAGCAAAATAACCAGCTAACATCATAATGACAGGATCAAATTCACACGTAACAATATTAACCTGAAATGTAAATGGGCTAAATGCTCCAATTAAAAGAGACAGACTGGCAAACTGGATAAAGAGTCAAGACCTATCCGTGTGCTGTATTCAGGAAACCCATCTCACGTGCAGAGACACACATAGGCTCAAAATAAAGGGATGGAGGAAGATCTACCAAGCAAATGGAAAACAAAAAAAGGCAGAGGTTGCAATCCTAGTCTCTGATAAAACAGACTTTAAACCAACAAAGATCAAAAGAGACAAAGAAGGCCATTACATAATGGTAAAGGGATCAATTCAACAAGAAGAGCTAACTATCCTAAATATATATGCACCCAATACAGGAGTACCCAGATTCATAGAGCAAGTCCTTAGAGACCTACAAAGAGACTGAGACACCAACACAATAATAATGGGAGACTTTAACACCCCACTGTCAACATTAGACAGATCAATGAGACACAAAGTTAAGAAGGATATCCAGGAATTGAACTCAGCTCTGCACCAAGTGGACCTAATAGACATCTACAGAACTCTCCACCCCAAATCAACAGAATATACATTCTTTTCCACATCACACCACACCTATTCCAAAATTGACCACATAGTTGGAAGTAAAGCACTCCTCAGCAAATGTAAAAGAACAGAAATTATAACAAACTGTCTCTCAGACCACAGTGCAATCAAACTAGAACTCAGAATTAAGAAACTCACTCAAAACCGCTCAGCTACATAGAAACTGAACAACCTGCTCCTGAATGACTGCTGGGTACACAACGAAATGAAGGCAGAAATAAAGATGTTCTTTGAAACCAACGAGAACAAAGACACAACATACCAGAATCTCTAGGACACATTCAAAGCAGTGTGTAGAGGGAAGTTCATAGCACTAAATGTCCACAAGAGAAAGCAGGAAAGATCTAAAATTGATACCCTAACATCACAATTAAAAGAACTAGAAAAGCAAGAGCAAACACATTCAAAAGCTAGCAGAAGGCAAGAAATAACTAAGATCAGAGCAGAACTGAAGGAAATAGAGACACAAAAAAACCTTCAAAAAATCAATGAATCCAGGAGCTGGTTTTTGGAAAAGGTCAACAAAATTGATAGACTGCTAGCAAGACTAATAAAGAAGAAAAGAGAGAAGGATCAAATAGATGCAATAAAAAATGATAAAGGGGATATCACCACCGATCCCACAGAAATACAAGCTACCATCAGAGAACACTATAAACACCTCTACGCAAATAAACTAGAAAATCTAGAAGAAATGGATAAATTCCTGGACACATACACTCTCCCAAGACTAAACCAGGAAGAAGTTGAATCTCTGAATAGACCAATAACAGGCTCTGAAATTGAGGCAATAATCAATAGCTTACCAACCAAAAAGAGTCCAGGACCAGATGGATTCACAGCCAAATTCTACCAGAGGTACAAGGAGGAACTGGTACCATTCCTTCTGAAACTATTCCAATCAATAGAAAAAGAGGGAATCCTCCCTAACTCATTTTATGAGTCCAGCATCATCCTGATACCAAAGCCGGGAAGAGACACAACCAAAAAAGAGAATTTTAGACCAATATCCTTGATGAACATTGATGCAAAAATCCTCAGTAAAATACTGGCAAACCGAATCCAGCAGCACATCAAAAAGCTTATCCACCATGATCAAGTGGGCTACATCCCTGGGATGCAAGGCTGGTTCAACATATGCAAATCAATAAATGTAATCCAGCATATAAACAGAACCAAAGACAAAAACCACATGATTATCTCAATAGATGCAGAAAAGGCCTTTGACAAAATTCAGCAACGTTTCATCCTGAAAACTCTTAATGAATTAGGTATTGATGGGACATATCTCAAAATAATAAGAGCTATCTATGACAAACCCACAGCCAATATCATACTGAATAGGGAAAAACTGGAAGCATTCCCTTTGAAAACTGGCAAAAGATAGGGATGCCCTCTCTCACTACTCCTATTCAATATAGTGTTGGAAGTTCTGGCCAGGGCAATCAGGCAGGATAAAGAAATAAAAGGGTATTCAATTAGGAAAAGAGGAAGTCAAATTGTCCCTGTTGGCAGATGACATGATTGTATATCTAGAAAACCTCATCATCTCAGCCCAAAATCTCCTTAAGCTGATAAGCAACTTCAGCAAAGTCTCAGGATACAAAATCAATGTACAAAAATCACAAGCATTCTAATACACCAATAACAGACAAACAGAGAGCCAAATCATGAGTGAACTCCCATTCACAATTGCTTCAAAGAGAATAAAATACCTAGAAATCCAACTTACAAGGGATGTGAAGAACCTCTTCAAGAAGAACTACAAACCACTGCTCAACGAAATAAAAGAGGATACAAACAAATGGAAGAACATTCCATATTCATGGGTAGGAAGAATCAATATCGTGAAAATGGCCATACTGCCCAAGGTAATTTATAGATTCAATGCCATCCCCATCAAGCTACCAATGACTTTCTTCTCAGAATTGGAAAAAACTACTTTAAAGTTCATATGGAACCAAAATAGAGCCCACATTGCCAAGTCAATCCTAGGCCAAAAGAACAAAGCTGGAGGCATCACACTACCTGACTTCAAACTGTACTACAAGACTACAGTAACCAAAACAGCATGGTACTGGTACCAAAACAGAGATACAGACCAATGGAACAGAACAGAGCCCTCAGAAATAATGCCGCATATCTACAACCATCGGATCTTTGACAAACCTGACAAAAACAAGAAATGGGGAAATGATTCCCTATTTAATAAATGGTGCTGGGAAAACTGGCTAGCCATATGTAGAAAGCCGAAACTGGATCCCTTCCTTACACCTTATACAAAAATTAATTCAAGATGGATTAAAGACTTAAATGTTAGACCTAAAACCATAAAAACCCTAGAAGAAAAACTAGGCAATACCATTCAGGACATAGGCATGGGCAAGGACTTCATGTCTAAAACACCAAAAGCAATGGCAACAAAAGCCAAAATTGACAAATGGCATCTAATTAAACTAAAGAGCTTCTGCACAGCAAAAGAAACTACCACCAGAGTGAACAGGCAACCTAGAGAATGGGAGAAAATTTTTGCAATCTACTCATCTGACAATGGGCTAATATTCAGAATCTACAATGAACTCAAACAAATTTACAAGAAAAAAAACAAACAACCCTATCAAAAAGTGGGCAAAGGATATGAACAGACACTTCTCAAAAGAAGACTTTTATGCAGCCAAAAGACACATGAAAAAATGCTCATCAGCTCTGGCCATCAGAGAAATGCAAATCAAAACCACAATGAGATACCATCTCACACCAGTTAGAATGGCAATCATTAAAAAGTCAGGAAACAACAGATGCTGGAGAGGATGTGGAGAAATAGGAACACTTTTACACTGTTGGTGGCACTGTAAACTAGTTCAACCATTGTGCAAGTCAGTGTCGCGATTCCTCAGGGATCTAGAACTAGAAATAACATTTGACCCAGCAATTCCACTTCTGGGTATATACCAAAAGGATTATAAATCATGCTGCTTTAAAGACACATGCACACGTATGTTTATTGTGGCACTGTTCACAATAGCAACGACTTGGAACCAAGCCAAATGTCCAACAATGATAGACTGGATTAAAGGAATGTGGCACATATACACCATAGAATACTATGCAGCCATAAAAAATGATGAGTTCATGTCCCTTGTAGGGACATGGATGAAGCTGGAAACCATCATTCTCAGCAAACTATCGCAAGGACAAAACACCAAACACCGCATGTTATCACTGATAGGTGGGAATTGAACAATGAGAACACATGGACACAGGAAGGGGAACATTACACACTGGGGCCTGTTGTGGGGTGGGTGGAGGGGGGAGGGATAGCATTAGGAGATATACCTAATGTTAAATGACGAGTTAATGGGTGCAGCACACCAACATGGCACATGTACACAAATGTAACTAACCTGCACGTTGTGCACATGTACCCTAAAACTTAAAGTATAATGAAAGAAAAAAAAAACGTGGTCTCCACAATCCTTTATCTTAACCTAAACATTCTTTTCCATTGATCCCAAGTCTTCAGATAAACTCAACTAATTGTTAACCAGAAAATGTTTAAATTTACCTATAGCCTGAAAGCTCCCCCACCAACCCTGCTTTGAGTTGTCCTGCCTTTCTGAACCAAACCAATGTATTTCTTAAATGTATTTGATTGATGTCTCATTCCTCCCTAAAATGTTTAAAACCAAGCTGTACCCCGACCACCTTGGGCACATATATGTTCTCAGGACCTCCTGAGGGCTGTGTCATGGGCCACGGTCACTCATATTTGGCTCAGAATAAACCTCTTGAAATATTTTACAGAGTTTGACTCTTTTTGTGAACAGTGTGTGTTGATTTAAAAAATGAAAAGAAGATAATGTCTGACACAATACTTAATTGAATGGCACTATATCGGTCTGATAATTTTGTAAATAATTAATATTACTAGGAAACATTGGGTAGTGCTGACTGTCACCGAGGCTGTTAAATGCTTAACATGTGTGCCATTTGTTCTTACGACAATCCTATGAAGTACATATTAATACCCCATTTTACAATTAGAAAGCTGAGGCAGTAGTTTGAAGTCTAAGGCCACAAAGCTAAAATCAGGATTTGTACCCAGGCAGTCTGGTTCCAGAGTGTGTGCTTTTAGCCATTTACATATCCTGCCTCTCTGTAGTTAAAAAAGAAACGCCCCAAAACAAAACCCCAAAAAACCGCAAACACAGAGTTGAAATTACTGGAAAGCTGTGGGAGGACACATACCAAATTGAATAATGGTAATTGAGTTGGAAATGGGGGGTGGATATTGAAAGAGAAAAAAGCAAAAGTCATTCAGTTCCATCGTGCATACCCTGCAAGAATCCCTTCTCTAGAATCCCTGGAAGAGACCCAGCCAGTGTTACCCAAGCCCTGCTGCCACCTCCCAAGGCAGCCCATCCCATCTGGGAATAGCTCAAGTCCTGAGAAACTTTTCCTTCACATAGAATTGAAATGGAGAAATCTGCTGCCTGAGAGCTCCATCTCCACTCCACCTCCACTGGCCTTAGGTCTGCTTTCTGGAACTATTAAATATTTGGATGATTCCAGTTTCTTTCTCATGGAATATTCCTCCAATTCTTAGAATTCCCCTAGACTAGGCCGGGCATGGTGGCTCACGCCTGTAATCCCAGCACTTTGGGAGGGTGAGGTGGGTGGATCACCTGAGGTCGGGAATTTGAGACCAGCCTGACCAACATGGTGAAACCCTGCCTCTACTAAAAATACAAAATTAGCTGGGCGTGGTGGTGGGCGCCTGTAATCCCAGCTACTTGGGAGGCTAAGGCAGGAGAATTGCTTGAGCCCGGGAGGCGGAGGTTGCAGTGAGCCGAGATCATGCCACTTCACTCCAGCCTGGGTGACAGAACAGGACTCCATCTAAAAAAAAAAAAAAACAAAAACAAAAACAAACAAACAAAAACCAACAAAAAACAAGAACAAAGAAAAAGAAAAAACTCCCCGGGATTAACTGTCTCCTGCCTCCCCCTGGATCCGCTTTGCACCACCTCCAACTCTTGTCAGCCTGGGAGTCTGACTTGGAGGAGCCATAGCCTAGGTGCCCATGCCTGTGGGCTGCCAGCTGGGCGTGGCCAATGGGAAGCCCCAGCAGAAATCATAGAGAGCAAGGGATGCCAAGTGTGGGCACTGGTTCCCTAGCTTCCTCCCTGCACTGCCGCCTGGGGTTGCTAGGAACATTGGAGGTCACTGCTCCAGTCAAGGCAGCCCGGTGATTGAGGCTCTCCATCCCCTCATCTCCTCCAGCCTCCGGGGAGTAACACCTTGGCTTCTATGGAGCCCCAAGGTACTGCAGAGCCTCTGTGGCGTCTCTACCCACTCCATGTAAACGATTCTTTGTAAGTAAATTATCCTTGGAGTGTTTTCTCTGGGACTCTAATACAACATCTTTCCAGTCTCCCGGAGATTTCTCTTTTCTAAGTAAAAACTCAATATAACTGGCAGTTCCACTTTTAAACCTCAACAGTTATTGGGAGATTACCTTGTAGGCAATTCTGATCTCTGTAATTCAATAACAGCCTTTGGCCAGAAGCATTAAAGTTCTGCCAGTCTTATCAGCTGTTGCCTGAAGCAACACACATTTGAGGGAGTCTTTGGTTGGATTCAGCCAAACCCTGGGTGCTAAATGCAGAAAATGCAAAACGCAAGGGATTCTCTTACCATCGTCTCCTCTCCCTCTCTCCGCCCCTTTGCAAATGAGACCGCTCTGACAGAACTGAAGGGCAGCAGTCTCTGGTTTCTGAGTCATGGGGGATTGATTTTCCCTATTTGTTGTCTCTTCATTCCACAACTTCTCATTTAATACCTACATCCCATCCTTTGGGAGAAAAGTGAACCAGGCCCATTTTTAGGGTGAGAATGGATGGGCAACTGGTAGTAGGTCACATGGCTTTTCAGAGGGGAGTTGAGAGTTCAGATGCAGAACTCTGCTCTTCCCCTCTTCCCAGCTAAGCATTCTTTCCACGGCCCCATTCTGGGCACTGGTACCAGTTGATTTCTCCCTAGACTCGGAGGTGAGGCTGAGCTTTTCCGCCTCAGCTGGCTTAAGGGTGAGGTTTGCTGGGTCCTTCTTGGTGTGGGTGGGGGCACTGGAAGGACCTGCACTGGGGGTCTGACGGATGGGCAGTCACTAGGGGTCCTCACCACACACTCTGGCCCCTGTTCCCAGCACACGGCAGGATTGAAGTTCTGGGCTCCCTTGGTGTTAAGTGAGGCCACGTGACTAGTTCCGGCCAGTGAGCATGAATGGAAGTGCTGCGTGCTACCATCAGGCTGGAGCGTGTAATTCCCAAGGGCAAAACTCTCCAGAGGGCTCTTCCCTCTGTCATGATCACTGCCATATGGAGTGGAGTGAGAAGCAGCAGGAAGATGTAGGAGCTGCACTCCAAGCTGACCTGCCATGGACATACAGCGTGAACAAGGAACACACTTGGTTGTTGTTAAGTCACTGAAACTGTGCATTTGTACCTGGTTATGGACTCAGAGAGGGGATCTGGGGATCCGGATGCTGGTGGGTGGTGAATAATGGACTCTGAGCCATTCTGAGCCAGAGCTCCCATCAGGACCTCTAGACTGTGTCTCTAGACAGAAAATGAGGCATTTGAGGGTTTTAGGCCATTTGAGAGGACACAATTCAATTCAACACAGAGGTCTCAGGCAGAGACTCTAAGGCTTTTTCATAAGAAGCCAGGGTGTGTGATAACAGCTAGATTAAGTAGTGAAAATGAACTTTAAGGACCCATAAGAGAAGTTACTAGTTGCCCCTGTGTGCTTATTTCAGAACACCTCACTGATAATAATAGCCATGCTTAACGTTTTGTTTGAATTTTGAGGAGAAATCGAGGGTTACACGGTGAGACAGCACTACCCATCGGGGAGCCTTTTAAGTTCCTGGAAGGTATATTTGTTTCCTTGCTCTGCTTAGCAAATTTCCGCAAACTTGGTGGCTTAAAAACAACAGAAATATAGTCTCGCTTTGTTCTAGAGACCAGAAAGTTAGAAATCAAGGTGTTGGCTGGGCCACACTTCCTTAGAGGGTTGCAGGGGGAAGTCCTTCCTTGTCTCTTCCAGTTTCTGGTGGTAGCCACCAATCTGGTGGCGGCATCCCTTGGGTTGTGGCAGCCTCTCTTCTGTCTCTCCCTGCACCTGCACATGGCCTTCTTCCCTATGTGCCATTGGATTTAGTGCCTACCCTAATCTAGTGTGACCTCTTCATAAATTGAATACTTCTGCAAAGACTCTGTTTCCAAATAAGGTCATATTCACTCATAAACTTAATACTTCTGCAAAAACCCTGTTTCCAAATAAGGTCATTTTCACAGGTGCCAGGTGACAGGTCATCTTCACAGGTGCTAGGCGACAGGTCTCCAACATATCCTTTAGGAGGACACAATTCAACTCACAACACAGGGTTCTCAGGCAGAGTCTAAGGCTTTTTCATAAGAAGCCAGGGTGTGTGATAGCTAGATTAAGCAGTGGAAATCAACTTTAAGGACCCATAAGAGAAGTTACTAGTTGCCCCTGTGTGCTTATTTCAGAACACCTCAGTGTTTGTATTCTGTATTTTATATACTTTCCCAGCAGTACCACTCCTTTACTTCACTTGGATATTGTAATTACAGTTTCTGTATTTTTAAAAAATTAAAAGTGAGCATTAGAAGGGGGATAGTGAAACAGAAAATGGGCTTGAGAATCCCTCAGACCTATGTGTGGAATCCCCACTCTAGCTAAAACACTTTACCAGTGACCTCAGACGGATGACTTATTCTTTCCAGACATTAAGACTTATAAATCAAGATTGTGAGGCCGGGTGCAGTGGCTCACACCTGTAATCCCAGCACTTTGGGAGGCCGAGGTGGGCAGATCACCTGAGGTCAGGAGATCGAGACCAGCTTGGCCAACGTGGCGAAACCCCATCTCTACTAAAAAAAAAATACAAAAATTAGCTGGGTGTGGTGGCGGGTGCCTGTAATCCCAGCTACTTGGGAGGCTGAGGCAGGAGAATCGCTTGAACCTGGGAGGCGGAGGTTGCAGTGAGCCAAGATTGCGGCATTGCACTCCAGCCTGGGCGACGAGCAAAACTCCATTTCAAAAAAATTTAAAAAAACAAACAAAAAGATTGTGGTGAGGATTAATTGTAGATCAAGTGTGAATATATATAAAATGCCAACCAAGCACAGTACACGGCACATAACAGCTTTTCAATACACTTAAAAATGATAGTATTTTCTATGTCTTTTTTTTTTTATTTTCCACATCTTTTATTGGCTGAGATTTGTCAGAATCGGTCACACTTTTTTTTTTTTGGAACGGAGTATTGCTCTGTTGCCCAGGCTGGAGTGCAGTGGCGTGATCTTGGCTCGCTGCAACCTCTGCTTTCCAGGTTCAAGCAATTCTCCTGCCTCAGCCTCCTGGGTAGCTGAACTACAGGCGTGCACCACCACGCTTGCCTAATTTTTGTATTTTTAGTAAAGACAGGGTTTCACCATGTTGGCCAGGTTGGTTTTGAACTCCTGACCTCAAGTGATCTGCCCACCTCAGCCTCCCAAGCCAGTCACGCTTTTTTTTTTTTTTTTTTTGAGATGGAGTCTTGCACTGTCACCCAGGCTGGAGTGCAGTGGTGTGATCTCGGCTCACTGCAACCTCCGCCTCTCGGGTTCAAGCGATTCTCCTGCCTCAGCCTCCTGAGTGGCTGGGATTACAGGCGCCTGCCACCACACCCAGCTAATGTTTCTTTGTATTTTTAGTATAGATGGGGGTTTCACCATGTTGGCCAGGCTGGTCTTGAACTCCTGACCTCGTGATTCGCCAGCCTCAGCCTCCCAAAGTGCTAGGATTACAGGTGTGAGCCACCGTGCCTGGCCACACTTTTTAAACCGGGCCCTAATTCCCATGCAGTGTCTTGATTGTGAGTTTTGTGGCACTATTAAGATTCTGCAATCCACACAGCCTTTTAGACTACCTTCATCTCTGGCTGGAATTCCTCCCGCTGCGTCAGGTCACTGAGCTGATTCTCCCCAGTCATTCGAAAGGCATTTGCTCTGCTGTATCAAGGTTCCCAGGAAGCTCGGCCCTGCCTTGCTCAATCGCCTGAGCTCTTCCCTCCCCTCCACCTCATTGGGCAGTAAACCCTCTAGACTTCTGAGTTTCAGAGACACCATTCAAGTCAGAATTATGTTTTAATCAGTTTAGCTGACTGTGAAACGGGAATAAAAATACCTACGGATACAATCTCAAGGAGAATGGAATGAGAAAATGGGTGCAGGTAGCTCCCCCATGGCCAGCACACAGAAGGTGGTCTTCACTGTTAACTGCCTTTTCTATTAAGTTTGAACCACAATGTTTAATTCAAAGACTGGACAGAACCTACATGTGCTGGCCTTCACTTTGGGAGGCCTAGAGTTTTGAAGTTTGCTACTTCCCAGCAGTGAGGTTTGTGGGGAAGGGACTAAGTGCAAAGGGTTTTCTCCATTTTGCAGATTAATACAAGGACTAACCTTTCCTTTTCTTACTAGTTGGGTTGCTGAAGAGATACGAGAAATGTCAAAGCACTTCGCAGATGGCACAGACCTTGGTAAAGTCAAAGAATCATTGACATCTGTTCAGCCCCTTGATGGCACAGATGAGAAGTCCGAGGCTCAGAGAGGCTGGAGCTTCACTGGGGTCACAGCACCATGAGCAGCAAGACCAAGACTTGACCCAGGCCCATCAGATTCTGAAGCCTGTGATGGATTGCACCCCTTGTGCCTCATTGGCGCTGGCTCACGAGGGCTCCAGGCCATGCTGGAGGGTCCCTATCATATTGCTGGGATCCTCCAAGGCCAGAGTTCTCCAGGGAGGCCACCTAAGCAGATGAAGTCAGCCAACATTAATTTTTTTTCTTTTTTTTTGAGACAGAGTCTCGCTCTGTCTCCCAGGCTGGAGTGCAGTGGCGCGGTCTTGGCTCACTGCAACTTCTGCCTCCCGGGTTCAAGTGATTCTCCTGACTTAGCCTCCCAAGTAGCTGGGATTACAGGTATGTACCACCACACCAGACTAATTTTTGTATTTTACTAGAGATGGGGCTTCACCATGTTGGCCAGTCTGGTCTCAAACTCCTGACCTCAGGTGATCCACCTGCCTCGGCCTCCCAAAGTGCTGGGATTACAGGTGTGAACCACCGTGTCCGGTCTTTAAATATCTTTTGACTGTCTACCCTGCTGCGGACTTAGTCAGGGCACCCTCCATCCACAGCAAATGCGCTGGGTTTGCTGCCATTGTGTGGTCTGAGGAGGGGTAAGGAGGATGCATTGTGGTCATGTTAATTTGTATAATCTTGCACCTGAAACGTCTGGGTTCGCCAACAGAAGGTGTCTACAGGGAGAGTGACAATTCCTTGCCCAACATTTAATGTACATGGCCAGGGGCTATTTTGATTCAGCCTGGGGCTCTGGAGCCACACTGTCTCTGTGGAACCCCGGCTCTGCCACCTCTTGGCTGTGTGCCCTTAATCCACTCTGGGCCTGTACTTCCTAACCTGTGAAATGGGGGGGAATAAGCATAACCAGCTCAGAGGACGGATGTACAGACTAAATGGCACAGAGTGAACACCCAATAAAAGGGAGCTCTCATGACCATCTATGCCACGCCTGCCACTGCCCATTGGGTGCATTGGAGAGAACCCTCAAGGCCACCCACTTGTGCAAAGCAATCCTTCCTGCACGTCTGAAAGCTCGTGCCACCAGGCTGTGAGCTCCATTGAGAGCAGGGGCCTTGCTCCCAGCAGTATCCCTGTACCTGACCCCAGGGAGATGCTCAATAAACATCTGCCAAACAACTGGATGAAAGCACAGCTAGCAGAAAGAGCCTGGGAACTAGGAGACGGGAGATTAGAGTTCAAGTTCTTCATATTGCAAGACCTTGAGAATACCAATGATATTTCTTTTAGGGAAATGTGATAAGTAAGGACTAAAGCACTGGCTCTCAACTGGGGGTGATTTTGCCTGCCAGGGAACGTTTGGCAATATCTGGAGACATTTTTGATTGTCACTGTCTGAAGGTGTTACTGGTATCTAGTAGGTAGAGGGCAGAGATTATTTAAGTATCCTGCAAGGCACAGGATGGCCCTCACAACCAAGAATTGATGTCAACAGTCAGTGCCAAGGTTGAGAAACCCTAGATTAAAGGAACATGATCTAAAACCATAAAGTCACATACAAATGATGATTGTTATTAGTGTTCATAGTATTATTTGGTGTAACAAATGCAATAGTAGATTTTTTAAATGTGATATTTTCAAGGACTCCAGGGGTAGCTTTTATATGATTTTAAATGTTTCTGTTTCTTCAAGAGATAGCAAAGATAGAAAATGCCCCTTAAATTCCTTCCTCACCAGGAGCTTCTTATTCTGCAAAATGTCAAATGCTATTGAAAAGACCTCTTGGAAAAATCAGCCCTGCTCAGATCTTTGGCCAAGAATAGGAGGATGGGCCCCCTGGTGCATTTCTCAACCCAATGGAAGTCTCAGCTGCCAAGGCCTTCAAAGCCCTGACCAGCCCTGGAAGCAGATGCTCCACCTGGCTCAGTGGCCTTTTGCCAGCTGAGACCATTAGCCAATAATAAGCTGCATTTCCAAAAAAGTAGGCAGCGCTAATTTTAATTTTGTTCTCTGTTTCGAAACAAAGGTCCAGAGAGGTTAGCCCCAGGGCACCTCCTCCTGTCCCCACAGTGGCCCCTGTGTGTCTGATTCACGGCACACACCGCACTGTTTGGTAATCCTCCCCGCTGCAGGCTATGGGCATCCTGAGGACACGAGTCCTGAAGACTCACTTCTGTGTGAGGCCCAGTCCAGGATTATGATTTAGCTGTCAAATGACTGAATGCATTTGTCCTGCAGGGCTGACACAGTGGATGCCCTGCCCATGTCCTCTCAGCTCCTACTTGCTGCTTGGTGCAGATGATGGGTGCTCTACCACAGTGGGAGTTGCAGGAACCGTCTCTCTCCCCAAGAGCTTTCTGTAGCTGAGGAAGCATACGTGGCCTATGCAAGAGGAAGTCAGCTGTGCAGGGAAGTTAAGGCCCCCGGGAGCATCCCGCAGCCAGTAGGCTTTTGCTAAAACCATGTATAGCAGGAATCTATGTTCAAGACACATTGAATGTAGGAGTTGCAGATGAACCCCTAAGGGCAAGGGAGTCAGAGCTGGGAGGGTTTGCAGCTTTAGACGGGTCCTTATGACTCAACTCAGAACCCACTAGAGGATGCACCACTTAGACACCCTGGTCTCCTGCGCAAGATTCCAAACTGTTTAGCATCAGAATCGCTTGTGGGACATATTAAAACGCTGGTCCCCATGCTTACTCTCTCAGCTTCTGGTTGGGAAGGAATGGATTAGGGAGCTGTATTGGCTGTATTAGTTTCTCTGGGTGGCCGTAACTAAGTTACCACCAACTGGGTGGCTTTAAACAACAGAAATGTATTCCCCATAGCTCTAGAGGCTAGAGTCTGAAATCAAGGTGTGGGCAGGGTTGGCTCCTTCTGAGGGCTCTGAGGGAGAATCCGCTCCAGTCCTTCCTCCCAGCGCTGGATGGCCGCCAATGCTGGGTGCTCGTTGGCTTGTACCTGCATCACTACAATCTTCCCGTGGCCTTCTCCCCATGCCTGCACCTCTTCTCTTGTCAGGACAGACACCAGTCATGTTGGATTAGGCACCCACCCTACTCCAGTCTGACCTCATCATAACTCATTACATCTGCACCCACCCTATTTCCAAATAAGGTCACATTCTGAAGTAGGGGGGCTTAGGGCTTCGACATATCTTTTTGAGGGACACCATGCAACCTGCAGCAGGTGCAGTATCTCTAGATGCTAACAGGCCCTCAGACAATTCTGATTGTCCCCCTGGGACTGTGGCCCTCCTGTGTGATGTGTGATTTATCTTTGCAGCCCCCACTGTGCAGGGATCCTGCATGCCCCTGCATATTCTGCAGGAGCAACTGGTGTCAGGCTGATGGCCAGGTCTGCAGAGATTGAAAGGAGGCGGAACTGCTGGGGACCGGGGACGTGGTCCAGGCGGAGCATGACGACAAGCCTGGCTTGATGCTTGGCTCCCCCTGACCAGCCCTCGACTCACTACACTGCTCAAGTGGGGAAGAAGGTGCTCGATTTAATTTTCCAGCTACTCAAGTGCCAGCAGTGCCTCTAACATGGGATTCCAGACAGAAGTGAAGGATAAACAGGTCTCACTTTTTTCTTGGTTTAAAGTAAAAATGCTTGTTTTGAGGCAATCATGAGTCATGAATCAACTTCTCATAGGCATTTTTTTTACTGCTGAGAAACTGCAGCAAGGGAGGACTGTGGGTAGATGGAGCATGGCTCTCTTCCCACAAGATGAGGTGGGGATGGGGTCGGCTGATGCATCTTGGGGGACACAGCAAAACCCTCTCCTGGACACCTTTATATGGCAGTAAGCCTGCACGCCTGCTGTGACAGGAAGCCTATCAGCCATCAGGGCCGCAGAGGAAGCACTTAGGTAAGCAGAGACAGGATGAAGAAGAAGAACTACAGCTCAGACCTCAGCCAACAGCTTCCCCCATAGCCATGCTCTCTGTGGCTCCCCATTGTCAGGAACACATGACGTCTGCCCTCTTTCTTTATTTTGCTGACTCCGGTAAACTATGCCAGCCTCACTTCCAATCCCCGATGCCAAATCTCAATGGTGTCCATAGGCTGACTGCAAATCTCAGGGGTGTCCACAGGCCAACTGCATTTCCCTCATCAATTCCCATTTACACGTGAGGAAGAAAACATCTACTCGGCTGAAGCTCCTATATAGTGAGGTTTCTGCTAAAAGCAGCAGACGCAACTCCTAAATGACACAGGGAAGGATGTCTCATTCTCACTTCCTTTTAAAAGGAAGAATCCAAATTGAAGCATGTTCTGGCACACAGCAAAAGGTGAAATGAGATTGCTGTCTGCTTGGGTCCCACACAGCTTAGCTTTTTGCAGGCTCACGTTTGCCAGCAGCTGCTCTCATTGGACTCCACGGCCCACACACAGAGAATGAAGGCTGCCTGAGCCCAAGATCACTGATGCTCTTTGAGCAGAAGTTCCTGGGTCTGGGTTTCTAAGTCTGGGGGAAGGGCCATGAGCCTCAGAGCAGGCAGGACCACAGGCAAATTGGGATAAGCTCCGAAACCACTCACGACATCAGCCCCCGTCTTCCCCAAGTCTGATGGGCTGTGGCTGCAGAGGCCCTTCCTGTGTTGTTGGCCAGAGCTGGGAGACCCCAACATGTGGTCCTCTAGCAGGTGAGGCTTGCTGCCCAAGCCTGGTGTGTGTGTCTGTGCTGATCTGGGCACCCATTGGCCCTCAGAGCTATAGCCACTCAGGGTCAGTGAAAGGCTGCTGCCTCCTTTGCCTCCCCAGCATCGACTGGGACTGGGGCCCTGTCCTGCCCACTGGCCCATGGCTGGAACCCAAACACCCATCCCTGCCCCATCCCTCACCTCTCCTCACTCTCTAGGCCCTGCGGCAGCCATGCTGTCTTCCTTCTCTGTGCACTTTTCCTACTCCTGGAATGCCGCGTTTTCCCCTACATGTCCCTTAGGACTTGGCCCAGCACGCCACCTAGAGAACTTCCCCAACCACCCAGGCTGAGCCAGGTGTCTGCTGTGACATGCACTGCCCTGGGTGGCCCTTGGCCTTAGCACGTGTTTCCTGCGCTGTTAGCATCTGCTGAAAGCCAAAACGGTTGAATACTGGGGATTGCATAAGGGCCTGTAATCAATGATTTTTTGAGTCAATCAATATTTGAATCTCCTGGAGGGCAGGAAGCATCTCTGATTTGCCTCCACCAACCCAAAGCTTGGCTTAGTGTGGGTCCAATGGGGCTCATCGGCTGCCCCTGCTGGAGCCCCAGCTCTGACAAGTCAGCCACAGCCACAAATCCCCTAGATAATTTTTTTTTTTTTTTTTGAGACGGAGTCTTGCTCTGTCGCCCAGGCTGGAGTGCAGTGTGCGCGATCTCGGCTCACTGCAAGCTCTGCCTCCCGGGTTCACACCATTCTCCTGCCTCAGCCTCCCGAGTAGCTGGGACTACAGGTGCCCGCCACTGCGCACAGCTAACTTTTTGTATTTTTAGAAGAGACGGGGTTTCACCGTGGTCTCGATATCCTGACCTCGTGATCTGCCCGCCTCAGCCTCCCAAAATGCTAGAATTACAGGTGTGAGCCACCGCGCCCGGCCTCCTCTAGATATTATCATTGGCTGGAACCGAGCCTGAGGTGTCTGCCTGCTTTGTTGACCAGCCCCTTAGAGGGCAGTCCCATGGCCAGGGCACACCCCACCTAGCCCCTCCCAGATTCCCTGTGTCTCTTTTCCCATCCCAGGCTGCTGAGGTTCCAGCATCCCCCACCGACCTTACCCAAGTAAATATTAGTAACAATCGTCATTACCTTGCCGTGTTGAGAACCCCTTCCATACCAGGTGCTGCGGGACCACAGCCTCATTTAATTCTCACAGCCCCGCGTCTTAAGGAGGCCTCTCCACTGGGCTGATGCTGACCAGGAGGCTCAGGCAGGGCAAGGTCACTCTGCAGTGGCAGAGCCAGGACTTGGCCCCAGGCAACTTGACCCCAGCGCTCTTACTTTTCATCACAGTGAGCCTGCCTCTCCGCCTGTGTTCCTGTGTGCCCGCTCAGGGCTGCTGCAGCCTCCCCATTCTCATGGGAGCTCCCAGAGACTGGCTCAGGCCACACAGCAGAGGCAGGATCGGAGCCCTGTCTAATTCAAAATCCAGGAGTTTCACCCCCCACCAGAGCCCTGTGTCTCACCTCAGCGATACCTTCCCTTTTGTCGTCAAGGCCGGTTTGGGGGGCAGGGACTGTGATTCTGCCAGGAGGACCTTGGGTCACTTAGGACAGGCTTTGCCCAAGGGGGACAGTATGAAGGACTTACTTCTCTCTGTTGAATATGATGAATTCCTCCCGGACAGTCTCCAAACAGTGCTGCAGGTGTCCATTCTGTCAAAGAGCACAGAGGGGTGACTAAATGACAAAGCACGGTCCGGGGACGCGCGGTAATGGAGCATCACAGGACGGCAGACTGACCTAGATGGAAACCTCAGATGCTTGGGACCGGGACAAGCCAAGCTAAGTGTCTGGGGCTGACCCTGACTGCATGGGTGGCTGTGTCCAAAGGTAGCCTGGTGGACAAAGATGCTTTTCTCCACGTTAAGCCATGAAATCCAACTTAAAAGCCATGTTAGAATGGAATATGGGCTGAAATTCATGAGCTTATTTTCCTGACCACTTAAGGCCCACGTGAGGGGCATGGAAAACCAGAAATTCACAACCATGATGCCAGGGGCTCCACTTGCATAGGGGAGGGGGGTGTTGTGTGTTGAATTGTGTCCTCTGAAAGGTATCTTGAGTCCCAGCCCCCCAGTACTTATAAACATGACGTTATTTGGAAATAGAACCTTTACAGATGTAATCCAGTTAAGATGAAGTCACAGTGAATTAGGTAGGCCCTAAGACCAATGACTGGGGTCCTTATATGAAGGCCATATGAAGACATGCGAAGACACAGAGAATAAGGCCATGCAGTGACGGAGGGAGAGACTGGAACCATGCAGCTGCGAGCCAGCGAAGGACAAGGGGGCCGGCCGCCACTCGAAGCCTGGGGAGCCAAGGACGGCCCCTCCCCTATAGCCTTTGGAGAGAGCTGGGCTCTGCGGAGACCTTGAGTTTGGATTTCTGGCCTCCAGAACCGTGAGAGAATCAATGTGGGTTGTTTTAAGCCACCTAGCTTGTGGCAGCCCCAGGAAACGAATACAGAGGCCCACAGAGGCAAAGTGCCCAGGACCCACAAAAGTCATCGTGCAGCCCTGGGGGCCTCTGCGGTACAAAATCTTTCTCAAGGGCGCAGTGGGACCGCTGGGTCCCTCCCCCTGCCTTAGAGCTACACAAGCTTCCTGCTGTAGGAATAGCGCTCAAGGAATGCCAGGAGTGTGAATGCCTTACTTCACTCTTTCCCCCTACTTGTTTGATAGTAGCATTTTATTTACTGCAAAATAAGGAAATTGGAAGGGAGGATTGAAATGTCCCCTTTTTGCTAAACAGTGGCCTGGCTCAGTCATTTCCCTATGAGCACAGGATTTCTCTCCCGGAACGGCTCCCACGAAGCACTCACCAGCGGGCAGCTGTCCTTTGTGCCATCCCTGGATCTGTTCTTTGCCAATCGCTTCTTCTTTTTGTGAAGTGGCTTGGATTCTAGAATCATCTCTTCAAGCTCAAATGTGGGATCGCAGTTCAACCTCCCTTTCTAAAGGGGAGTAGAAAAGAAAACATGGTCTGTCTGCGTTCCACCCATCACTGAATTTTCTTTTCATTAATTCAACCATTCATTCATTCAACAAGTAATGATGAACTTACTCTTGTTGGATACACGGGTTACCTTTGTTTCTGTTTTCTGATGATAAAAAGCAACACGTTCTCACTGTACACATCATATATTTACACATAGTCCCCCTGGGGCAACCGCACTCCTGTTAACATCCAGGTATTTCCTTAGGCCCCTTTCTATGCCTGTTTTTCATACTAGGCTGAGTTCAGTTTTCGAATCTGATTTTTTCACTTATTATTTTATCCTATGCACATTGTCCTGTCATTACTATCTTTTTTATAAAAATCATTCTAAATAACTTAAGAATACAATTTCAGCTCAAAATCTGCCCAACTTCCTGCCCTGGTTCCCTGCTCCGTACCCCCGCCTCCCGCCCCCTGGCAGCTAGAGTCAGCTGACCCTCCGGCCTGGCCCTGCTCCTGGCCAGGGGCTCCTCCCGCTGTGGTCAGGAGGAATTTAGGTCTCCCTGACTTCTGGGCCTTGGACCCAGATTCCTGGTAGCCACTTTCATTCCTCAGCTGTAGCCCAGATGATGGCCCCAGGTGCCGGTCCCCAAAGGCAATGCAGCCCGGTGGCTATAACAGCAGCTTTGGCGCGCACAGGGGAAAAATCCCAGTTCTGCTACTTCCTGATCTTGTAAGTTTCATGACTTCCTTGGGACTCAGTTCATTAGCTGTAAAGTTTGGGTAACAATAATTCCCATATAGGGAATTAATAATATAATATCTATAAAGTACTCCAAGTAGGGCCAGGCATGAAGCAAGTCCTCCCTACAGTGGTGGTCCCTGGGCCTGTTAGGACCTGGGCCTGCTGTGACCTGGCCAAGAAGGAGAGAGGCGAGGCACAGCCTTGAGGTCAGCCAGCCTTGCCACTGGGCCCTGTGTCCTCTCCTTTTACCTGCGTGATGCTGAGGGAGATTCATAACCTCTCTCTGCCTCAGTTTCCTCATCATTGTGAAATATGGCAGGCTCAGAGTTTGTTGAGGGATCAGATGATAAGAGTTTGCCAAGCTTCCAGAACGGTGGATGCCTGACCATGGTGGCCGTTCCACAACTGGCCATTCCCTCTGCTTCTCTGCTGTCCCCTCACCTCCCTAGGATTCCTGGCCTTGAACCCAATTTACAAGAAAGGGTCTTGCTACCTAAAGCTGAACTTGTCTTGGCCATGCTCCCTAATCTGCTTGATGCCAGCCAGTGCCTTTGCCATGACCTGGGGGCAGGAGGAAGACAGGGACTTTGCAGACAGAACTGGGGAAAGTCCTGGCTTCCCTAACTCCCAGGAACTCCCTAAACCTCTATGGGCCTCAGTTTCCATATTGTAAGATGAGGGCACTAGTGCAAGTCTGTGAGGCTGACATGAGAAAATGCAAGAAAAGCTCCTAGCCCAGCCCCTGCCACACAGGAGTTGCCCAATAAATGTTACCGAGTTGTTGTCACTGTGTCATTCGTGGGCTAATGGAGTGGAGTCCTATGTCCTTTGCCCCTTGCTTTCTCAGTCCTAGAGGCTGGGCCTCATCCTTTCTGTTGTGACCTGCTGTGGACCCTCCTTGGGTTCGCGGTACCAATGGCCTCTCCCTTCCCCTGCCTGGCACTGGGCTTTGTCCATCATCACCAACTCCTGGAACTCAACTATGATCACCTTCCCTGATTTCACACATCTGTCCTCCAGAAGTTGCCCTCCCCTAAGGAGCAAGTTGAATCTCAGGCCCAGGTCTCTCCAGACCTGTTTTACCTGCCACTCATTCATTCATTCATTCGTTCATAAATATGCAGGCTCTGCCTTGTTTTGCCTGCCACTCATTCATTCATTCATAAAAATGCAGGTTCTGGATCTAGACCATCTGAATTCAAACTCTCAATTTCTCACTGAGAAATCTTGGGCAAGTTGCCTAACCTTGCTGAGAATGCCATTAACAGGATCCACTGCCCAGGACTGGTGTGAAGCTGACACAAGATAAGTCACACAAAGTTATCAGAACAATGGCAGGTACACAGAACACGCTCAGACCTGTTGGCCATCATCATTCGTTCATTCACGTGACAAGCACACACTTAGGCCTTCTAGTGCCTTCTATTGTCACCCATTGTTCTGGGGTCTGGCTCAGGCAGAGAGAGGTCAGCCAACACTTCGCGGCCCTCACCCTCCGAAGCTCCCAGCAGGATGGCAGGCGCACTGCGACAGAGTGTTCTCACCACTGATGTATCCCTAGGCACTCGTGCAGAGGGTTGCAGGAGAGGCTGAGGCCTGCTCTGTGCAGGGAGGTGGTGGCGCTGGCTGGGAATGTCCCAGAGGAGGCCAAGCTTGGGCTTGTCTTTCCTTCAGAAGGTGACATAACTTGCCTGTCCCCTGCAAATCTCATGTTGAGATGTAATTCCCAGTTTGGGAGGTGGGGCCTGGTGGGAGGTGTTTGGTTCATGGGGACGGATCCCTCATGGCTAGGTGCTGTCCTCACAATAGTGAGTGAGCTCTGGTGAGACATCTGGTAGTTTAAGAGCGTGTGGCACCCCCCACCCCCACTGCTGTTCCTGCTCCTGCCACGTGACACACCTGCTCTTGCTTCACCTTCCGCCCTGACTGGAAGCTCCCTGATGCCTCCCCAGAAGCAAAGCTGATGCAGGTGCCATGCTTCCTGTACAGCCCGCAGGACTGTAAGCCAGTTAAGCCTCTCTTCTTTATAAATTACCCAACCTCAGTTATTCCTTTATAGCAATGCAAGAATGGCCTAATACAGAAGGCTTCTGCTGAGACTGGCAACTGGGCCAGTCCTTGCTTTATGCTGTCTTGAAGGAGGGGTAGGAGACTGCCTTGTGGACAAGGAGAGGAAGGGATCCCCGGAAGAGAAAGCGGCCTGTGCAAGGTTCCAGCTAGGAGACAGCACAGCCAGAGGGGAGGCTACAGACCTGTGGGTGGGGCTGAGGCTCACTGCCCTGTAGGTGGGCATGTGGTAGGGGGCTTGCTTGTGTGTGTGTGTGTTTGTATGGGAGTGTGCATGTGTGTGAAGGTGTGTGTGGGTGAGTATATATGTGAATGCATGTGCTTGTGTAGGATGAGTAGGTATGTGTGTGAGACTGTGTGTGGGGGCACGTGTGCATATGTGTGTGGGGGAATGAGTGTGCATGTGTGTCTATGTGTGAGTGTGACTGAGTGTGTGAGTGTGCATCAGTGTGTGGGTGTGTGCAGGAGAGGGGCTGAGGAGGAGCAGCAGGCCAGGGTGCTGCAAAGGCAGGCACCTGCCAACAGGCTCAGGCACACAATATGGCAAAGCCACAGGCTGACCCCAGATGCCCCCCAGGGCATCCCAGCACACAGCCTCAGGGAAGGCTCAGACAGCACTCGAGGAAGTGCTAATTAGGCAATTTGTGCCTGATGTGCAGGACTGCATCGAGATTCTTAGCCTTCGCCAGTCTCACCCTGAGTTTGGCAGATCAGAGCCTGTGAAGAAGGCGGGCATATTTCTCTGGACTGTCCAAAATGTGCATTAGGAAGGAAGTCAGCCACGGGAATGCGCGCAGAGCAGAGGCTTTGGAAGCCTCCGGGCTCTACTCCCCAGGCTCTGTGAGGGTCCTGGTTTCTCATCGGATCTGTGAAGAACTAGGGTGCAGCCGCCTGAGGTCACAGAGACGGCAGAAGAGACCCAAACCTTTACTCCCGGCTCAGCAGAGCCTGCGGGTCTCCTTCCGAGGGCCCTGCCCTGTGGTTTATTTTCTGTCTTTGTAGGTTTATTGGCTTATGGCTCCACAAAACCCTACCCTTGTGGTTGTCAACTGGGAACAACTTTATCCTCAGGGGATGCTTGGCAATGTCTGGAGACATTTTTGTTTGCACAACAGAGGGGATGCTACTGGCATCTCATGAGTACAGTCCCGGGGTGCTGCTCAACACTGTACAAGGCAAAGGACAGTCCCCCATCCCAGAGTGGTCCCTCCCCAAAGGTCGACCCGCAGTGGGGGCTGTGCACTGTTGTCTGTAAGCTCCCTGGCAGCCCTGGGGCTGTTTTCTTCCCAGGGGTCCAGCTCCTGTGCAGCACAGTGCTGGTGGGTGTAGGTGTTTGGGGGACACAGATGGTGACAGTAAGGTCTGTGCTTTTCACTTTCTCATTGGCCAGCGGAATAGGGTGGGAAATGGGATGCAGACTGCCTGCCCCCAGCATTGAGCCATTGCCCCCGCAGCTGCCCCTGCCGGCCCCAAGGCACACTTGCACACCACACACACACACAGATGCACACACACACACAGATGCACAGGCACACACAGACATATAGGCACACACACAGGCACACGGACACATATAGACATACAGACACACAGACACACAAGCAGGTACACACACACAGACACATACACACACACACATACAGACACAAAAACAGAGGCACACACACGCAGATACACAGGCACACATAGACATATAGGCACACACACCACGGGCATGCACACAGACATACAGACGTACAGACACACAGACACATGGGTACACACAAATGCACTGGCATGCACACACAGATGCACAGGCATACACACAGACACACTTCCACACATACCCACACAGGCACACAGAGCTCCCAGTTGGCCAAGTGAAACCCTAAAATAATTATATTGGGAGAACAGCAGAGAGCTCTACCTGAACAGCCACTCTATGCTAAGCCTGCCCTGGACACTTTGTCCCCATGGCCTGTTCCCACAGCAGTCCGAGGGGTGTCTGAAGAGCCAGGGAGCTTTCTGAACTCAGAGGCAGCACCATGTCCACTCTGGGGTCAAGGAAGCCTTCCAGCCGGGCAGATTCCCTAAGGTTAGGCAGGTCTGGGCGGGCAGAAGGAGGTCCAGGCAGTGGGAACGGCACATGGCCAGGCCTGGAAGAATGAAGGACGAAGCCCTGTGCGACCTGCCATTCCATAGCCTGTCTGGAGCCCTGCCTGCGAGGGAAGTGGGGAGAAAGGTGGGCTCAGGGGAGAGCAGGGCCAGCCCTGGACCAGGTGAACTGGCTAAGCAGGTGGGGATGCAACGCTGCTCACAGGGAGAGGACGGGAACAGATGAGCATCAGCCAGGCTTGGCTTCGGTTGGATTCAGTGGTGAACACTGGGCAGGCTGGGGAGGGTCTGTGTTCAGAAACGTGCGTGTGCGCTGCTACCACGGTTTGTGAAAAAGGTCTGGAAGCCTGGCACTCTTGGAGAAACTGATGTGGGGAGACATTATTTTTGCACCAAAAGGAGTGACGGAAGTCTTTAAAATAATCTGACATGAAACACTAGCCAGGGACGTCTGAGGCTCCCCAGGAACCAGCCTAGAAATCTCTTGCCTTCCAGGCTGGAGTCTCCACCTCCATTCACATAATACGGGGCTGGAACAGGCAACAACAAAGAGCAAATGTTGTCTCTTTCCTGCTCACACCACTGCTACCGGGCAGGGCAAGGACAGGTGAGCGGGTGGGGTGTGCTCTCCTAGGTCACAGATGGCAGAGGTGGCTGAACTGGAATGTCACCCAGGATTTCCATCCCAATTGTCACTATTCCTCAGGTGCTCTCTGCAATTCCCTCTAGGAGAAATGCAACTGCTCAACAGGAAGGGACCACAGGAGGCTTCCAGGCAGGTCCAAACTTTCAGCGTCTGTCCTGGAGGACCCAGGAGCCTCCAGCTCCTGCCAGAACCCTCCTTTAAAATGTAAATCCAATGCTTTCACTTCCCTGCCTTAAACACTCCAGTTTCTGGGGGACAAAACCTAAAACTTTGACCGTGGCCTCTGGAAGCCTTTTTGGTGTGGCATGTGTTCCCTCCTGGCCCCATTTCCTATTATATTCCCTCTGGTTTATTCCCTTAAATGCTATAAAATTGTTCTTTGAAACCCAGGCTTTCTGCTGCCTTCAAGAGTGTGATCTTGTCGATCCCTTTGCCTGGAAGGCTCAGTGCCCATCCCTGCAGTCCTGGTTCCCTCACTTTACCTCTAGGTCTCTGCCGACCCTTCCTAAAAGAAGCCCCTGCCTCTGCCCCTCCCATCCCACCTCTCCCTCTTCCGAGCTTGTGCAACAAGTGCTGACTGCCCTGTCGGGGTAGGTCATTGCCTGTCTTCCTCTACTCGGCAGTCAGCTCTGTGGAGGCAGAAGGGTAGATCAGCCTGCTATCCCCACACCTGGACCTGAGCACCTGGAGGTGGGATTCAGTGACAGAGAGAAGGCTTGGCACCCCCAAAGGACCTACCACAAGGAGGGAAGCTGTACGGCTGGGACCCTGGAAATCAGGCCCAAGTTCACCCTGAATTCCAGCAAGACATAAGCCCTTGGTGCTCAGGTGGAAGTGGCCAGCAGAGGGCTCACTAGCCAGCTGCCAAAGTCTTGCTTTGCACCAAGGCGGGGACCCTGCAGAGGGGTGGCATGACATCAGGTGGGACTTCCACTCACATTGGGCACAAAGCCGGGCATCAGTGCCTTCTTGAACACCGCGTCCCAGTTCATGTCGGCCAAGTAGGGCACGCTCTGTATGTCATGAAGGCTGGACACGCGGCTCTCAGGATCCTTGGTCAGGAGCTGCAGTTAGAGGGCAAATGAGTTTCCATGAATTGGGCATCCCTCAAGGTTAGCGGGGACTCTGAAGGAGGGGGTCTCAGGGCAATTAATGTGCCTCTGCTCTTCACGCTCTATTGATGTTGTGCCCCGTCTGGGTCACTGTTGTTGGAAGCGCCATCTGCACTCATCTCTTTATAGCCAGGGAGAAACTGAGAGGTCAGGCTGCTTCTGCAAGGTCATCCAGTGAGGGACTGTTAGGGCAGGGACCAGACTTTCAGCCCCCATGTTTCTTTCTGGGACTGGAGCCTGTAACAGGCTGCCTCTCTGATGTCTGGAGAAGCATCCAATTACAAATAGAAAGAATTAGCTGCCTCATCTTAGGATTTCCAACTTGGTAATGGGAGGCACCAAATTGTAATAAAATTTATACCTGGACAGCTACGAGGTGATCTCTGTGACCTAATGAAGTGGCCTCATTTGTAGCCAAGGGGACACTTTTTAGCTTCTCTTCTAATTGAGTTTCAGCTAATAAGGAGTGAGGTAGCATAAGAACAGCTGAAGACTATGACCTGGCATCCCAGCGGGCCTCCCAACTTGCCAAAACCCTGTAGCTTATCTACTGAAAAGGCACAGGGGCCAAGAATGAAAAGACAGAGGCCTGGCCCCGGGACTGTCATTTAACAGCTGTGACCTTGGGCGAGCTGCTGGGTGCCCTGGGCTCATTGCCTCCCTGAAAGCAGGGGGAATAATGGAGACTTCTCCACTTCCAGCTCATGGTAGGATGAGACCAAATGGGACTGGTAAGGACCTGGCACATACTTAGAAAGGTGGGGGGGGGGGGCACACCAGGGTCCACAGGTGGAGCTGGAAGTCAGAGCCCCCTGCCAGTTCACACACACCTGTCACTGCAGAAATCTCCCACCTATGCCCATTGAGTGGCTGCAGTCACAGCCCACAGGGATAGCTAGCAGGGGTTGCATCTGCTGATCATGGCTGCCACTCTTTAGGGGCTGTCCCAAAACAGTGGGTGCCAACTTAAGCAGGTTCCACTTCAATACCATGTGGAAGTTCACTGTTCAGGGCAGCTGTTCTGAAAACATGCTGATGTCCAGACCTGAGGGCCAGATTCTGAGTCACTTGGGTGGGCTGGGAGGTGCAGGCATTGGTGGTATGTAAGGCTTCCACATGGTTCTAATGAGCAGTCAGGGTTAAGAGACACTGACTTATAAGAACCAGGTGACGGGATGCGAGAGTGATCTGGCTGCGACACCTGTCATGCCATTGATTGCCAGGGTTGCTTCGGCTAATCTGGCTGGCTAGGCAGGTGTCCCCTTGCTCTCTCACGACTCCATGTGCATCCCTCCGAAAGCTGTGCACCCAGTCAAAGAGGATGACCATCCCCAATAGAGGAGGATCGGTCTTCGGTCAAGGGTATATGAGTAGCTGTGCTGCCCTGCTAGAGCCTCCAAACAAGCTCTCAAGAACCAGGTGGTGGATTTCCTTTAAAGTAATTTAACAGATTAATAATTCAACAAGCCATTATAGCCATGTAGGGATTAAAAGCTGGGACCTGAAGTTAGGAGAGTTTGGATCAAAATCCTGCTTCTGCCTTTTAATAGCTCTGTGGCATTGGTTGAATGATTTTGGTTTCCTATGCCTCAGCTTTCTCATCTCTGGTACTGGGATAGTGACACTTTCCCTGCTCACAGGGCTTGGGAGGAGTAAGGGAGAAGAGCCATCGTATGGCCCAGAACGCAGGACCCTAAACAGTGCTGGCTGCTATTGTCATCATTCCTTTAAAAACAACTGGGTGCCAACCTCACACAAGACTCAGCTCCATGCAAGACTCAGCTCCATGCATCGTGGAGGATGTGAAGGGAGCCTTAAAGGCAGGGCACCAAGATCTCCCGCCCATGTCGGACTGGAGTGCACACCAGAACCACCTGGAGAGCTCATGGAGACACAGACAGTGGGGCCCACCCCAGGTGTCTGATTCAGGTCTGGGTGGAGCCTGAGGATGTGCGTTTCTAACAGGCTCCCACATGACACTGATGCTGGCTGGTCCTAGGCCCATACCTTGGGAACCACTGCTTTAGTCTAATAGCAACAGTTCCTGCAGAAAGTCAAGGAGATTGATTCCTTCCTTCCTTCCTTCTTTCCTTTCCTTCCTTCCTTCCTTCCTTCCCTCCCTCCCTCCTTCCTTCCTCTCTCCCTCCATCCCTCCCTCCCTCCCTTCCGCCTCGCCTCGCTTCTTTCAGAGTTTTGCTCTTGTTGCCCAGGCTGGAGTGCAATGGTGCGATCTTGGCTCACCACAACCTCCACCTCCCAGGTTCAAGTGATTCACCTGCCTCAGCCTCCAAGTAGCTGGGATTACAGGCATGTGCCACCTACTTTTGTAGGTGGCTACTTTTGTATTTTTAGAGAGACGGGGTTTCTCCATGCTGGCCAGGCTGGTCTCGAACTCCTGACCTCATGTGATCCACCCACCTCAGCCTCCCAAAGTGCTGGAATTACAGGCGTGAGACACTGCGCCCAGCCGAGATACCCAATTTCTTAAAGGTCATTGAGTGAAAAGACCATGTGCAGCAGATTTAAAAAACCCACATGCAGGCTGGGCACGGTGGCTCACGCCTGTAATCCCAGCACTTTGGGAGGCCGAGGCTGGCGGATCACAAGGTCAGGAGATTGAGACCATCCTGGCTAACATGGTGAAACCCCGTCTCTACTAAAAATACAAAAAATTAGCCGGGCGTGTTGGCGGGTGCCTGTAGTCCCAGCTACTCAGGAGGCTGAGGCAGGAAAATGGCGTGAACCCGGGAGGCGGAGCTTGCAGTGAGTCGAGACTGCGCCACTGCACTCCAGCCTGGGCGACAGAGTGAGACTCCGTATATTAAAAAAAAAAAAAAAAAAAGAAAAAAAAAACCCCACATGCATTATTTCCGTTTATTAGGAGCTCGTAGCAGAGTGACAAGAGCCTAGGGGCTTGCGGTCAGAGCCGCCACAGTCCTCCGAGGTGTGCTGATCTGCACGCACCCCCATAACAGCGTTTATTCCACGGCATTTGGCATTTGAGCGCAGCTGATTTGATCATCTCTACCCCGAGTATGCCATTTGTATTCTCACCCCTTCGTTTGCTGATATGGCTGTTTCTACACTCACCGTAGCTCCCTGGCGGGGCAGGCTGGAAGCTGCCCCCTTACCTTCCTCAGCAGGGCCACCATCCCCTTGCACCACGTGGAGGAGTAGTGGACACGCTCCACCTTGAACATGTTGAGGATTTCATCGATGGGCGTGACCGAGTGGATTTCGTACGGCCTCTGCAATCAAAGAACAACAGCCAGAATCAGAGAGAGAGCCATTGGAAGGCACCGTCCGCATTTTAAGATTGTATGATTATGAGGGATGGTTTATTCTTCCTCTTCAAGTAACAGTGGGTGCTTCTCTTTCACGGCAGAGCAGGTGGCCCGAACCCAAGTGCCAACAGTAACCAGGCCCAGGGGGCAGTGCAGGACCTGGCAGGTGGGTGCTGCTGCTGTGGCCACAGCATGTTAGGGGTGGCTCACCGAGGTCACACAGCCCACAAATGCCAGAGGCAGGACTCACTGTCAGCAGCTTAACACCAGAGTCCCTGCTCCAGTCACAGGCTTGCGGGCTGACTCTTGCCGTCCACCAGGCACCCACGGACACCTCCAGTCATAGCCCCCACTTGCTGGGCCTTGGCCGCCACTTTCCCTGTCCGGGCCGAACTGGCCCATGGGGTGGACAGAGCTGAGATGGCCAGTGTCTGGGTGTGGTTGGGCTGAGGGATGGGAGGACCCCAGCCTCGTCCCCTGACTTCTCACCTGTCCTCCCCTCCCTACAGTGAGGATGTGTAAGCTCTGCTCTCCCCCAGTTTCTGAACTTGGTAGAAAATGAAGCCTCCTGACCATGTTTTCTCAACATTGCCATGTGCAGTTTCTTGCTTCTAAGCCCCTCTCAAAGCTTGGGAAGATTTTCTTGACTGTGACCCTGGGGACAAGGCTTGGAGTGCTTCTGAGCAGCAGTGCACTCCCGGTCCCCGCTCCCCCTGCCCCAACCCCCATGAACATTATCTCCCAGAGCCTCTCCAGCTGAACTGCGGTCCAAGATGTTTTCAGGTTGGTATCATGGCCACATGTCTTGGGATGACAAAAACAACAGTTTCCCTGGCACGTGTGGTGGTACAACAAACTGATCCTGGAGAAATCTGAGCGATGAATTCGTGATTAACCCATATGAAGTTGACTGCCATTAATATGTGCCAGTAAAATTAGTGCTGTCTGTCTCCTCCACGAAGCTGTGGGCTGCTCAAAGGGGGAATTTGACCACGCTCATTTCTGTGTTCTCGGGGCCCCAGTAGTGTCTGTCATCGAGCAGGGTCCCAGAGCATGGCGACAGTGAACGTCTCAGTCCCTCCGCAGGTGCTGAGCGAACGCTGACCCTGAGTCAGACGCCATACTGGGATCCCACTGCCACCTTGGTCCCTGGGTTTGGGGTTTCCAGGTACACACTGTGAAAAAACACTCACTTGTACTGGCTGCACCTTGAGTTCTTGCTTCGGAAAAGTTCCAAGAAGCCCAGCCCTGCAAACCAGTAGGATCTGGAGATGCCAGAGTTGGGAATGAACTCCCCTTATCTCCATGCTGAAAACCCCGCCAGGGGAGGAGCTGATTTCCTATGCATGCGGCATATGTAGAAGCATGATCCGCTTGCACTGACCTTACTGGCCACCCTCCCAGGTTGTGGTCATTGGACTGTCACCACCACGTGATCGAGCCTACATGTTGTGTGGGTAACACTGCGGCACTTAAGGTCCTGGCTCCAACCTCATGGAACGGCAATTCCCACAGGGCTGCTGCAGACAGAAGGCGCCCGCCCAAAGGGGCGAGGGGTCCCGATCCTTGGTAGGGCTACAGTTCCCTGGAGTGAAGGGACACCTTTATCTTTACCAAACAGGAGGCCCTGGAGAAGATGTTGGCCCTCAGGGGTGCGCCTCTGCCCCCTCAGATGTGCACACCCAGAAGGGAGCTTTTTTTCCTGAGTGGCACCTTCTCTCTTATCTGTTAATTGAGTGAGGACCTGTCCATTTCACCGTATAATAGGCAGAGCAAAACCAAAACCCGTGGGCTCTCTAGAAAGTCTAGTTAACTTGATACACTAACACTTAAAAAATCTTTCTTCAATTTTTTTTAATCTAATGGGAAAGTTACTTCCATGAACGAGCATTTTCTGCCCATCATTGCGTGTGTGAGATCCCTTCGCACTTCACCAGAAACAACTACCATAGTTAGAATGATGAGAGCCGATCTTAACTGAAAATGCCCCTTACGTGACACAAAGCTCATAGAATCTTTATGAGCTGGTGACTGTTAACATGACCATTTCACAGAAGACAAAACCGAGGCACTATATCCTGGAGCTGGGCACTGAGGTGAAAGGCCAGGCAGTGTGAATTGCCAAGGCTCACCTCTGACCACTGCTGCTACAGGGGAAATTGTGTCCCCCAAATTCATATGCTAAAGTCCTAGCCCCCAGGACCTCAGAATGTGACCTTATTTGGACATAGGCTCTTTCTAGAAGTAATCCAATCGAGTCATTAGAGTTGGTCCTAATTCTACGTGACCTGAGTCCGTATAAAAGGGGGACTTTATGGCACAGAAAGACACATAGAGGAAAGACGATGTGAACAAGACAGCCATCCACAAGCCAAGCAGAGAGGCCTGGAATAGGTCCTTCCCTCAGCCTCAGGAGGAACAAGCCCTGCCAACCACTTCATCTCAGACTTCTGGCCTTCAGAACTGTGAGAGAATAATTTCTGTTTAAGCCACCCAGTGTGTGGATCTTAGTTACGGCCATCACAGGTAATGAACAGCAGCCCTACAGAGCTCTCACTCCAGGAGGTGGCTGACTTTGACTCTGCTCCTGTGATGAACTGGTGACCTCTGTAGATGGGGCCCGGCATGAGCGGGACAGACATGGTCCCTCCTGCACTGAGCTCACTGTCTTGGAGAGAGATGGGCAATAAAGAGAGGTCGGGGGTGGAATGAGTGCTGGGGAGGGAATCTATGGGGCTGCTGGGCATGTTTGCGGAAGGGCAGTTCTCTATAATTTCCACAGGGGCAGGGACAGGAGACCCAGAGCTCAGGGCTACCACTGGGAGATGAGCTGGGGCTGAGTTCAGTTTTGGACTTCTTTTTTTTTAGATGGAGTTTCACTCTTGTCGCCTAGACTGGAGTGCAATGGTATGATCTCGGCTCACTGCAACCTCCACCTGCCAGGTTCAAGCGATTCTCCTGCCTCAGTCTCCCAAGTAGCTGGGATTACAGGCACGCGTCACCATGCCCCACTAATCTTTTTTATTTTTAGTAGAGACCGGGTTTTACCATGTTGGCCAGGTTGGTCTCGAACTCCTCACCTCAGGTGATCTGCCCGTCTCAGCCTCCCAGAGTGCTGGGATTACAGACGTAAGCCACTGCACCCAGCCGTTTTGGACTATTTATAATTGCTCCTTCCTGTCTTTTTTGCTTTTCAATAAACAGTTCTGCCCAAAACAGTCCCACCCCTACCCTGAAAAGGAGGTGCAAAGACCCTGGACAATGATGGGGCACTTCATCCCTCATTTCAAACGTCAGGAAACTGAGGCTGGGAGATGAAAAGAGACTTTCCCAATGTCCCCGATTCTCATCCCCTGGTCTTTCTGCATTGCCACCAGAGACCCAGAATCCAAGCACCCAACTTGAACACCAGCCAGAAACAAATGTAAATGTTTTCTTATCATTTACATTTCATTCCCTGTTTCCTTATTGGTCATTCAAGGTGCTCATCAATTCTGCTATTCCACTGGACCTCCACATGAGCTACTCTCTCTCTCTCTCTCTCTCCCTAATCTCTGTAATTCTCTCTCCTTCTGGAGGCAACCGGACCAATTACAAAAACAATGATGATAATAATAACTCCAATGCACTAGGAAGCCAGTGCAGGAAATACATTTAGAAATGAGTTCGGAACATGATGACTAAAACAAGTTCCACAGCTTTAGGCACCAGGTTCAGCCGTCATCTGTTTGAGTGGTTGTAGAGAAACGTAGGTTCTTTTATAAGATGACTGGCAAATATTAAGATCAATATCCTGTCTGCTTGTACTGATGCTGAGTTCTCTCACTCGCTGGCCTTAGGATATGCTGTGTCAGAATACCAGGTGGTATTTATAAGGTAAAGTAATTCCATGTACTGCTGGTAAAAGCAATTTTAGCAGTGGGACATTGGATATACTTATTATGGAGTGTGGGTATGTCTCTATTCCAGGAAACTCGGTTTCTAAAAAAAATTTTGCCAATTTACCAAAAAATAGAAGACAGAGGAAAAGAATTGCCGGATGTCTGTCATTTTCACTGTTAAAGTTGAGCTGGGCCTTGGAGACCATCTAATCCAATTTTTTTTTCCCAAAATCTTTTTACTCAAAATCCCAAACACAGAACAGATGAAAGTGAAAAACAGTTCCTTAGGCAATTTAAACCTCCAAACCCCAGAGAAACACTTTCCCTGCCCCTGGAACCGTTGAATCATCTCTGCAGGGTCCTAGAGTCTGAGAAGCACAGCTTGAAAACACTGAACAATTCACAAAGGTCCTTCCTCCTCCTTTGAATGGAGATCACAGACTCCATTACCTCCCAGGCTTGTGACTCCTGGCACAGTGCTCTACTGGCTCCCTTGGTGAGGTTACCTGGTCCTGTTTCTCCAGGTTCAGCCCACCCACGCCTTGTACATCCAGCGGTACTCAGTGCCGCTCTCTCACCTCTCGGCGGAGCTCTGGGCAACCTCCCTCCACTCGCTGGCCTCTCTGTACCCTCAACCTTCTCTGTCTACCCATTCCTAAGGAGAAGTGCTGACTGGGGTCAAAGGCAAGGCTAACACCAGGTCAGGGAGGTGGTTGATGGGTGAGCAAAGAGGGTAAAGTCCTCATGTCCCCATGGAGTGGGCACCAAGAAGCACAGAATGTGGATGGGAACACATCTCTGCTCATGAAGCCCATAGGCCTTACATGCTAATGGTCAGCAAACAGGTATGATCCAGCCTCTGCTCTCCGTGCCTGTCTCTAGTGGTTGAAGGGTGCTAAAGTGGGAAGGATGCAGGCTTTCAAGCAGGTCCTCCCAGGGTAGAAGTCCTAGGTGATGTGAAAGGGGCGAGGGTTCCTTGAAATCCCACTCCATGGGGGTGCAATGCATTGTGCTAATGGCCTCACCTGCAGGATCCCACTTAGTCCTCCTGGTTGTTCTATGGCAGTGGTTCTCAATCAGGGACAACTGTCCCCCAGGGGATATGTGGCAATGTTTGGAGTCATTTTGGATTGTCATAACTGGGTGGGGAGTTCTGCTGGCATCTGATGGGTGGAGGCCAGTGATATTGCTGGACATCCTAACAATGCACAGGACAGTCCCGCACCACAAAAAATCATCTGGCCTCAAATGTCCATAGTGCCGAGGTGGAGAAACCTGTACCACGGGCCTGTACTACTGTTCTCCCCATTTTATAGATAAGAAACAGGCTCACTGAAGACCATTGAGAGTCTAGGTGGCAAAGTCAGGATTTGAACCCAGACATATGTGGTTCTATGTATAATATGACCACTGTGCTGTCACTTCTCTGCTTAGGTACCATGGATAGTACCACATTACCTACAGAGTAAAGCCAAATGCCTCCAGCTGGCCTCAGGTCCTTTATAGACTGTCCCCTCACTATCCTTCTGACAGGTGGGTAGGCCAAAATGTTTGTTGAATCAGCCCTAGCTTCCACTTCTCTACCTGCGCTCACATTATTCCTTCCAGCCATTCATATGTGACCGAACTTCAATGTCTTCTCCCCCTGAAATTCTCCCCTGCTCCTCTAAACCTAAGTCAGCAGAGCTTTACCTGCATCTACCTGTCTTGTGGAATCATCGTTGTGTGTGTATTTACTTATTTGCACAATAATCCGCACATCTCCTGTGTGCCAGACACCGCCTATGCCCTGATTACATTTTCTCATGTAATCTCACATGACCCTGCAGGTGGGCCTGATAAACCTTCTTTTGTGAATGAGGAAGCCAGGGCTCAGATGAAGTTAAGTGACTTAGCCCAAATCACAACACCAAGAAGCACAGAGTGTGGATGGGAACCCATCTCTGCTCATGAAGCCCATTGGCCTTACTTGCTAATGGTCAGCAAGCAGGTGTGATCCAGCCTCTGCTCTCAGTGCCTGCCTCTAGTGCTTGAAGATGCTAAATTGGGAAGGACACAGGCTTTCCAGCAGTTCCTCCCAGGGTAGAAGTAATAGGGGGATGTTTCCTGAGTGCCAGCCATTCATCAGTCTTGGAGCTGGGTAATTAACATAATCAGAATCATTTAATTCTCAAAGCAATCCTATTGGGTAGATATAATTACTAATTTCTTCTTGTTAATACAAACGGATTCTGAATATTCAGTCTGTTTAAAAGCCTTGCTTAGGATCCCAGATGGGGTACCTGGTTAGAGCCAGGGTTTGAACCTGTGAGATTCCTCTAAAGGTTATTTTTCTCTATTATAAGGAAGCAGCTTTCGACTGAGTAAGGGGAAAATAATTTCTAGCCATTACAGCTGTTCAAGAGTGAAAAAGATTCTTTCTGGAGGTACAACGCTCCCTGGATCCTGAGGATAATCAATGAACAGATGGGTGCTCACCTGTCAGAGAGACTTTGAGGTTTGTTGGGACAATGGGTGGCTAAAGATCTGTCCATCTCTTCTCTGTGGATATGGTCAGGGGAAGGGAGATCTCCTCATATCTCTTTCCATAGTGTTCTCTGGAGAGGCAGTAGTCAGAGTGCCAGGGTGACTGGGGCACCAAAAGGAATTCTGGGGAGTGGCCCCTACTTGGGCCTTTTTCTTTCAATCAGCATGCCTGCCAGGGTAAGAACTAAGATTCTAGTTTGGGTCAGAGAGAAGTTGGATCCTACTTAGGTCTCTTGTCTAGCCTACAAGCTCCAACCAAAAGCACAGGGTTCTCTGCATCAGTGATTCCCAATATTTTTGGCACCAGGGACTGGTTTTGTGGAAGACATTTTTTTCCATGGACTAGGGTTGCGGGGATGGTTTCAGGGTGATCCAAGTGCATTACATTTATTCTACACTTTATTATTATGATATTGTAATATATAATTAAATAATTATACAACTCACCATAATGTAGAATCAGTGGGAGCCCTGAGCTGGTTTTCCTACAACTAGGCAGTCGCATCTGGGGGTGATGGGAGACAGTGACAGATCATCAGGCATTAGATTCTCATAAGGTGCACGCACCCTAGGTCCCTCGCATGCACAGTTCACAAGAGGGTTTGCACTCCCATGAGAGTCTAATGCTACTGCTGACCTGACAGGAGGTGGAGCTCAGGTGGTGATGTGAGTGACGGGGAGCAGCTCTAAATACAGAGGAAGCTTCCCTGGCTCACTTGCCATTCACCTTCACCCCCTGCTCTGCTGTGCGGCCAGTTCCTAACAGGCCACAGGCCAGTACCCAGCCCCAGGGGTTGGAGAACCCTGGTCTGCACTGTGGTCTCAAACCTGCCAACAGGACTTGGTCCCTCTGCTGTCCATAAAGCATGCTTGGCTCCTCATGAGGAGAAACAGCTGTTTTCCTGGGTCCCTGGCTAACAAGCCATATTAATATCAATTTTCCACCCATTATTTTCAATGCATTCCAACTTTAAGATCCTAGAACAACATTGGGAATTCCCACTATAACCTTTTTATGTGAGACAGAGTCTTGCTCTGTCACACCCAGGCTAGAGTGCAGTGGCACGATCTTGGCTCACTGCAACCTCCGCTTCCCGGGTTCAAGCAATTCTCCTGCCTCAGACTCTCGACTAGCTGCGATTACAGGCACCCGCCACCATGCCAGGATAATTTTTTTGTATTTTTAGTAGAGGCAGGGTTTCACCATATTGGCAAGGCTTGTTTCGATCTCCGACCTCAGGTGATCCGCCCTCCTCGGCCTCCCAAAGAACTGGGATTACAGATCTGAGTCACCGTGCCTAGCCTCCACTATGACTTTCTTTCCTCTTTTGGACGAAAGGAGCTCCCTGGATCCTACCCAAGGATGTTGTCATTGACATCACTGAGGAATTCCAAGAGGGGGGATAACTCCTAAATTTACGTAGTCCATGGATAAATATGAGTGTTTTTCAGCACAGCTTTTTGACTAAATCAACGGTTTCCAGTATGAAAAACAGAGAATAAATTATTTGCATAAACCTGTTGTCCTTTGGGTCAAAGAAGCAGCCAGTCAAATATATCTGGGAGAAAGATTTACAGTAGTACGTAACAGGTGGTGTTCTTTCATTCCATTACTTTGTCTCCATGCCAAAGGCCTGGATCCCCCATCATTTGCTTCTTCCTCTTCCAAGAAGCACCATCCTTGAAAATAGCATCTGGATCTTTCAGCAGAAAACTCAGAAGAATTAAAAAATAAAATAAAATAGTTTATTTGTGAATCAGCAAGGACCACTCCATCCTTGAGGCTTTTTGCCAAGCTATCATCTTTGATTGCACTGACCCATGAGGAATGACTGCCAATATCTTTTCTGTTGGCAGGAGCCCAGTCACGTTTAGGGCAAATGCTCGCCAAGGTCATTGCTGTGATTGATTACATAAGATTAACAGCCTCTGGCGGATGCCGGTGTGTTCTGGTTCCTACGACATCGTGGACCCTCATATTCCTCCTCTGAGTATATATATCAAAGGAAACAGCTAACAGGAAACGAACCGAGCAGGAACACCACACAGGCACCTGTCTTATGCAGCCCCGCAGCAGCTCACAGGTAAATCTGCGGGACATTAATTCTTTTCATTCAGTGAACAAGCTCATATTTTCTTTGAATTCTAAGAATGCAATGTATAATAATTATGTTTTTGAGGAATTCAGGGGAAATAACTGAGATCAAGAGCAGAAAATTGTTGCTTAACTACAGGGTGACAAATAATACTTATTTGCACTCACAGCGTTCATGGTGTACAAACTGCTCTCATCACTCATTCATTCAACAAACATTCAGTCAACACCCATTACAACCATGCAATGGGACACCCACAGTGAATAAGACACCATCATGCCCTCAAGGAAGGCACCTCCTATGGGCATGAATATGCATGTATGTAAATGACTGAAACAACATTAAAACTGTAGCCTGTGGGAGAATCTGGCTCTTTGCTTCTGTCAGCTCTGTGCTGGGCACTGGTGCTATGGAGATGAGTCTCAGGCAAACCATGTCTCCCACAGTCCAGGAACACAGGAATCCTAAAACTCCAGCTCCGCTAAATAGACAGAAAGGATCTTATTATCCCCGTTATAACAATGAGGAAACCATGGTCCTGAGACATGGTGAAGTGACATCCTTTTCAAATGATACTTGTGCAAAGAAATAACACCTCAAAATGAATTTTAGTCAAAGTACTTTCTTTTTCTGAGACAGGGCCTCACTCTGTCACCTAGGCTAGAGTGCAGTGGTGCCATCATGGCTCACTGCAGCCTTGACCTCCCAGGCTCAAGTGATTCTCCTGCCTCAGCCTCCCAAGTAGCTGAGACTACAAGCGAGTGCCACCACGCTCAGCTATTTTTTTTAAATTATTATTATTTGTAGAGATGTAATTTCCCTATGTTTCCCAGGCTGGTCTCAAATTCCTGGGCTCAAGCAATCCTCCCACCTCAGCCTCCCAAAGTGCTGGGATTACAGTGCTGAGCCACTGTGCCTGGCCTAGACATAATACTTTCTGCTCAAACAAAAAAATGTGTTATTACAGCCACCAAATAGCCCCATTAATCATCTTCAGCTTGTAAATTTAAATGCAATAAAATACAAATACGTATTGATTGAATGTCCCATTTTTATAGGACACTGAGTTAGATATTCAGGGAAGATGTGAAACAAAGAGAAAAAAGAAGCATGGTCTTCACCTTTAAAGATTTTCCAATCAGCTAGAAAATCAGACATGAAGACCTTGTGTTGTGGGTTCAAAGAGGACAGTGTTTGAAACCACGAGGCCAAGGCGCTTTGATGTTTGACTTGTCACTGATCCGCTGTGGGCCTTTGTGTAAGACCCTCCCCCACTGAATGCCTCTTTCCCATCTGTACAATGAGTGGGTTGGACCAGAAGTTCAGGGCGTTCATAGGCGGCACACAGGCATCAGGACTGAAACCTGGGGGGCAGTGACTCCCCCAGTGCTCCTTCCTGCACCGCGGGCCCTGCCGACTCTGCCCGTCCAGGTACAACGTGAGCCCCCACTGCACAGCCCCTCGTGTGTACCGCACAGGTGCCTGTCTTACCCAGCCCCGCAGCAGCTCATAGGCTGTGATGCCCAGGGACCACCAGTCGACAGGGTACGAGTATCCGGGGCCTCTGTCCATGTACACCTGGAATACTTCTGGAGCTGCCAACGAGAGGACAAGGAGAACATCATTGTGTATCCCAGTTTATGGCCACCACCCCTTAGAGAGGGGACAAGGAGAGAAATTGAGCTTGTTTTTTTTTTTTTTGTTTTTTTTTGAGATAGAGTTTTGCTCTGCTGCCCAGGCTGGCACATAATGGCGCAATGTCGGCTCCTCTGTGCCTTAGTTCAAGCGATTCTCCTTCCTCAGCCTGCCGAGCAGCTGAGATTACAGGCACCTGCCACCATGCCTGGCTAATTGTGATATTTTTAGTAGGGATGGGGTTTCACCTTGTTGGCCAGGCTGGTCTCGAACTCTTGGCCTCAGGTGATCTGCCCGCCTCAGCCTCCCAAAGTGCTGGGATTACAGGCGTGAGCCATCGCATCCGGTCAGAAATCTAGCTTTCTTGGACAGTAAAACCTGTACTTTTTTCACTATGCCATGTGGTTTGTACCCTCAGTAAGCCATGAGCTGTCTGAGAACAAGTTACAGGCATCACAGGAAGCACTGGCGTGACACTACCGGGTGGAATGCAGATGGGATGCCCTGAGGGGGCATGGAAGGGCCGTCCACTTGGCGAAAGGGAAGACATGCCCCTGGAGGGGGTGGATTGGTGGAGTATGTTTGCTGGGAGAACGGGTGGGGTAAACCCAGAGTGAGGAAGAGGAACAGAACCCCCAGGGGGTTGAGAACCTTGAGAAATGGACACTTAGAGCTCTGTGCCTGGGGCCTATCTCAGGGACAACTATATTTTAGCATAGGTGACATCTAACATGAAATACCCACAATGAGTAAATCCACAAGACAGAAAGCAGATTGGAAGTTGCTAGGGGCTGTGGGTGGGGAAGGGAGGGTGGGTGCACCTCCTTCATGGGTACCGGTTTTCCTTTGGGGTTGCTGAAAACAAATGGGTTGGAACTAGACAGAGGCGGTGCTCATAAAACATTGTGAATGTACTGAATGCTACTGAATTGTTCACTTTAAAATGGCTAATTTTATCTTATGTGAATTTCACCTCAATAGAAAAAATACAGCGAAGGGGATGGAGGCCCAAGAGTGGTGGACCCTTATTCTTCAGGGTGCTGCATTTGTCCTGGGGTCCTTGTCTCTGATCACTCTCCAAGGGGCTGAGTGGTGGGTTATCTCAGTGCCTCACCTCCACCTCACTAGGCCCGGAGTGCATTGTAGGGTCTAATTGTCTATGTGGGCTTCCAGGAACATTTTGTGAAATGTTCATTATTTCTAGTAAATTAATTTGCAGGCATAAGTCCATTTTACAGTTGTCAGAGCAGCCGAAATCTGCCCCGGGGAGCCACATACTGTTGTGATTAAAGCTGTCTCAACTCAGTTTCTAGATGGGCATTCACTCGGCATGGAAACAAGATCCAGGATGAGTTGACCTGGGGGCGCTGGCTGGGCAGCTACACACTTGAATCTGACCAGCAGCCACATTCTAGCTGCCCCCTGGCGATATTCTCCATTTGCTTCACATTTTCTAAGTGCACTTTCACCCACGGGCTCTCCTTTCCTCTTCACAACAGCCTCCGGGGACATGTTTTACAGGGGAGGTTCAGAGAGGGCCAGCAGTATGAAGAGGTCACACAGCCAGGAAATGCAAAGCTGAGATGCACCTTACAGGTCTGCTGAATTCCTGTTTGAAGTAAGGTTCGTCTCAACATTTCGTTCAGCACAAACTACATACTCAGTGCCACATAGTGGAATGGTGCACTTGGGAATTTGAGAACATGTCCCTTAGATTATTTGGTCCTTACAAAGGAACTGACATTGTGCCCTGGGAAACAGGAAGACCACTGGTGCTGCTGGAGTTACCTGTTAGTGATAAGTGACTTACCTTCTCTCTGCCTCAGTTGTGTAGAATGTAGATAATAATAATGGTTTATTCATTGGGCTGTTGTGAGGATTAAGTAGATTAAATAAGATAATCTATACTAAGAGTTTAGCAGGATGCCTGGCCCGTAGTGAGTGCTCCATGAACATTAGGCATTACTAACAGTCAAATCATGATCCTTAAGAATGCCCAAGGCGGGGGGAGGAGCCAAGATGGCCGAATAGGAACAGCTCCGGTCAACAGCTCCCAGTGTGAGCGACGCAGAAGACGGGTGATTTCTGCATTTCCATCTGAGGTACCGGGTTCATCTCACTAGGGAGTGCCAGACAGTGGGCGCAGGTCAGTGGGTGTGCGCACAGTGCGCGAGCCAAAGCAGGGCGAGGCATTGCCTCACTTGGGAAGCGCAAGGGGTCAGGGAGTTCCCTTTCCGAGTCAAAGAAAGGGGTGACGGACGGCACCTGGAAAATCGGGTCACTCCCACCCAAATACTGCGCTTTTCCGACGGGCTTAAAAAACGGTGCACCACAAGATTATATCCCGCACCTGACTTGGAGGGTCCTACACCCACGGAGTCTCGCTGATTGCTAGCACAGCAGTCTGAGATCAAACTGCAAGGCGGCAGCGAGGCTGGGGGAGGGGCGCCCGCCATTGCCCAGGCTTGATTAGGTAAACAAAGCAGCCCGGAAGCTCCAACTGGGCGGAGCCCACCACAGCTCAAGGAGGCCTGCCTGCCTCTGTAGGCTCCACCTCTGGGGGCAGGGCACAGACAAACAAAAAGACAGTAGTAACCTCTGCAGACTTAAATGTCCCTGTCTGACAGCTTTGAAGAGAGCAGTGGTTCTCCCAGCACGCAGCTGGAGATCTGAGAACTGGCAGACTGCCTCCTCAAGTGGGTGCCTGACCCCTGACCACCGAGCAGCCTGACTGGCAGGCACCCCCCAGCAGGGGCACACTGACACCTCACATGGCAGGGTATTCCAACAGACCTGCAGCTGAGGGTCCTGTCTGTTAGAAGGAAAACTAATAAACAGAAAGGACATCCACACCAAAAACCCATCTGTACATCACCATCATCAAAGACCAAAAGTAGATAAAACCACAAAGATGGGGAAAAAACAGAACAGAAAAACTGGAAACTCTAAAAAGCAGAGCGCCTCTCCTCCTCCAAAGGAATGCAGTTCCTCACCAGCAACGGAACAAAGCTGGATGGAGAATGACTTTGACAAGCTGAGAGAAGGCTTCAGACGATCAAATTACTCTGAGCTATGGGAGGACATTCAAACCAAAGGCAAAGAAGTTGAAAACTTTGAAAAAAATGTAGAAGAATGTATAACTAGAATAACCAATACAGAGGAGTGCTTAAAGGAGCTGATGGAGCTGAAAACCAAGGCTCGAGAACTACGTGAAGAATGCAGAAGCCTCAGGAGCCGATGCGATCAACTGGAAAAAGGGTATCAGCAATGGAAGATGAAATGAATGAAATGAAGCGAGAAGGGAAGTTTAGAGAAAAAAGAATAAAAAGAAACGAGCAAAGCCTCCAAGAAATATGGGACTATGTGAAAAGACCAAATCTACGTCTGATTGGTGTACCTGAAAGTGATGGGGAGAATGGAACCAAGTTGGAAAACACTCTGCAGGATATTATCCAGGAGAACTTCCCCAATCTAGCAAGGCAGGCCAACGTTCAGATTCAGGAAATACAGAGAATGCCACCAAGATACTCCTCGAGAAGAGCAACTCCAAGACACATAATTGTCAGATTCACCAAAGTTGAAATGAAGGAAAAAATGTTAAGGGCAGCCAGAGAGAAAGGTCGGGTTACCCTCAAAGGGAAGCCCATCAGACTAACAGCGGATCTCTCGGCAGACACCCTACAAGCCAGAAGAGAGTGGGGGCCAATATTCAACATTCTTAAAGAAAAGAATTTTCAACCCAGAATTTCATATCCAGCCAAACTAAGCTTCATCAGTGAAGGAGAAATAAAATCCTTTACAGACAAGCAAATGCTGAGAGATTGTGTCACCACCAGGCCTGCCTTACAAGAGCTCCTGAAGGAAGAACTAAACATGGAAAGGAACAACCGGTACCAGCCACTGCAAAATCATGCCAAAATGTAAAGACCATCAAGACTAGGAAGAAACTGCATCAACTAACGAGCAAAATAACCAGCTAACATCATCATGACAGGATCAAATTCACACATAACAATATTAACTTTAAATGTAAATGGACTAAATGCTCCAATTAAAAGACACAGACTGGCAAATTGGATAAAGAGTCAAGACCCATCAGTGTGCTGTATTCAGGAAATCCATCTCACGTGCAGAGACACACATAGGCTCAAAATAAAAGGATGGAGGAAGATCTACCAAGCCAGTGGAAAACAAAAAAAGGCAGGGGTTGCAATCCTAGTCTCTGATAAAACAGACTTTAAACCAACAAAGATCAAAAGAGACAAAGAAGACCATTACATAATGGTAAAGGGATCAATTCAACAAGAAGAGCTAACTATTCTAAATATATATGCAACCAATACAGGAGCACCAAGATTCATGAAGCAAGTCCTGAGTGACCTACAAAGAGACTTAGACTCCCACACATTAATAATGGGAGACTTTAACACCCCACTGTCAACATTAGACAGATCAACGAGACAGAAAGTCAACAAGGATACCCAGGAATTGAACTCAGCTCTGCACCAAGCGGACCTAATAGACATCTACAGAACTCTCCACCCCAAATCAACAGAATATACATTTTTTTCAGCACCACACCACACCTATTCCAAAATTGACCACATACTTGGAAGTAAAGCTCTCCTCAGCAAATGTAAAAGAACAGAAATTATAACAAACTATCTCTCAGACCACAGTGCAATCAAACTAGAACTCAGGATTAAGAATCTCACTCAAAACTGCTCAACTACATGGAAACTGAACAACCTGCTCCTGAATGACTACTGGGTACATAACGAAATGAAGGCAGAAATAAAGATGTTCTTTGAAACCAACGAGAACAAAGACACAACATACCAGAATCTCTGGGACACATTCAAAGCAGTGTGTAGAGGGAAATTTATAGCACTAAATGCCCACAAGAGAAAGCAGGAAAGATCCAAAATTGACACCCTAACATCACAATTAAAAGAACTACAGAAGCAAGAGCAAACACATTCAAAAGCTAGCAGAAGGCAAGAAATAACTAAAACCAGAGCAGAACTGAAGGAAATAGAGACACAAAAAACCCTTCAAAAAATTAATGAATCCAGGAGCTGGTTTTTTGAAAGGATCAACAAAATAGATAGACTGCTAGCAAGACTAATAAAGAAAAAAAGAGAAGAATCAAATAGATGCAATAAAAAATGATAAAGGGGATATCACCACTGATCCCACAGAAATACAAACTACCATCAGAGAATACTACAAACACCTCTACGCAAATAAACTAGAAAATCTAGAAGAAATGGATAAATTCCTGGACACATACACTCTCCCAAGACTAAACCAGGAAGAAGTTGAATCTCTGAATAGACCAATAACAGGAGCTGAAGTTGTGGCAATAATCAATAGCTTACCAACCAAAAAGAGTCCAGGACCAGATGGATTCACAGCCAAATTCTACCAGAGGTACAAGGAGGAACTGGTACCATTCCTTCTGAAACTATTCCAATCAATAGAAAAAGAGGGAATCCTCCCTAACTCATTTTATGAGGCCAGCATCATCCTGATACCAAAGCCAGGCAGAGACACAACCAAAAAAGAGAATTTTAGACCAATATCCTTGATGAACATTGATGCAAAAATCCTCAATAAAATACTGGCAAAACGAATCCAGCAGCACATCAAAAAGCTTATCCACCATGATCAAGTGGGCTTCATCCCTGGGATGCAAGGCTGGTTCAATATACACAAATCAATAAATGTAATCCAGCATATAAACAGAACTAAAGACAAAAACCACATGATTATCTCAATAGATGCAGAAAAGGCCTTTGACAAAATTCAACAACCCTTCATGCTAAAAACTCTCAATAAATTAGGTAATGATGGGACATATTTCAAAATAATAAGAGCTATCTATGACAAACCCACAGCCAATATCATACTGAATGGGCAAAAACTGGAAGCATTTCCTTTGAAAACTAGCACAAGACAGGGATGCCCTCTCTCACCACTCTTATTCAACATAGTGTTGGAGGTTCTGGCCAGGGTAATTAGGCAGGAGAAGGAAATAAAGGGTATTCAATTAGGAAAAGAGAAAGACAAATTGTCTCTGTTTGCAGATGACATGATTGTATATCTAGAAAACCCCATTGTCTCAGCCCAAAATCTCCTTAAGCTGATAAGCAACTTCAGCAAAGTCTCAGGATACAAAATCAATGTACAAAAATCACAAGCATTCTTACACACCAACAACAGACAAACAGAGTGCCAAATCATGAGTGAACTCCCATTCACAATTGCTTCAAAGAGAATAAAATACCTAGGAATCCAACTTACAAGGGATGTGTAGGACCTCTTCAAGGAGAACTACAAGCCACTGCTCAAGGAAATAAAAGAGGATACAAAGAAATGGAAGAACATTCCATGCTCATGGGTAGGAAGAATCAATATCGTGAAAATGGCCATACTGCCCAAGGTAGTTTACAGATTCAATGCCATCCCCATCAAGCTACCAAAGACTTTCTTCACAGAATTGGAAAAAACTACTTTAAAGTTCATATGGAACCAAAAAAGAGCCCGCATCGCCAAGTCAATCCTAAGCCAAAAGAACAAAGCTGGAGGCATCACACTACCTGACTTCAAACTATACTACAAGACTACAGTAACCAAAACAGCATGGTACTTGTACCAAAACAGAGATATAGATCAATGGAACACAACAGAGCCCTTAGAAATAATGCCGCATATCTACAACTATCTGATCTTTGACAAACCTGAGAAAAACAAGCAATGGGGAAAGGATTCCCTATTTAATAAATGGTGCTGGGAAAACTGGCTAGCCATATGGAGAAAGCTGAAACTGGATCCCTTCCTTACACCTTATACAAAAATCAATTCAAGATGGATTAAAGACTTAAACGTTAGACCTAAAACCATATAAACCCTAGAAGAAAACTTGGGAATTACCATTCAGGACATAGGCAAGGGCAAGGACTTCATGTCTAAAACAGCAAAAGCAATGGCAACAAAAGCCAAAATTGACAAATGGGATCTAATTAAACTAAAGAGCTTCTGCACAGCAAAAGAAACTACCATCAGAGTGAACAGGCAACCTACAAAATGGGAGAAAAATTTCACAACCTACTCATCTGACAAAGGGCTAATATCCAGAATCTACAATGAACTCAAACAAATTTACAAGAAAAAAACAAACAACCCCATCAAAAAGTGGGCGAAGGACATGAACAGACATTTCTCAAAAGAAGACATTTATGCAGCCAAAAAACACATGAAAAAATGCTCATCATCACTGGCCATCAGAGAAATGCAAATCCAAACCACAATGAAATACCATCTCACACCAGTTAGAATGGCAATCATTAAAAAGTCAGGAAACAACAGGTGCTGGAGAGGATGTGGAGAAATAGGAACACTTTCACACTGTTGGTGGGACTGTAAACTAGTTCAACCATTGTGGAAGTCAGTGTGGCGATTCCTCAGGGATCTAGAACTAGAAATACCATTTGACCCAGCCATCCCATTACTGGGTATATACCCAAAGGACTATAAATCATGCTGCTATAAAGACACATGCACACATATGTTTATTGCGGCATTATTCACAATAGCAAAGACTTGGAACCAACCCAAATGTCCAACAATGATAGACTGGATTAAGAAAATGTGGCACATACACACCATGGAATACTATGCAGCCATAAAAAATGATGAGTTCATGTCCTTTGTAGGGACATGGATGAAATTGGAAATCATCATTCTCAGTAAATTATCCCAAGAACAAAAAACCAAACACCGCATATTGTCACTCATAGGTGGGAATTGAACAATGAGATCACATGGACACAGGAAGGGGAATATCATACTCTGGGAACTGTTGTGGGGTGTGGGGAGGGAGGAGGGATAGCATCGGGAGATATACCCAATGCTAGATGACGAGTTAGTGGGTGCAGCGCACCAGCATGGCACATGTATACATATGTAACTAACCTGCACAATGTGCACATGTACCCTAAAACTTAAAGTATAAAAACAAAAACAAAAACAAAAAAAGTCAAATCACTCCAACCTCCGCTTCCTCTGCCATGCTTGGCCTCCCCATCGTCCATCAGTTACCCAAACCAGAAATCTGGGAACCCTCCTAAATGCCATCCTCCTCAGCCTCATGAACGATCAGTCTCCAAATTCTGTGTGTTTTGTATTTTCAGCATCTTTTTGTCTGCCTCTTCCTATCGGTGATAGATCATCCTGACTCCAAAGTCAGTGATCACACTTGTTCATTAAGCATCGGATGAGTGAATATTTAATGCTTTCCTAGTACATGCTGGGCACTGATCTGTGCTATTCCGAATCCCACCTGGATCCCACCACTGAGCCCGAAGCTGGGCTTCAGCCTACAGGGACTTCCTTCCCTGCACCAGAGTGTGTGCCTGTTCCTCTTCTCAGTCCTGAGGGCTTGAGAGAAAAGGAGTCCCTTCATGCTGGGCCAGCCCACAAGCTCCAATAGCGCAGGGTGCACCCAGCAGTGCAGAATGGCTGTGTGTGCCGAGGTGTTCCCCATCAAACCTTGTCATGCCTGGCAGCCCCAAGTCCATTCAGAACTCAGGGTAGAAGCAGCAGCAGAGTGATCCTGTCCTGGCTGTCATGATCAGACAAGCGACAAATGTCTGCAGTCCTAGAGAAGGTGACATTCCCTCCTCCCCCACACACTTGGAGCTGATGGTAGAACACAACAATATTGATATCATAATCCCTATGCCACCAAAATGATGTCATTGGCTGTTCAGAATCCCAGCACTTAGACGTGAGAGAACTACACAGGTTTAGAGCTGGAAGGACAGGTGTGAACCACATATCTGAACAATAGCAACCGTGATTTGTCAGGTGCCATGTTAAGGACTATATTACCTCTTTAATTCTCCCAACCACCCAACAGGATAAATGCTACTATGATCTTCATTTTTCTGATGAGGAGGCAGAGGCATTTGGAGATGTAGTGGGCCGAATCATTGCCCCCTAAAAGCTATGTTCAAGTCCTAACTCCTGGGACCTGTGAATAGGGCCATATTTGAAAATAAGGTCTTTGTAAATGTAATCAAGTATCTCAAGATAAAATCATCCTGGATTTAGATTGGGCCCTAAATCCAACAACTGATGTCTTTATAAGAGAAAGGAAAGATCTGAGACACAGAGAAGACGGCCATGTGAAGACAAAGGCAGATCAGGGCAATGCGGCCACAAGCCAAGGAACGCCTGGAGCTACTGGAAGCTCAAAGAGGCAGAAAGAATCCTCCCGTGGCTTCTGAGGGCACATGGCCCTGCTGGCCCCTTGATATTGGACTTTCAGCCTCCACAACTGTGGGAAAATGAACTTCTATTGTTTCAGGCCACTCAGTTCGTAGTAATTTGTTTTGCAGACACAATAAATGAATACAAGGGGTAAGGAACTTGCCAAGGTCACCCAGTTAGCACAGCAGAGCTGGGATTAGCACCTCTTGGTTTTCTGACTCCAGGGTCCTTTCCCGTGTACTGGGCAACCGCCAGGAGTAATTGAGTTATCTGGGGATTGGTGCCCTGGTGCACCCTTCCACCCTCCTTCCTTCCCTCCCAGGACCTGGTGCTCAGCCCAGTATACAGAAGGCACTTAATAAATGTGTGGACTGGCTCTTTCACCCTGATGCCATAGGGCTTGTCTGGCTCACTGATGTTTGCAACAGAGGTGGAAACAGCTCACAGCATCTCGAGATGTCAACATCGCAGGGCTGAAGGGTCCCTTGAAACTCATCGTGTTCTCCACACCTCCTTATTAGAATTGGACACTGGGCCTGAGGAGGAAGAGTAGCTTGCCTCAACCACCCAGTAGTACCCCTGAGGTCAAGTCTAGAATTCTTGGTCCTGACTCCTAGGTTCAGGGAATTCCCATGACTGTCACAGTGATATTCAGCTGCCAATTCTGCGTGATTCTAACTCCTAATAGCGCGTGTACCCTCCCTTCCTCAGCTTTGCTCACATGCTGCTCATGTTCTGATGCTTGTTTTCCCTTCTAGTCCCCTAGGAGCAGCATAGCTTCCCAGCTGGGCCTCTGGACCCAGAGAGACCTCCAATCTGTCCTTCTCACTGCTGACCAGAGAGTCAGTTTTCTGACATGCCACAGATGATGGTATTCCCTGCTAAAAGATCTTCCCATCACGGTGGCTGTTTCATAAACTGTGTTCCTTGCAATGCCACTGGATCCATGTCCTTTCAGCTCTAAACCTGTGTAGTTCTCTCGCATCTAAGTGCTGGGATTCTGAGCAGCCAATGACATCATTTTGGTGGCATAGGGATTATGACATCAATATTGCTGTGTTCTACCATCATCCTCAGAGCCTTTCGTGTGCTGATGTGCTTTGGTGATGTTCACAGGGGCCCAACTCAGTAGCAGGCATGGCTTGGAAATGTATTTGACTTGATCCTGGAATCTTTCCTATTTTTAATTTTTGGTGGAACACAAGGTACTAGGGCTGGGGACCAGTCTGGCCCAGAGGGCAGTTCAAATCCACGGCCCAGCACTGAGGCCCCAAGCTGTCTTGTGCCGCCCTGCTTGCCCATGGCCACCCTGGCTCCATGCTGCGTGCTGTTCCTGGAACACCCTGTCTCTGTCTCTGTTCCTGACACTCTTTCCCAACTCACAGAAGGTGCAGCCCTAGGGTTTCGTCCTCCAGGAACCTACCATGTGCCAGACAAGGCTCTTCACAGGTACAGTGGACTCCTCAGAATAGGCCTCTGCTATTATCACTTCCTTACCATCTCCCTCCTGCCCAGGCTAGACAGGGGCTTCCTCATTTCCCCCATGCTCTTCATCTCCTCATGCATTTTTGCTTAGTTGTCTCCCTTTTCTCTTGACTCCAAGCTCCTTGAGGGCAGAGAGTGTTGTGTTCTCTCTGGTGCCTCATCCCCTGCCTGGTACCAAGAAGATATGCAGGAAAAATTTGTTAACTGACTAAATAAATAAACAGTCATAATAAAAATAGCAAACACTTCTATTGCCCTTGTTGTGTGCCAAGCACTGTCTAAGCTCTTTACATCCTGCTAATTAAAACAGTTAATCTTTAAGGAGCATCTGCTCTGTGCAAAGTCTTGTTTTAAGAGTACTGATTCATCTTTATAGCATGGGCTTTGAGCTAGCTGCTCAGGATTCTTGCAGAGGAAGGAGCGAGTTGCTCTGGGACGACACAGAAAAGGCTGGGACTGAGGACCCCCTGGGGCACGTGTGTGATAAAGGCAGCTCTAGGGGCAGCCCTGGCTCACCGGGACAGCAAACAACAGATCAAGCAGATAATCGTGGTAGGCTGTGGTTATGCCCAGAAAGGTAGTCCAGGGTCCAAAGACCAGTTACACCTGCTTAGATTATAAATGAATACAATTCCCCAAGGCCTTCCATGAAACAACAACAACAACTAAAGCTTCTTCCAATGTTTTGGTAAGGGGAATGGCCAACCCTGAATCTATTTATCAGCCATTGGAAATGCCAACTGTAACTGCCATCATGTCCACAGCATTCGTGCAGGGCTTTGTGGGGAACAGATGCCTCCACATGTCAGTCTTCCCATCCTTGAAGCACCATAGGCCATGGATGAAGAAGCTGAGGCCCACAGAGATTAGGGGCTATGTTCAGGGCCATGGAGATGAGTGAAGGAGCCCAGACCAGAATGTCAGTCTTATAACTTTAAGGCCAGGGCTCAATACAGCTGTTCCACTATTATTACGAATAGTGGCTTTACTGACAATGCCAATAGTTGCGATCTTAGGGGGGCCATTTATTGAGTCTACTGTGTGCCAGAAGCTCTTCTTAATTCTTTACATATGCTATTCATGTCTTGGAAAAGCTAATGTTTAGAGAGCACTTCTAGATGCTAGGGACTGTGCTCAGTGTCTATGTGTTATCTCATGAGTGTCTATGTGTTATCTCACAAGGACCTTGTCAGGTGGGTACTACCTCCATTTCGGGAAGCAAAGGCTTGGAGAGAGTGGGTACCACATCTGAGGTGACACAGCTACTAAGGCTTATTTGAACCCAGTTCCATTCCCCAAGATCAACCAGAATGATGACAACCTAGTTCTGTCTCCTTCAAAGGCCATACATTTTCCAGCAATTATGCCATCTTTATAAACATGCTGAATATAAAAATCATATATATATATATATATACACACACACACACACACACACATACATGCACACATATAGCATATACTCTCTATGTTTTATATTCCAAAATTTCCTGACGTTCATAAACACTCTTAGTTTTGGTTGCAATTGAATTAGTCATCTATTAGTTTTGGTTCCAATTGAATTAGTAGATAAAAGAAGGATAATAAATATGGTTTTGCTATTAATAAAAATGATATAAAATCCTCTTGAAACTGGATCTTGATTCACATTCCCTGACAGTGCCTGCTTTCTTGCCCATTGTCTTTCACTGCATGGGGTGCATGGTGCATGCTTTATGGATTCTTGTGAGTCCAAAATACACTGGGCGGACACTGGGCACCAGGGAACTCTGGCTGCCCTGCAATGGCCTGGAAAGATCAGCCTCACCTACTGCTAACCATCTCTACCAGTGGTTGAGCAATTCCGCCAATGAAAGTTTGAAATGAAAAGTGAGTTTTGATGCCAAGGAGCATTAGGGCATCATATAACGGGCCTTCCAGAAAAGCAGGAACATGGGGCGTGAAATGAGACATCGCCTTTCTTTCCCTCAGAAATGTAGATGTGCATGTGGTGGGATTTGCCCCCTCACTAACCACACAGAGTTTACTCCCTCATTAGACTAAAAATATGGAAAGCATACAATCACCTCCTGAAGTATAATTATTAGCCTGCTGCAGTGAGCTCTGTGAATATTGCTGAAGGTTTTGATATTTGCAGTGGAGTGTGAAATGCTATTCAACATCTAGCCTGCGAGCTGACAGCCTTCCAGGATCTGTTTCCACAGGTGTTTGCTCTCTTCTTGACTGGGAACACAGAATTACTAAATTTTGGCCTAGAGGGGGCCTTCAAGGTAATTTCCTTCCTCCCTTAAATGTTATAGACAAGGAAGCCAAGTCCGAATGGAGGAGTTAAATGACTTCTGGCCCAGCTGGGACTAGAACCCAAGTCTCCTACCCACTGATACTTTCTTCAAGGCAAGACCATGTCTCCAGTTTCCACATCCTGGCTGGCAGGATGGCCAGATCTGGGTAGCTAACACCCACCGGACACTTACACCTACAGGTCCCATGGGCACAACTCAACCTGTCTGAAGCAAGCTTTCAAACTGCCCCTTCTCCTGGGTTCTCAGTCTCAGCCGCAAGGGTCTTTTCAGCAGCACAGTCAGAAACCTGGGAGTCAACTTCGACTCTAGGACTCTTTCCGCCTTTGTATTTGACCATTTGATTGGTCACCAAGACTTATTTTCCCTTCCAGAAACTTCCTCTCTATCCTCCTTTCTATCCTCTACTCTGGTCCTTTTTCATCTCTGTCTGGTCTCATTTTTGCTCCCTCAACCACTTGCCTGTCTCCAGCCTGGGGCTCTTTAATCCCAACTCCAGCTGCCCCTGAGAGACTTGTAAGTAGTAGAATCAGTGAAACAAAGGGGTTATGAAAGTGGTAATTACTCAGGCCTGCAACTGAACCTCAGCTCCCATGCTTACTGGCACAATGACCTTGGGGAAGCTGCTTAACCTCTTATATGTACCTCAGTTTACTCATCTGTAAGAAGGAATAACAATGTCTGCTACAAAATCTTATTGTGAAGAGAAAACGGCTATGTATATCTTGATTAAGCACATAGTAAGTGCTCAATAAATGGTATCTAGTATTATTGTTATTATTCACATGTTCAAACTACTTGCTCAAAATCATTCCAAGTTTGCTATTTACTATGAATGAAGTTCAAGCTTTTTAGCATGAAAACTTCCTAAAAACAGGCCCCAGGCACCATCATATTTGGCCACTATTCTTATTACACCCATTGTGCCAGGTTCAAAGAATAGGATATACTATATTTTGAATCATCAATGACTTTACCCTGCTTTTCATATTCATATTCATGAACTCCTATTCATGAACTCCTATTCATACTTCAAGACTCAGACCACATTTCACCATGGAATGTTCATCAAGTTCCTTGCTATTCCTGTTTCCCATCTTACCCTCTCTCTTGGCAAACTATTAATACATCGATCTACGGTCTAGATTCTTACCAAACCTTTGCTAGTTCCTTATCATGCTATATTTTAATTAATAGTTACATGTCCATCTCCCCCACTGGGTAGCTCTCTGAAGGCAGAAACATGACTAAGTCAGCTCCAGATTCAAAGGGATTAGCATGTAGTTGATCTAGAAGTAGATGCTTAATGCATCATAGTGGCAAAGAACTTAAGTCACAGAGTTCTGGCTTTGAATCTCAACGGCTACCTTTGCTGGCTGTTTGTCACTGGGCAAGCATTTAACTTTTGAGTTTCAGATTCCATGGAATAATACTAGCCCTTACCCCATAATGAGACAACTTATTGACGCATTTACTTCAGAGATTGACACAAAGTAAGTTCTCAACAGATGTAAGCTAGTTTTTGTTACAGTAATTCATTATTACTGAATGGACAATGAAATGAATGCATAAATGGAAGCCCAACTCATCAAGGTAATGATTCAAGAGCTCTGTCATAATTCATTGCATTAAAGTGTGCCAAGAAGCTGTGGAAAGAAGAGATAAGTAGCATGCCTGGCCTCTCTCTTAATCCTTTGGGGGGTAATTTATATTTCTTTGGCTCTTGGCTAGTCAAATGAACTCAGGTGTCACACGCTTACATATTAATTTGAGATAACATGAAACCACTGCATCAGTCTGATAATTTCTCTTTTTGGGGAGATGCTAGTAGCATTGCTAGCAATAGAAAGCTCATTTCACTAAAGTATGCAAGAAACCGCTCAGCTGTTGACCATTAGTATTTCAGAGTTATGCATAGGAAGAAGGAGAGGAAACAATGTTTAATTGGCTAATGAGTAAATACGTAAGCTCTGATAAAGGGCAGAAATAAATGATGCACCAGTATCAGAAAGCTACTTCATGTTAAATGTGTTCAATTCAACTAGTAAATAAAAAAAAAAAGGACTTTTGGAAGTTTTCATGGAGAAATGATGTTCTAACTGGAAGCACAGAATTAGAATCAGTGCATTTTACAGTCAATATGTGAAACTTGAGATGAACTTCTAAATAGCGTATGGGATGACAGAAAAGTTAGTTTATCCAGTACCACTCTCTTAAAGGATTCCAAATTCTCTATTTATCCAAGGCAATTAATGTTATTTAGAATTTTCCATTGAACTTGCTATAAAAAACCAAAAGCTATAATGTAGCACACAGGTAATACATGATCTGGCCCTACACACTTCTCAAGGTTTATCTTTCTTGCTGACTTTGCTCAGGTCACACTAGTTTTCTTTTGGTTCCATGGGCCAAGCTTCTTTTGCCTCAGGGCCTTAGCAAATGCAGTTTCATTTCCCTACCATGATCCTGGGATCAGACCATTAGTGGTTTCCTATTGCTGGGAGAAAGATAGGATCACCCCTAAGATCCCCAAGACCCATTGACACAGAGCCTACCTAAGACAGGTTGAACCAAAGCAGCAGAAAACATTTACTCTCCCCACCCTCTGCCACATCAGCAAGTGTCAAGGAACTAGAAACAGAAGCCTATTGCTAGAGAACAGGAGCACAGAGAGAGACCCTATTTAAGGCACAGATTCACAGAGAAACCCTAAGTCAAAGGTGGAACAGGAACATTGAGGAAAACACTTTGGTAACCACACTAAAACCCAACTCTAAAGCTGGTATTTTGAAAATAACCACAGAACAACAAAACTCAAGTCAAGCTCAACTACTAATTAGATTGACTCAATGCTACCTCCTCCTCCAAAGAAAACTAAAAGCATAGTAGTAAAAGAAACATGTCCATTTCCAGGCATAAACATTTTCCTTTACATCATGCAAAGATTTTAATAAAAAATTATCAGACACAGGACAAAAAAACAAAAACTCATTGTGAAGAGACAAAGAAATTAACAGAATCATACTCAGATATGAACTAGATGTCAGACCTAACAAACAAGGAATTTAAAACATTTCAAAGGCTTTAGTGGAAAGGCGGACAGCATGCGTTAACAGACGGGGATTTCAATAGAAAGACAGAAACTATAAAAGCAGATGGAAATGCTAAAAACAAACAAATGCAAAAACATAGTGCCAGAGATAAAGAATGCTTCCAATAGGTTTATCAATAGACTTGAAGATAGGTCAAAAGAAATTGCCTGAAGTGAAACACTAAGAGACAACAGTGTGGTGGGGGATGGGGAGAAGAGGGCATGTAAATATTGTGAGGGAAAATATCAAACATCTCACTTCGGGTTTTGAAATCCCAGAAGCAGAGTAGAGAGAGAATGGGTCAAAAATATATATATTTGCAGAGATAATGACCAAGAATTTTCTAAATATGATGAGTAATCAAACCACATATCCAAAAAGCTCAGAAAACACCAACCAGAGTAAATATCAAAAAGAAAACAAATCCAATATGCCTTGGTACATCATATCTAAAATCAAAAAGAGGGAGAAAATCTTGGAGTCAGCTGAAGGAAAAAAGCATGTTACCTACAGAGGAACAGGGATAGGAATTACAGCAGATTTGCTGTCAGGAATACTACAAATAAGAAGCAATGGAGTGGCAATATTTAAGTGACTAAGGAAAAAAAAACCACCCTCTTAACCCAGAGTTCTGTATCCAGTTAAAATATCTTGTAACAATATAAGGAAATAAAGATTCTTTTCCTTATATAAGCAAACCAAAAAAAGAAAGAATTCATTACCAGTAGATTTTAATAGTCAAAATTGTTAAAGGAAGTCCTCCAGGTAGAATGAATATAATAACAGCTAGAAAATTGAAGCTACACAAAGAAAGAATATGAAAATAGCAAAAAGAAGGTAAATGCAAAGTTTTTTTTTATTTTTAACCACTGCAAAATATAATTGACTATTTGAAGCAAAAATAAATTCAATGACATATATTTATAGTAAAAAGAGATGAATAGAATGAATTTGGGTATATTATAAGATTACACATGCTGTAACAGATTTAAGGTATTTTCTGATTAATTGAAGATGTATATTGTTTTTTAAAGAGGTATAAAAACTAAGCCAATGGAGAAGTTAAAGTGGAATCATAAGTAAGGATCAACTAATCCAAAATAAGGAAGAAAAAGAGGAACAAAGACCAAATGAAACAAATACAAGAAAAGGCAAGATGATAGATTTAAATAAAATTACCTCAATAATTATATTAAATATAAGTGGTCTAAATATCAATGAAAAGACAGATACTGTTAGACTGGATTTAAAAGATTGCCTACAAGAAATGTACTTTAAAAATAAAGACAAAGAGATAGGTTAGAAATAAAAGGATAGAAAAAGATATTATCAGCGATGTACTAGAGTAGGGTTATACTGGCTCACAAGAGCATACTGTTAGCATCTCTTCCCAACTCTGTGTTTGATGATGTCTCATTGCTAACTTGAAATCAGCCATGGTGGAGTCCTTATATCATGGAAATCAAAATCTATAAATTAGGGGGATTTGTTTATTCTTTACCAGAGAACTAGCTGTTAGACATTTACCAGCAAACCACTGGATATGTCATGTAAACACTAACCAAAGGAAAGCTGAAGTGGCTGTATTAATATCAGGCAAAGCAGACTTTAGAACAAGGAATAAGAATGACATTATATAATGATAAATGGGGCAATTTATCAAGAAGACGTAATGATCCTAAATGAAAAGCAAGGAAAAACAGAGAAATTTACAATCATAGCTGGGAATTCCAACACTTACATCTTAGTAATTGATATAAGAAGTAGACAAAAAATCAACAAAAATACATACAAAACCTGAGCAATGTTATCAAATAACTTGACCTAATTGACATTTATAGAACACAGGACCAAAGAAGACAATACATATTTTTGCAAGTTTGCATGTAATATTAACCAAGATAGATCATATCTAGACCATAAATTAAACTTCACCAGTTTTTAGAAAAGAAGTCATACAAAATATTTTCTCTGATCATGACAGAATTAAACTGAACATCAATGAAAGATATATTAAAAATTCCCAAATACTGTCAGAAAAATGTTTTTTTGTTTGTTTGTTTTGTTTTTTTTAGACAGAGTCTCACTTTGTTGCCCAGGCTAGAGTGCAGTGGTGCTATCTCGGCTCACTGCAAGCTCCACCTCCCGGGTTCACGCCATTCTCCTGCCTCAGCCTCCCGAGTAGTTGGGACTACAGGCACCCACCACTATGCCTGGCTAATTTTTTATATTTTTTAGTAGAGACGGGGTTTCACTGTGTTAACCAGGATGATCTTGATCTCCTGACCTTGTGATCCGCCCGCGTCGGCCTCCCAAACTGCTGGGATTACAGGTATAAGCCATCACGCCTGGCCTAGAAATGTTTTTAACTGAATGAAATTAAAAGCACAATATATCTAAATTTGTGGGATACAGCTGAAGCTGGACTTAAAACAAAATTTATAGCATTAAATGCTTATGGAGGAAAATAAGACAAGTCTCAAATTACCTAAACTTCCACCTTAAGAGACTAGAATAAGAAGAATAAATTAAATTCAAAGTAAGCAGAGAGAAGGAGGGCATAAGAGATAAGAGAGAAGAAATTAAAATAAAAAATAGAAAAATAATAGAGAAAATCAATAAAGCAAAAACTGGTTCTTTAAAAAGATCAATACATTTGATAAACCTGTACTCTGAATGACCAGGAAAACCAGAGAGAAAACATCAATTACCAATTCAGGACTGAAAGAGGGGACATCACTACAGAATTTACACTCATTAAAAGGATAATAAGGGGATATTACACATAACTGTATGCCCTAACATTTGAAAAGTTAGATGAACTAGGGAAATTCCTTGAAAGACATAAACTACCAAATCTTATTTAAATTTACTTAGTTCTTGAAGAAATAGATAAACAGAATAGTCCCATGTCTGTTAAAGAAATTGAATCCACAGTGAAAAACTTTCCCTCAAAGAAAACTCCAGGCCCAAATATCTTCACTGCATAATTCTACAAAATATGTGTAGAAATAATACCAATCTTGGGCATATTTTTTTTAGAAAATAGAAGGGGAGGAAACACTTCTCAACTACGTTGCCAGCATTACTCTAATACCAAAGCCACACCAAGTTGTTACAAGAAAATAGAACTACAGACAAAAATTCCTCAAGAACCTAGATGTAAATATTATGAACAAGATATTAGTACATTGATTCAAGGATTATATGTAAAAGATACTACGTTATGATCAAACAGGGTTTCTTCTGGGAAGGTAAGGCTGGTTCAACATTTCAAAGTCAGTCAGCAGTATTTCAACAGACTATAGAAGAGAAACCACAGGATTATCTCGACAGATTTAGAAATGCTATGTGACCAAATTCAACATGCATTTACGATTTTAAAAAACCGAATAAATTGGAAGTAGAAGGGAACTTCTTCACCTTATAAAGAACTGCAAAAACCTTATAGTTGACATCATAATTTAAAACTTCAGCTTTTAAAAAAGACTGTTAAATTGGTCTAAGTATAGTGGTGTTTATAACTAATTGATCACAAGTGGTAACAGATTTCTTTGTTCCTTTAGCAGTCCCACTGCTTCACCTGAATAGTAAAACAAATAAAAATGAATTTAAGAAGACTCTTTTAAGATAATAGAAAGACAAGCCACTGACTTGGAGAAAATATTTTTAGAATATATATCTGATAAAGGAATTCTATCCAGGATATATTTTAAAACTCTCAAAATGAAATAAAATAATCCAGTAAGTGTTTTTTTCTTTTCCTTTTTTTTTTTTTTTTTTTTTTGTTTAGATGGAGTCTCGCCCTGTTGCACAGGCTGGAGTGCAGTGATGCGATCTTGGCTCATTGCAACCTCCGCCTCCTGGCCTTCAGACTCCTGAGTAAGTGGGATTACAGGTGCACACCACCACACCCAGTTAATTTTTTGTATTTTTTAGTAGAGACAGGGTTTCTCCATGTTGGCCAGGCTGGTCTTGAAATCCTGGTCTCAAGTGACCTACCTGACTCAGCCTCCCTAAGTGCTGAGATTACAGGCATGAGCCACCACACCCGGCCAAAATAATCCAATAAATTAACAGGCAAATGATTTGAACATATATTCCACACAGAAAATATATGGATGGCAAACAGGCAAGCAAAAAGATGCTCAACACCATTAGTTACCAGGGATTTGCAAACTGAAATCACGACTGACCTATTAGAATGCCTAATGACCTCAACGATGGGACGATACCAAGTACTGGCAAGGACACAGAACAACCGGGTCTCTCATTCGCTGCTTGTGGGAATGGAAAGAGGTCCAGCCATTCTAGAAACCAGTTTGGCAGTTTCTTACCAAATGATCCAGCAATCTCACTTCTAGGTAATTATTCCAGAGAAATGGAAATTTAAGCTCATATAAAACCTGTATGCAAATGTCCATAATGGCTTTATTCATAAATATGTAAAACTGTAAACAACTCAGGT